>NT_187660.1:3688492-3990297 GCF_000001405.40 Homo sapiens
TGCTGCACAGAGCCCCAGGTGGAGCCTGGGGAGGCAGGCTCAGTGTTCTCAGCTTATCACCAGACACTCAGTTCTGCGGCTCATTAGTCTAGACTTGTTTCTGTCAGAGAAGGTCCTCTTTCCCCTGGGATGTGTAGGCTGTTCTGGCTCAGCCAACAGCAGTATATGGGTCTTATCGGAATATGAAATACTAAAATGTGGGAAAAAAAAAAACAACTTTTAAGTGTTTGCCTTGGAGGGATGGGCAATGGGACTCGTGAACTGTTTTCTTCTTTCGTAAGCAGCCTCGCTATCCCTTGCAGCCACAGAACTGACGCACAGGGCCAGGTCCCTTGGGGCCCAGCAGGAAAAATGGATGCCAGGAAGGGCATGCTAGTCCAGGCCTGGGGAACACAAGCTGCTTCCCATTTGCTCTCTCTCTACGGCTCGATTGCCAGTTCCAACTGTCAGTCTATCTTGATCCCCAAAATGTTTGAGTATAGATACGTCTGCTGATTCCCCTCATTCTTTTAGTGTCTTTTCTGCTGTGAAGCAGTTTTGGGGCAAGATCTTTTGCTCTGGTCCGGATAACTCTGGGCAATATACTCCAAGTCAAAGGCTACAGTGAAACTGGGTGACTGGCAAATAATCGATGAATCATGACTCCAGAATTCTTGTCTCTAGATGGGGGAGTAAAATCACAAACGAGATATGCTGTCGGCTGGGGATGCTTTAGAGGCCCCACCATACATGTTCCCATCTTTAATAATGAAACCCTTGATTTTTAGCTCAGCGTGTGGCTACCTGGACCAATTCTGTCTGATGGGGTGTGCAGTAGTGTCATGAACTACTTCTATCCCAGGAAGTAACTTGTAAATGAGTGGATGAGCCAATTCTCCTTCTTTCTCTTCCTGCTGGCTGAAGTGTGGACATGATGGCAGGAGCTGCAGCAGTCACATTGGACCATGGGTCATCGTGGGAATGGAAGTCACACAAGGGTATTTAAAGCCACACAAGGATAATGAGCACTGGATAGATGGAGCCCGAGTCCCCATCACAGTGTAGCCCCTGTAACAGATCTAGACTTCCTGCCTCCCACATTGAGTAAACTGCTCTCTTGCTTAAGCCACTATTATGTTAGGATTTTTTCAACCCATAGTCAGAGATAGTCCTAACTGATTCACCACCCTCAGAGAGTTTACAGCCAATTATGTTTCTCATGAAAAAGGTTAGCCAGTGGTTGTAAGTGATCCCGGACTGGAGCGCCAGCTGCACTAAGGCAGTTCGTCTGTGGGATGGCTCTGTCCTTGTCAGGGAGAGGACCCCTCCTACACACTGGCATGTTACCACAAGTACAGTGGTAACTAAGCAGGTCGGCATAGGTGCCCACAGAGCAGACTGAACACCCCGTTTGCTTCCCTCTCCTCTCCGAACTCCCTGGACATGGCCAAGTAGCATAAGCCAAGCAGAGGTGAGAAGGAGAGTGGGGCACAGGCAAGTTACCAGTGGGCCCGCGGCTATCATGGACTTCCAGAAAATAAAAAACAGGCATGATGGTGTTGGTTTATAAACCAAAGCAGAGGGCACTGGAGCCCCGTAAGTGTGCAGGAGTGAATGTATGTGGCAGGGAGAAGGGTAGAAGGGAGGAGGTTGGGTAGAAGGCTACCTCTACCAGCTGGAAATGAGTGGTGAAGTCAGCTGGACTTCTGGGTGGGGCGGGGACTTGGAGAACTTTTCTGTCTTACAAAGGGATTGTAAAATGCACAAATCAGCACTCTGTAGATAGGATTGTAAAACGCACCAATCAGCTCTCTGTGGCTAGCTAGAGGTTTCTAAAATGGACCAATCAGTGCTTTGTAAAGTGGACCAATCAGAACACTGTAAAATGGACCAATTAGTGCTCTGTAAAATGGACCAATCAGACCAATCAGCACTCTGTAAAATGGACCAATCAGCAGGACATGGGTGGGGACAAATAAGGGAATAAAAGCTGGCCACCCTCCAGTCAGCAGCAGGCAACCCACTGGGTCCCCATCCCTGTTGTGGTGTATTTGTTATTTTGCTCTTGGCAATAAATCTTGCTGCTGCTCACTTTTTGGGTCCGTGCCACCTTTAAGAGCTGTAACACTCACTGTGAAGGTCCAGGACTTCATTCTTGCGGTCAGCGAGACCACGAACCCACTGGAAAGAACCAACTCCCGACACGGAAAGGCTGCAAGGTTAGGGTCCACAGTTTGGGAAGAGTGGAGCCTAGGGTCTTCACTCAGGGGTATGGATGGAGAGAACAGTGGGGGGAGCTCTTTGCTCTAATCCCAGGCTCCACCCTGCCTCAAAGAGGCTACGAGTACTGTTTTGTAGTAGGATAAAACCAATGATATGCTTATGCTGTAGATGGAACCATGTGCCCCTGAAACTCATATGTTGAGTTTCACCCCACTGTGGTGGTATTAGGAGGAGGAAACTTTGGGAGGTGACTAGGTCATGCGAGCAGAGCTCTCATGAATGAGGTTAGTGCCTTAGAAAACAAGAGCCTGCGTAGTGGTGTGCGCCTGTAATTCCAGCTACTCTGGAGGCTGAGGCAGGAGAATTGCATGAAGCCGGGAGGCAGCGATTGCAGTGAGCCGAGATCGCACCACTGCACTCCAGTCTGGCCAACAAAACGAGACTCCGTCTCAAAAAAACAGAAGGAAAAAAAAAGAAAAGAGCTTGGAGAACCCCCTCTCCTCTTCTGCCAGGTGAGGCCACAGCAAGAAGACTGCGGTCTACGAACCAGGAAGAGGCCTTCACCAGTCACCAAATCTGCTGGCGCCTTAATTTTAGACTTTCCAGTTTCTGGAACTGTGAGAAATGAATTTCTGCTGTTTATAACCAACCCTGGCTGTGTGATTCTATTGTAACAACCTGAACTGATGAAAACATCTTGCTAGGAAATAGAAGTGAACTTAGGAGGAGGGTTAGTATATGCTGGAGTAAAGCCTTCGGTAGTTTGGTCTTTTTGTAAAGATGAGGAAGCTGGGTACCCTCTGGTGAGGGCTGCCAGGTGTGACTCACCCGACTAAGCAGAAGTCAAGCCAGCCTTCCCAGGAAGGGGAGAGGCCTGCTGAGTAAACAGACCCCGGAACCACAAAGGGGACCCTTGGCAGCTATCTGTATGCATAAGTCTTATCTTTCATCTGTGTACATGATAGGCAAACAAGGAAAACAGTCACAAGACAGAAGGACCAAGAGGAACAAAAGTAACAGTTGTCCCTGGAAGAAATAGATACTAAAGGCAATGAATAGAATAAGAGTCATAATTAACATCTCAAGAGATGTTTGAGGAGATGTTGCATCCACAAAACAAGAACAGGAAACTAGAGAAAGGACAAATCAGGGAATCAAAAAAGTTTAGAGACATTAAAAATGTGATGATAAAAATTAAAAACAAATCAGGAGGAGGATAGGAAAGTAAAGTTAAACTTCCCAGACTGTAGGGCAAGAAGACAAAAAGCTGAAGAGTCTGACAGGGCAGGTGAGAGATGCATAGCATCAATCCAGGGTGTCAAAATGTGTCTGATAGGCCCGGCACAGTGGCTTACACCTATAATAGCACTTTGGGAGGCCAAGGCAGGCGGATCACCTGAGGTCAGGAGTTTGAGACCAGCCGGGCCAACATGGCGAAACCCCATCTCTACTAAAAATACAAAAATTAACCAGGTGAGGCAGCAGGCACCTGTAATCCCAGCTACTTGGGAGGCTGAGGCAGGAGAATCGCTTGAACCCGGGAGGCAGAAACTGCCTTTCTGTTGTTTATAACCAACCCTGGCAAGATTACACCACTGTGCTTCAGCCTAGGTGACAGAGTGAGACGTAAAATGTGTCTGCTAGGAGTTCAGAAGGAATGAACAGAAAAAAAGAAAGAATGGAGGGAAGTGCAGTGTAACCAATAACCAATAACCAGTTGGTAACCAATAACCACACACTTAATGGCTTGCAACAATATAAATTTATTCTCTTACAGCTATAATGGTCAGAAGTCCTAAAATCAAGGTGTCAGCAGGACTGCATTCCTTCTGGAGGCTCTAAGGGACAATCTGTTTCCTTGTCTTTCCCAGCTTCTAGAGGCTGCCTGCATTCTTTGGTTTGTAGACCTATATATTTTCAAGGCCGTCAGTGTATCCTCTTTAGATCTCTCCCTCTGACTCTGACTCCTGCCTCCCTCATTGCACCACCATCTCCTCTGCTTCTGCTGTCACATCATCTTCTCTGACTTTGGCCCTCTCGCCTCCCTCTTATGAGGACTCTTGTGATTACATTGGGCTCCCTGGGATAATACAGAAAAATCTCCCCATTTCAAGATTTTAAATGACATCTGCAAAGTCCCTTTTTCCATGTGAGATAACATATTCGTAGGTTCCAGGGATTAGGATGTGACATCTTTGGTGCACCATTATTTTGTCTACTACATGGGGAAATAAAGAAATGTTGGGGGAATAATTTCCCAGAGCTAAACAAGGAGGAACAGTTTTTAAATTAAAACTTTCTCAAGTTATTTGATAGGATGATTGAGAAAAGATAGCTGGGTGTGGTAGCTCACACCTGTAATCCCATTATTTTGAGAGGCTGAGAGAGGAGGATCGCTTGAACCAAGGAGTTCAAGACCAGCCTGGGCAACACAGGGAGACCTCTTCTCTATAAAAAAGAAGTAAAAAGAAGAGAAAGGATCAATACCTGGGCATTTTGCCATGAACTACGAGAAAGATAAGGGGAGGGGGTGGCACAGGTCATGGGCAGAGAAACAAGCTCAGCAGGAGGATGTGCTAAGGAGAAATAGAAGGCTTCCTTCAAGGCTGGAGGGAAAACTGTCTTGTCTCAAAAATGATACAGTAAGCTGAACTATTAATCATGAAAGCAAAAATAATGTTTTATGTTTAAGAAAAGATTTTAAAAGTTAACCACCCATGAACTCATTCTGGGGAAATACATACACTTGAGAAATACTCTGGTCACGAGAAAGTAAAAATCAAGAAAAAGAAAAATAAAGACTTCCCCAAACTACAGAACTAAATCAATATTGCAGTGAAAAGCAAATCCATACCAGGAACTCAAAGATGATTCAATAATAAGAAATATACTATAAAATGAACCACATTAATAAGTTGAAGGAGAAAAAATTATTTGACTCTTTCTACAGAGACCAGTAAAGCCTTTGGAAACATTTTGCACCCATTTGTACTTACAGTCTTGAAAAAATGAATGGATATATCCTTATCATGATAAACCATGTATATACCTCATACTAAAATCACTGATTTATTTAATGAGGAAACACTAGAGACATTCCTACTAAGGTTAGGAACAAGGCAAACATTTTCTTAGCTCTATTATTACTTAATATATTAACCAATGCAATCATGTAAGAGGAAAGAACTGGAGGCATAAAACCTGAAAAAGAAGAACTATCTCTGTTTGCAGATGACAAAATGGTACATCTGGAAAACCCTAGAGAGCAAAATTGTAAAATAGTTGGTAAAACCACCACAAAAAATAAAAGAATTCTGCAAGACAGCAGGTTATAAAATTAATAGAGCAATTAATAGATTTCATATGTTGCATATAATATATAAATTGCACATATGAAGTTAAAAGATGAATTGTTTCTCACCAGGTAGTCACAGAGAAGACCGAGGAGACTCTTGAGAAAGCTTCCTGTTCCTGGTGGTATAGGTCACTTCTCCCCTATCCCTCCCTTGTCCCTCACCATCCATGGGAAAAAACTTAAAATGTGGGGATGGAGGAGTGCCAACAGTGTCATCCTTATGAGAAAGGGAAGTTAAAATTCTCGCAAAATAGCCCCCATTCTAAACACAAGGTAACACTAGAATTTGAAGTCTGTTATATAATGAGAATAACCATTGCAATGTTAAATCTCAAATCAAACTCAACTCCTGACTAGATTAATAGAACCCCCACATTAAAGACCTAGAAGGAAAGTTGTGCTCATTTCCAAGTATGAAAATTATTTACCTCTGTCACTACTGTTAAATGTTTGTTTTTAAACAAAAACTCTGAGCCATATGAGAAAGCAAGAGATGTTGGAACTATCGGACAGGGAACTTAAAATTGTAATGATTAGTGTGTTAAAGGCTCTAAAGGAAAAGCCGGTAACATACAAGATCAGGTGGATAATTCAGCAGAGAGGTGGAAACTGTATGAAAGAATCAACTGGTGATACTAGAAATGAAAAACACAGTGAGAGAGATGAAGAATGCCTTTGACTGGCTCATCAGTAGACTAGACACAGTGAAGATAAGAATCAACATGAAGTTGAACATAAGTCAATAGAAAAACAAAGAACAACAAACAGTTTTAAAAAAACAAACCAGCCAGGCATGGTGGCTCATGCTTGTAATCCCAGCACTTTGGGAGCCTGAGGTGTGTGGATCACCTGAGGTCAGGAGTTCCAGACCAGCCTGGCCAATGTGGCGAAAACCTGTCTCTACTAAAAATACAAAAATTTGCCAGGGGTGATGGTGCATGCCTGTAATCTCAGCTACTCGGGAGGCTGAGGTGGGAGAATTTCTTGATCCCAGGAGGCGGAGTTCACAGTGAGTCAAAATTGTGCCATTGCACTCCAGCCTGGGCAACAGAGCAGGACTCTAACTCAAAAAAACCCCAAAAAACAAACAAACAAAACAAACCAGTTCATCTAAGAGCTGTGGGACAATACCAAATGATGCAATATATGCATTATACAAATCCCAAGAGGAGAAGAGAAAGAGAATAAGGGGAAGAAATATTTGAGAAATGTTGGCTGGGAATTTTTCCAAAAATAATGACAGACACCAAGCCATAGATTCAAGAAGCTTAGATAACACCAAGCAGGAAAGAAAGAGAGAGAAAGGAGGAAGAAAAGGGAGGAAGAAGGAAAGAAGGAAGAGAGAAACCACACTTACGTATGTCATATTCAAGTTTCCAAAAACAAAAAACAAAGAAAAGACCCTGAAGACAGCCAGAGAAAAAGGACACGTTACATACAGAGAAACAAAGATGAGAATTGCAGTGCACTTCACCTCAGAAGCCATGCAAGCCAGATTACAATAAAGTGACATGTTTAAACTACAGAAAGACAAAACTGTCATCCCAGCATTCTATATTCAGCAAAATATCTTTAAAAAATGAAGAAGACATACTTTCTCAGATAAATAAAAACTGAGAAAATTTTCTACTAGCAGCCCTGCAATATAAGAAATGTTAAAGGAATTTCTTCTGGCAGAAAAAAATACGATACCAACAGAATCTTGAATTTACAGAAAAACATAAAGCATTCTGGAAATGAAGCAAATGTACATAAAATAAAGTCTATTTAAAAATTTTCTTAATTTTAATTGCTCTAAAAGACAACGGTCTCAAGCAAACTATAAGATCAGTGTATCATGTGTTTATAGCATATGGAAAAGTAAAATGTGTGACAATAGCAGAAAGGATGGAGGAAATAATTGAGAATATAACAATAAGCTCCTTATACTACATGTGAAATGGAATAATATTGGGAGGTAGACTCTGATTAATAAAAATATGTATATTATAAAACCCAGGAAAACCACCAAAAGTATAAAGAAGAGTTATAAATAATAAGGCAATAATGGGGATCAAATTGAACAATAAAAAGTCTTCAGCAACCCAAAAGACTGCATTAAAAAAAGGAAAGATAAAAAAGTACAGAGGGACCAAAAAGAAAACAGGTAGCAAGATGAAAGATTTTAATCAAAATCTATCAATAATCAATTTAAATTGAGAGGGACTAAACGCATCAATTAAAAAACAGAGACCAAGTGGCAGAATAAAAAGGCAATCCAAATTGTATGTTGTCAACAAGAAACTTGCTTTAAATATAAAGATATAAATGAGTTAAACTAAAAAGATGGAAAAAGATATACCATGCAGACAGTAAACACCAACCAACACACACACACACACACACACACACACACACACACACACCCCTATAACATCAAAGTAAAATTCAGAATGAGAAATATCATCAGAGATAAAGGAGGACATAATGTAATAATGAGTCAGTTTTCCAAAAAGCCACAACAATCCTAAACATGTATATGCCTAACAACAGAGTTCGAAATACATAAACTAAAAGTGAATCGAACTGAAGGGAAAAATGAACAAATACACAATTAGGCTGTAGATCTCCGGCCATACTGACCAGTATCAGGAATAAAAAAGTGGACATCATTACAGACCCCTATAGACACTGAAAAGATAATGTGAAAATGCTTCAAATAAGCAGAGTAAAATGGATCAATTCCTTAAAAGATATGATCAAAACTCACTGAAGAAAAAAACCAGTCTTCTATCTATAAAGAAATTAGAAATTGATTTTATGGTTAAAAGCTTTCTATATAGAGAATGCCATGCCCAGAAGTGTTTGCAGGTTAGTTCTAAAAACATTTAAGGCAGAAATAATACCAATTTTACACAATCTCTTCCAGAAAATAGAACTCATCTTATCAGTCCAGTATTCCAATGAGATGAAGAAAACTACAAGCTGTTATCCTTCACAATTATAGATGCAACAATCATCAATATAAATTAACATATTGAATCCAGCAATATATAAATCTTTTTTTTCTGTTTCAGTTGATGCTGCTATAAAGTCAACAATATATTACAATCTAGTGTGTGTATCCCATGAATGCAAGGCTCAATCAACATTCGAAATTCAATCAATGTAACTTACCATACCAACACATTTTTTTTTTCTTTTTTTTTTTTTTGAGATGGAGTCTCGCTCTGTCGCCCAGGCTGGAATGCAGTGGCGCGATCTTGGCTCACTGCAAGCTCTGCCTCTCAGGTTCACACCATTCTCCTGCCTCAGCCTCCTGAGTAGCTGGGACTACAGGCGCCTGCCACCACACCTGGCTAATTTTTTTTTTTTTTTTTGTATTTTTAGTAGAGACGGGGTTTCACCGTGTTAGCCAGGATGGTCTCCATGTCCTGATCTTGTGATCCACTCACCTTGGCCTCCCAAAGTGCTACGATTACAAGCATGAACCACTGTGCCTGGCCCAAACAAAAATTTTTTAAAAAAGAAAACCATATGATTATAGAAGTATAAAGAGTACTTTACAGTATTCACAATCTATTTATGATGAAAAAATAAACTCTCAATCCAATCTGTCAATCTATTTGAAATAAATAGGACATTTCTTTATATGAAAACAGGTAGGTACAAAAAACCAAAGCTAGCATCATATTTGGTTGTGAAAGACTCAATATGTCTACCCAAGGATCAGACACAAGTCAAGGATGTCCTCTTTTACTACTCCTATTCAACATTGTGCTGGAAATCATAGCTAGCTGCTATGGTCTAAATGTTAGTGTCTCCCAGGAAGTTATATATTGAAACTGAATTCCCCAATGTAATTATGTTAAGAGGTGGGCCTTTGGGAGGGGATTAGGTCATGAAGCTTTCTCCTCTCCTCAGTGGGATTAGCGCCCTTATAAAAAAGGCTCAAGGGAGCTTGTTTGCTTCTTTCACCATGTGAGAACACAGCTAGAAGCTGCCATCTTTGAAAAAAAGGAGCTTTTGCCAGACACCAAATGTGCTAGCACCTTGATCTTAGACTTTCTAATTACCAGAACTGTGAGCAATAATTTTGTGTTGTTTGTAAGTTATCTGGTCTATGGTAATTTGTTACTGCAGCCTGAATGGGCTAAAACACCAGTGTAACATGGCAAGACAAGACATAAAATATCGTAGTTTGTAAAGGAATAATTTGCCTCTAGTAACAGATGACATGATTGTACATGCGGAAAAGTCCAAAAAAAAACCACTATGAAAAAAAAACACTTCTAGAATTAATAAAAGAGTTTAGCTAGGATACAAGGATACAAGTTTAATAAACAAAAATTAATTGATTTGCTACTAGTCATGCACAACTGCAATTAAAAATTTTAAAATCACCACTTTAAAAAGCAAAGAGGAGGAGGAACTTCTACATGTTTAGGTGTCACTGAAAGAAAAACTTATCATGTTCCACACCTCCAGCTCGTGATTTCTTCTTAAAAATTTTGCCCGATTGGAGACGAAGGCCATAAAACAGATAGCTTCCAATCTCTTCTCATTGGAATTGACTTCTTGTGCAACAGAATGTGGAGAAGTTTAAACCCAAGGGCCTCTAGAGAACAGTGCAAGTTGTAGTGAAAGGCATCTGAAAGGAGATTCATGAATTTATGAAGAGAAAGCCTAAACCAGGCTGGATAGTTTTCAGGACAGAACTGAGGAACAAGACAGTTGGGAGGAGCACTTCTGAGTTCCTGGGGAAAAATATGAAGCTTAGACCTCAGAAACGGTTCCTTCAAAGGAATCACAATTTGATCGGATGTCTTTGCAGAGGCATCAATGCCCCAGGGCACTCTTGAAAACAAAAGAACAATCATTGAGCAATTAGTGGTTTCACATCTGGATGTGGCCAGAGACAGAAAGAGAGTGCTAACAATACCACAGTCAGCTCATTATTCAAGTTGAAGAACAGAGAGAAAATGAATAGACAAAAAAAAAACAAAAAAACAAACAAAAAAACCAGCCTCAGAGATATGCGGGACACCATTAAACATAACAACATATATATAACCATGTACCAGAAGGAGAGGAGAGAAAGGAGAAAAAAGTATTCAAAGAAATAATGGCAGAAAACTTCTCAAATTTATTGAAAACAACAACCTACTCATTCAGAAAGGTCAATCAACTCCAAACAGGATAAATTAGAAAAGATTTACGAACAAAAACATCATGGTGAAAACCAAAGACAAGCAAAAATCTTAAAGGCAGCAAGAGAAAAATGTCATATCCCTTAAAAGAGAACCCCAAATACATTAGCAGCTGACTTTTCATAACAAAACACAGGTCAGAAGGCAGTGAAATAACATATTTGAAGTGTTCAAAGAAAAAAATCATCAAGGAAGAATCCTATATACATCACAGCTATATTTGAAAAATGAAGGCAAAATAAAGAAATGCTTAGGTTAAAAAACAAAACAAAACAAAAACCCAGAGAATTTCTTGCTATTAGGCCTGCCTTCAAGAAATACTAAAAAAAATTCTTCAGGTTGAAAACAAGTTACCTTAAATGGTAATTTGAATCCACAGAATTTGTTCCACAGAAACAAAGAGTATCAGTGAAAGTTACTGTCTTTTAAAAAGACACTATAAATGCATATTTTCTCTTTTGTCTCATACTTATTTTAAAAGCAATTATACAGAATAATATGTATATCATGCATTGTTGAGCCTATAACATATATGTGAAATATATTTGCCAATAACGTCACAAAGGTGGTAAGTGGGAGTAAACATGTAATGGGCTAAGAAAATGATTATAACAATGTATCATTGAGTTTGTAAAATTAATAGATGTAATGCATATAAAAATAATACCACAGAAATGGGGGACATGGAACAGGGCTGTATAGGAATAGTGTTCTTAATAGATCACTGGAATTAAACTAGTTTAAGTCTCAAGGTGATTATGATCAGTTAAATATATATGGTAGGCCCTAGAGCAACCACTAAAAAATGACATAAAAATATAGTGGGAAAAATCCTAATGAAATTAAAATGCTACATTAGAAAATATTTACTTAATGCAGAAAAAGCAGTAAAGCAGCAATGGAAGAACAGAAAAAACACAGGACATATGTAAGACAAAAATAAAATAGACATAAATCTAATTATATCAATAATATCAAATGCGAGAGCGAATTAAACATTTCTCAAAAGGCAAAAATTGTCATACTGAATTACAAAAAACATGCTTCTACTTACTATATGTTGTCTGCAAGAAAGACACTTTTAATTCAAAGATACAAATAGATTGACAGTAAAAAGATGGAAAAAGATATGTCATGAAAACAGCAACCATAGGAAAGCTGGAGAGGCTACAGTAATAGACAAAATATACTTTAAAACAAAATATGTTGCTGGACATCAGTGGGAATACTTTATAACAGTAAAAGGATTAACCCATCAGGAAAATATACCAATTATAAATATATATTCAGCTAATAACAGAGCACCAATACATGGAAAAAACTGACAGAAATGAAGAAATAAATAGACATTTCAATATCCTCTCTCAATGATAGAATGATTAGACAGAAGATCAATAAAGAAGTAGAAGAAGACTTGAATGACACTATAAACCAACTACACCTAACAGACAACTATAGAACATGCTATGGTTTGGATATTTGGCCCCTCCAAATCTCATGTTGAAATTTGATCCACAATGTTGGAAGTAGGGACTAAATTGGAGGCATTTGGGTCATGGAGGTATATCCTTCATGAATGTCTTGGTGCTATCCTCATATTAATGACTGAGTTCTTATTCTATGAGTTCCCATGGGAGCTAGTTGTTTAAAATAATCTGGCACTTCCCTTCCTCCCCTCTCTGTTGCTTCCATTCTCTTGCCATGTGATCTCTGTACACGTCCGCTCCCCTTTGCCTTCTGCCGTGAGTCCATGAGTGAAAGCAGCCTATAGCTCTCACCAGAAGTAGATGTTGGTACCATGTTTCTTGTAAAGCCTGCAGAACCATGAGCTAAATAAAACTCCTTTCTTTATAAATCATCCAGCCTAAGGTATTCCTTTATAGCAACACAAATGAACTAAGACAGAACATTCCACTGAATTATGACAAAATGCATACTCTTCTCAAGTGTACATAAAACATTCTCCAGACCATATGCTAAACCATAAAGCATACCTCAATAAATTTAACAGAATTGAAATAATACAAAATATGTTCTCTGACCACAATGGAATGAAATTAGAAATTTATAGCAGGAAAATAATTTGGTAAACTCAGAGATATGTGGAAATTTTACAAAACACTCCTGAATAACCAATAGGACAAAGAAAAAATAAAAAGGGAAGTCAGAAAATAGATTGATGTGAGTGAAAACGAAGATACGACATCCCCAAAGTAAAGGAATGCGAGTAAAGCAGTGCTTAGAGGGAAATTTATAGCTGTAAATACCTATGTTAAAAAAGAAAAAAGATCTTAAATCAATACTCTAACCTTTCACCTTAAGAGACTGGAAACTAAACCCAAAGCAAGCCAAAGGAAGAAAATAATAAAGATTAGAATAGAAATCAATGAAATAGAGAATAAAAAACAATAGATGGACAATAAAAATAATAGAAAAAATTGATAAAACCAAAAGCTGGTTCTTTATAAACATCTACAAAATTGATAAATATTTAATTTTTAGGTTGAAATTTTCAGCTTCTAGGTTGAACAAGAAAAAAAAAGAGGGCTCAAATTACTAGAATCAGGAATAAAAGAGGAGACATTACTACCGACTTTACAGAAGTAAAAGGGATTTTAAAGAAATGCTATGAACAATTGTATGCCAACAAGTTATGTAACAACAAATTAGATAAAACTGACAAATTTCTAGAAAGATACAAACTACCAAAACTGATTACACAAGAAATAAACAATCCGAATATACCTATAAGAAGCAAAGTAATAAAAAACTACCCACTAAGAAAATCTTAGGCCCAGAATACTTCATCACTGAATTCTACCAAGCATTTAAAGGAGAATTAATGCTAATATCTCACATTAAAAAAGGGGTGGGAACACTCTCCAACTCATTATGAAGCCATTATTATCCTTATACAAATACCACAGAAGACATTACAAGAAAACTACAGAGCAATATCTGTTATGAATACAGATATAAAAAATTCTAAACAAAATAATAGCAAACCAAATTCAGCAATATATAAAAAGAATTATACACCATGACCAAGTGATATTTACAGCAGAGATGTAAGGTTGACTTAACATTTTAAAAATAATTAATGTAATACATCACACAATAGATTAAAAACCAAAAATTACATGAACATCTCAAAAATCATTTGAAAAACTCCAACACCTTTTCTTGAGAAAAACACTTACCAAACTAAAAACAAGGAAACTTCTTTAATTAGATAAAGGCATTTATAAAACACCCATATCAAATATCATACTTAATAGTGAAAGGAAAAATGGACCAAAATACTCTCAAAGGAATCAAGAAAAGAGAGAAAAATTAACATAGAACAAATGAGACAAATAGCATCATTGAGATGGTAGCTTTAAATTGAGATATATTAGAAATTTCATTAACTTGTGTGTTGCATGTTTGCTTTGTCATGAACTGTTAATATGTTTCCTAGAGTTCGAATGTGTCCCTCAAAGTTCATGTGTTGGAAACTTACTCCCCAATGTAAAGCATTGAGAGGTGGAGCCTTTAAGAGGTGATTAGGTTATGGAGTGCTCTGCCCTAATACATGAATTAATGGCAATGTTATGAGTAATTATCGTGATTAGTTATCATGAAAGTGGGTTCCTTACAAAAGGATGAGTTTGGTTTGCCCCCTTCTCCCTCTCTCATCCATGTGATGCCTTCTACCACATTATGAAGCAGCAAAAAGGCAATCACAAGATGCTGACCCCTTGATCTTGGACTTCCAAGCCTCCAGAACTATGAGAAATAAATTTCTTTTTAAAATAAATTATCTAGGCCGGGCACAGTGGCTCATGGCTGTAATCCCCAGCACTTTGGGAGGCCGAGATGGGAGGATCACTTGAGGTCAGGAGTTCAAGAACAGCCTGGCCAACATGGTGAAACCCCATCTCTACTAAAAATACAAAAATTAGCCAGGCATCATGGTGTGTGCCTGTAATCCCAGCTACTCAGAAGGCTGAGGCATGAGAATTGCTTGAACCCGGGAGGCAGAGGTTGCAGTGAGCTGAGATCATGCCACTGCACTTCAGCCTGGGTGACAGAGTGAGACTCTGTCTCAAATAAAATAAAATAAAATAAATTATCTAGTCTCTGGTATTCTGTCTTTTTTTTCCTTTTTTTTAAAACAGAGTTTTGGTTTTGTTGCCCAGGCTGGAGTGCAATGGTGCGATCTCGGCTCACTGCAACCTCCATCTCCCAGGTTCAAGGGATTCTCCTGTCTCAGCCTCCCGAGTAGCTGGGATTACAGGCGCATACCACCATGCTTTGCTAATTTTTGTATTTTTAGTAGAGACAGGGTTTCATCATATTATATGGTCCGGCTGGTCTGGAACTCCTGACCTTAGGTGATCTGCCTGCCTCAGCCTCCCAAAATGCTGGGATTACAGGCATGAGCCACTGCGCCCGGCTTTCTGGTATTCTGTTACAGCAGCACAAAATGGACTAAGACAATATTAAATGATCCAATTAAAGTAAAAAGTTTGTTAAAGTGTATTAAAAACCTAACAAACTTTACCTTTTTTTTAAATGACAAAGTGCACATTCAACACACAAGGATACAGGGAGCTTGTGAATAAGAGAACTAAAAAAGATTTACTGTGCAAACACTAACCAAAACCCACCTCTATATATAAAAAGACAAAATAGAGCCTATGACAGAGCTTTACTTCTAAGTAACTCAAGGTTTAAAGAAGAACTGTAATTAAAAATTTACACTTAATTACATAAAAGCTCTCCATATACTGTATATCAAATCTTGTTGGAAGCAGCTAAAGTTGTACTTTAGAGGATTTTTTTTAGCCTTCAAACATAAAAAGAGAGAATAAAGGCTGAAAGAGCGATTATCTATTTGAAGAAATTAGGAAAACAAAATATCCATTTGAAGAAATCAGAGAAAAAGTATATTAAATCTAAAGAAAGTAGAGTGAAAGACACAGGGATGACAAGAACAGAAATTAATGACATAGAAAACAAACATAAATAAAAGGAATTGACCAAACCAAAAGTTGCTTCTTTGCAAAAATTAATGAGATGATATACTTTAGTAACAGTGTTCAAGGACAAAAACAAAGAGTGCACAAATAACACTATCAAGAATGAAAGAGGACTATCACTATCAATCCCACAAATAATAATATGAAAAGTAGAGGACATACTGAACAACTCAACACCACAAAACTGTGAAAGATAGTTAACTGAAAAAATGCTAATTACAGAAACAAACACAGTAGAAATAGTACTAAATAAATTTAATCAGTAAGCAAAATTTTTTTCTACAAAAATTTTTATACAAAGCTACCATGGCTTTCCTAGCAGGATTTATGTATCAGTCCATTTTTGTGTTGCTATAAAGAAATACTCAAGAATGAGTAATTTATAATGAAAAAATATTTAGGTTTGGTGTGGTGGCTCACATCTGTGATCCTAGCACTTTGGGAGACCAAGGCTAGAAGATCCCTTGTGCTCAGGAGTCTGAGACCAGCCTGGGCAACATAGAGAGACCCTGTCTCTAAAAATACATACATATATACAAACATAAATAAGAAAGGAGATCTAATTGGCTCACAGTTCTGCAGCTGTACAGGAAGCTTGGTGCTGGCATCTGCTTCTGGTGAGGGCCTCAAGATGCATACAATCATGGTGGAAGGCAAATGAGGAGCTGGTGTATTTCATGGTGCATCCCCCCAGAAAAGGCTTGAGAGGCCCCCAGAATCCCTAGCTGGGTGACTAGTGAAGATCATTCCTTGTATAAAGCCAGGCCACAAAGACTGAAGAGTTGCCTGTTTTTCAAAAGCACAAATCCCAGTAAAAAATAATAAGGCATGTGAAGAAATAGGGAAAAATGGCCCAATCAAAGGAACAAAATAAATATCCAGGAACTGACCTTAAACAAAGAGATCAATTAATGACCTGAAAAAGAATTCAAAATAATTGTCTTAAAGAACTTCAATGTGATACAAGAGTACACAGATAGACAACTAAAAACAAATCCAGAAAACAATGCATTAACAAAGTGACAATATGATCAAAGAGACAAAAACTAAGGAAGAAAAAACAAATAGAAATTCCAGAGCCGAAGATTGCAATAACTGAATTATAAAATTCGCTAGAAGGGTTCAATAGACAACTTGATCAAGCAGAACAAAGAATCAGTGAAGTTGAAGACAGATAATTTGAAATGATCAAGTCACAGGAACAAAAAGAATAAAGGATTAGTAAAAGTGAAGAAAGCATAAGGGACTTATGAAAAATCATCAAGCCTATCAATATACATGTTATAGGAGTTAAAAAGAAGAAAGAGAGCAAAGGGCAGAGAGCTTATTTGAAGAAATAATGGCCCAAACTTCCAAATCTAAGGAAGAAAATGGACATCCAAATTCTAGAAGCTCGAAGGATGCTGACAAAGAAGAACCCAAAGATGCCCACACTGAGACATATTGTAATCAAACTATCAAGGACAGTTTGATGTATCAGAAGTCAAGGATAAAGAGAGAGTCTTGAAAATAGCAAGAGAAAAGCCACTTGTATGTACAAGGGAGCTACTGTAAGATTATCAGCTGATTTCTCAGAAGAAACATTATAGGCTGGAAAGGAGTGAGATGTTATATTCAAAGTGCTGGAAGAAAAAAACCTTTTGTCAACCAAGAATATTATAACCAACAAAACTGTTCTTCAAAAATGAAGGAGAAGGCAGCCAAGTGGTCTCCCAAGACCATAACCCAGCCGCCACTAGTGTCGTCGCCACCCATAAAAGAGCCGAGCTGAGTGGGGGTGCTGCCCAGAATCCTGTGGGCAAAAGACTACAGCAGGAGCTGATGACCCTCATGATATCTGGTGACAAAGGGATTTCTGCTTTCCTTGAATCAGACAACCTTTTCAAATGGGTAGGGACCATCCATGGAGCAGCTGGCACAGTGTATGAAGACCTGAGGTATAAGCTCTTGCTAGAGTTCCCCAGTGGCTACCCTTACAATGAGCCCACAGTGAAGTTCCTCACACCCTGCTACCACCCCAACATAGACACCCAGGGTAACATATGCCTGGATATCTGGAAAGACAAGTCGTCTGTACTGTATGGCATCAGGACCATTCTGGTCTCCATCCAGAGCCTGCTAGGAGAACCCAACATTGATAGCCCTTTGAACATGCATGCTGTTGAGTTCTGGAAAAACCCTACAGCTTTTACCTTCAAGAAACCTATTCAAAGCAGGTTACCAGCCAGGACCCCTGACCCAGGCTGCCCAGACTGTCCTTTTTTTTTCTTTCTTTTTTTTTTTTTTTGAGATGGAGTCTTGCTCTGTTGCCCAGGCTGGAGTGCAGTGGTGAGATCTCAGCTCACTGCAACCTCCACCTCCCAGGTTCAAACGATTCTCGTGCCTCAGCCTCCCGAGTAGCTGGGATTACAAGCACCTGCCACCATGCCCGGCTAATTTTGATATTTTTAGTAGAGACAAGGTTTCACCATGTTGGTCAGGCTGGTCACAAACTCCTGACCTCAGGTGATCTGCCCGCCTTGGCCTCCCAAAGTGTTGGGATTACAGGCATGAGCCACCATGCCTGGCTTCCCTGCCTATCTTTGTGTTGCCTTTTTAAGTTTTCCTTTGATGGTCTGTCCTGTCTGTGATTTCTGTATAGGACTCTGTATCTTCAGCTGTGGTATTATTTTTGTTTTGTTTTTGTCTTTTAAATTAAGCCTCGGTTGAGCCATTGTGATGTATATTAAATAAATACATTTTGGTTATTAAAAAAAAATGAAGGTGAAATAAAGACCTTCCCAGAAAAATAAAAGCTGAAGGTGTTTATCCACACTAAATCTACCTTACAAAAAAATGCTAAAGGGAGTTCTTCAAGTTGAAACAAAAGGACACTTGACAGCAACACAACGGCGTAAAAAATATAAAGCACTCAGTAAAGGGAGGTATATGGAAAAGTACAGAATTGTATAATATTCTAATGGTGGTACATAAATCACATTTAATCCTGGTATAAAATTTGAAAAAGTATAAATAGAACTATAATTATCAAACTTTGTTAATGAACATAAAATATAAAAATATGCAATTTGTGAAATAAATAACATAAAGTAGGGGAGATGTAAAATTTTTTATGTAATTGATATTAAGTTTTTGTCAGCTTAAAATAAATGGCTATAATGATAAGGTATTATACTTAATCCCCATGGTAATCACAAAGGAAATATCTGTAGAAGATATACAGAAGAAAATGAGAAAGGAATCAAACTTGTCACTAAAAAAAAATTAACAAAACCTAATGAAAGGCAGCAAGAAAGGAAAAGGGACAAAATAACTGCAAAGTATACAAAAAACAATCAACAAAATGGCAAAGTAAGTCCTTTCCTGTCAGTAATTTTTATATGTGTAAATAAAAAGAAATAGAGGGCTGGCCGAGCGCGGTGGCTCACACATGTATTGCCAGCATTTTGGGAGGCCAGGACGGGCAGATCACCTGAGGTCAGGAGTTCGAGACCAGCCTGGCCAACATGATGAAACCCCATCTCTACCAAAAATATAAAAAATTAGCAGGGCATGGTGGCGTGCACCTGTAATCCCAGCTACTCAGGAGGCTGAGGCAGGAGAATAGCTTGAACCTGGGAGGCGGAGGTTGCAGTGAGCTGAGACCATGCCACTGCACTCCAATCTGGGTGACAGAGCAAGACTCCATCTCAAAAACAAACAAACAAACAAACAAAAAAAAAGAAAAAAGAAATAGAGTGGTTCAATAGATTTTTCAGAACCTCAAGACCCACTCACCTTAGATACAAAGATACATATAGGCTGTGTATTAGTCCATTCTCACAGTGTTATGAAGAAATACCCAAGACTGGGTAATTTATAAAGGAAAGAGGTTTAATTGACTCATAGTTCTTCATAGCTGGAGAGACCTCGGGAAACTTACAATCACGGTGAAAGGCAAAGGAGAAGCAGGCACCTTCTTTTCAGGGTAGCAGGACAGAGTGAATGCAAGCAGGGGAAACGGTAGATGCTTATAAAACCATCAGATCTCCTAAGACTCACTCATTACCATGAGAATATGGGGGAAACCATCCCCATGATCAAATTACCTCCACCTGGTCCTGCCCTTGACATGTGGGGATTATTACAATTCAAGGTGAGATCTGGATGGGGACACAGAGCCAAACCATATCAGGCTGCAAGTGAAAGAATGGAAAAAGGTATTACATGCAAATTGCAACCAAAAGAGAGCAGTGCTGGCCAATTTATATCAGACAAAATAGACTCTAAGACAAAAACTGTCACAAGAGACAAAAATGAACATATAACAATAAAAGAATCAATTTTCAGCTGGGCGCAGTGGCTCAGGCCTATAATCTCAGCATTTTGGGAGGCTGAGGTGGGCTGATCACCTGTGGACAGGAGTTTGAGACCAGCCTGGCCAACATGGCAAAACCCTGTCTCTACAAAAATACAAAAAAAATTAGCTGGGCTTGGTGGTGGACACCTGTAGTCCCAGCTACTCAGGGGGCTGAGGCAGGAGAATCACTTGAACCTGGGAGACAGAGGTTGCAGTGAGCTGAGATCACGCCACTGCACTCCAGCCTGGGTGAGAGTGAGACTCCTTCTCAAATAAAAAAAAGCAAGAATCAATTTTCCAGTCATATAACAATTACATATATATACGTATATATACGTATACGTATACGTATATATACGTATATATACGTATACGTATACGTATATATACGTATATATATGTATATATATACATATATACGTATATATATATATCTGTAGCTCACTCAAATATATGAAGCAAATGTTGAAAGAATTGAAGGGACAAATAGGCAGTAACACAGTAATAGAAGGAGATTTTAATACCTTGCTTTCAATAATGCATAGAATAACCAGACAGAAGATTAATAAAGAAACAGATAACTTGGGCCGGGTGCTGTGGCTCACGTCTGTAATCCCAGCGCTTTGGGAGGCTGAGGTGGGTGGATCACGTGAGGTCAGGAGTTCGAGACCAGGCTGGCCAATATGGTGAAACCCCGTCTCTACTAAAAATACAAAAATTAGCCGGGT
Source organism: Homo sapiens (assembly GCF_000001405.40). Lineage (NCBI taxonomy): Eukaryota > Metazoa > Chordata > Mammalia > Primates > Hominidae > Homo > Homo sapiens. Next base: position 3,709,330 of record NT_187660.1, read on the forward strand.
GTGGTGGTGGGTGCCTGTAATCCCAGCTACTCAGGAGGCTGAGGCAGGAGAATGGCTTGAACCCAGGAAGCGGAGGTTGCAGTGAGCCAAGATTGTGCCATTGCACTCCAGCCTGGGTGACAAGAGTGAGATTCCATCTCAAAAAAAAGGAACTTGAACAACATTATAGACCAGTTGGACCTACAGACATATACAGAATACTCTAAGAACTACAGAATAAATGTTCTCTCAAACTCACATGGAACATTCTTCAGGATAGATCACATGTTAGGCCACAAAACAAATCTTAAATTTAAGAAAATTGAAATCATACCAACTGTCTTTTCTGATTTTGTTGGAATAAAACTAGAAATCAATAGCAAAAGGAAAACGGGTAGATCACAAATATGGGGAAATTAAACAATACACTCTTGAACAACTAATAGATCAATGAAGAAATCACGAGAGAAATTGGGAAGTGTTTTGAGACAAATGCCAACAAATTTGATAGCCTAGAAGAAATAGAGAAATCTCTAGAAACATACAACCTACCAATATTGAATCGTGAAGAAATAAAAAATCTGAACAGATTTAAAGCTAGTAGAGAGATTAAATCACTAACCAAAAACTTTCCCACCTAGAAAAGCCCAGGACCAGGTGGCTTCACTGGAGAATTCTACCAAACACTTAAAAAAGAATTAATATAAATTATTTGCAAACTTTTTAAAAAATTGAAGAAAAAGGAATTTGATGAGACCAACATTACTCTGATTCCAAAATTAGACAAAGATACTACAGGTAAAGAAAACTACAAACTTCCCTGATTAATATTGATGCAAAAATCCTCAACAAAATACTAGCAAACCAAATTCGATGACACATTAAAAGGTTTATACACCATGACCAAGTGGGATTTATTCCTGGAATACAAGGATGGTTTAACATATGAAAATCAACAATGTAATATCACATTAAAAGAATGGAGGACACTATGTTCCAACTGTTCTATATATATGTAAGTAAAAAAAGAAAAAAGAATGAAGGACAAAAACCACATGATCATTTCAATTGATGCAGAAAAAGCCTTAGAAAAAAATTCTACACCCTTTCATGATAAAAACACCTGACAAACTATCAATAGAAAGATATTATCTGACCATATTAAAGTGTATACAAAAAGCCCACAGCCAACATCAAACTCAGTGGTGAAAAACTGAAAGCTTTATCTCTAAGGTTAGGGACAAGGCAAAGATGCCCATTCTTGCCACTTCTATTCAACATAGTAATGGAAGTTCAGCTAGAGGAATTAGACAAGAAGAAAGAAACTAAAGGCATCTAAATCTGAATAGAAGAAGTAAAAATACTTCTGTTTATAATATTATATGTAGAAAATTCTAGAGATTTCACACACACACACACACACACACACACACACACACACAAAGCTCTTAGAACTAAAGAACAAATTTAGCAAAGTTGCAGGGTACAAAAATCAACACATGAAATTAGTTTTATTTCTATATCTAACAATGAACAATTTAAAAAGAAAATTAGGAAAACATCCCATTTACAAGAGCATTGAAAAAAATAATATACTCAGGAATAAGCTTAATCAAGGAGGTGAAAGACTTATATACTGAAAACTACAAAACATTGCTGAAAGAAATTAAAGAAGATATAAATGCATGTAAAGATATTTCACATTTATAGATTAGAAGACTCAATGCTGTTAAATGTTCATACTACCCAAAGAAATTTGCAGATCCACTGCAATACTTATCAAAATCCAATGACATCTTTGAAGAAATAGAAAAAATTTTCTAAAATGTATATGGAATCCTAAAGAATCCTAAGGAATAGCCCAAATAATTCTGTAAAAGAAAACAAAACTGAAAATCTCACACTTCCCAATTCAAAATACTACTCTGACAGTGATCAGAATAGTATGATACTGGCATAAAGACCTATAGACCAATAGAATATAAGAGAGATCCCAGAAATAAATTTTCACATATGTGGTCAAATGATGTTTGAGGAAGGCAAGACCATAACCAAAGCCTGCTTTCTGGAATAGTACCAATGCCAGTGTGGAAGATCTGTGGGCCTTATTGATGAATATAAAGATTTCAGTGGCTGGGTGCAGTGGCTCACACCTGTAATCCTAGGAGTTTGGGAGGCTGAGGCGGGCAGATCACCTGAGGTCAGAAGTTTGAGAGCAGCCTGGCCAACATGGTAAAACCCCGTCTCTACTAAAAACACAAAAATTAGTCGGGCGTGTTAGCACATGCCTGTAATCCCAGCTACTTGGGAGGCTGAGGCAGGAGAATTGCTTGAATCCAGGAGGCGGAGGTTGCAGTGAGCTGAGATCGCGCCACTGCACTCCAGCCTGGCCAACAAGAGTGAAACTCCGTCTCAAAAAGAAAAAAAATCTAAATGCCTTTAACAGCACCCAAGTCACCTCTTGAATGCTTTCCTGCTTAGAAATTTCTTCCACAAGATACCCTAAATTATTTTTCTCAAGTTCAAAGTTCCACAAATCTCTAGGGGCAGGAGCAAAATGCCTCCAGTCTCTTTGCTAAAACATAACAAGAGTCACCTTTACTCCAGTTCCCAAGTTCCTCATCTCCATCTGAAACCACCTCAGCCTGGACTTTATTGTGCATATCATTATCAGCACTTTGGGCAAAGCCATTCAACAAGTCTGTGGGAAGTTCCACACTCTCCCACATTTTTCTATCTTTTTCTGAGCCCTTCAAACTGTTCCAACCACTGCCTGTTACCTAGTTCCAAAGGAAAAGTGTAAAATAATGAAATTTGATTCTTATATCATTTATAAAAATTAACTTAAAAAAGATAATAGACCTGAATATAAGACCTGAAACTTTAAAACTCCTAGAAGAAAACACAGAGGGAAAGCCTCCTGACATTGGACTTGGCAATACTTTCCTGGATATGATACAAAAAACACAGGTAATAAAAGCAAAAATAGACAAATGGGACTATATCAAACTTAAACCCTGTGCATCAAATAAAACAATCAAGAAAGTAAAACGCAACCTACAGAATGGAAGAAATATTTGCAAACCATTTGATTGTTAAGGACTTAATATCTAGAATATATAAAGAACATTTACAGCTCAACAACAATAAAAACGCATAACCTGATTAAAAAATGGACAAATGACTTGAGCAGACATTTCTCCAAATAAAATATATGTGATGGTTAATTTTATGTGTCACCTTGACTAGAGTAAGGATTGTCTAGAGAACTAATAAAGCAATATTTGTAGGTGTGTTTGTGAGGGTGTTTCCAGAGGAGATTGGTGTGCAAGTCAGTGGACCATATAGGGAAGATCCACCCTCACTGTGGGCAGGCACCCCAGGCAGCTGGGGTCTGGAAAGAACAAAAAAGGCAGTAAAGAGGCAAGTATCTCTTTTTCTCTCCTAGAGCTGGGGCACCCTTCTTCTCTTGCTCTTGGACATCAGAACTCCAGTCTCTCCAGCCTTTGGAGTCCAGGACTTATGCTAGTGGTCCCCTGGGTTCTCAGGCCTTCAGCCTCGAACTGAGATTTACATCATCAGCTTCCTAAATTCTGAGGCTTTTGGACTTGGACTGAGCAACCCTATTGGCTTTCAGGAGTCTCCAGCTTGCAGACAGCCTATTGTGGGACTTCTCACTCTCCATAATCATGTAAGCGAGTTCCCCTAATAAATCCCCCATCTATCTATTATCCATCCATCTCTCACTGGTTTTACCTCTCTAAGTATATGAAAAGATGCACAGCATCACTAGTCATCAGAAAAATGCAAATGAAAACCACAGTGAAATACTGCTTCACACCCCTTAGGAGGACCACTGTAAAAAAACAAAAAACAAAAAACAAAACAAAAAACAGAAAATAACAAGTGTTGGCAAGAATGTAGAAAAATTGGAACCAGTACGGCGATTCCTCGAGAAATTAAAAATAGAAGTATCATATGATCCAGCAACCTGACTTCTGAGTATAGATTCAAAATTGAAAACAGGCTTTCAAAGTGATGTTTGCACACCCATGCTTATTGCAGCAAAATTCACAATAGCCAAGATGTGGAAACAACTTAAATGTCTATGGACAGATGAATGGATAAGCAAGTGTGGTATACACATACAATGGTGTATGAGTCATTTCTCACACTGTTATAAAGAAATACCCAAGATTGGGTAATTTATAAAGAAGAAAAGTTTAATTGCCTCACAGTTCTGCAGGCTGTGCAGGAAACATGGTGGCTTCTGCTTCCAAGGGGGCCTCAAGGAAACTTACAATCATGGTGGAAGGCAAATTGGGAGCAGGTATGTCTTACAGGGCCCAGGCAGGAGCAAGAGAGAGAGGGGAAGTGCTACACTTTTAAACAACCAGATCTTCCAAGTACTCACTCACTATCATGAGACCAACACCAAGGAAGAAATCTGTCCCCATGATCCAATCACCTCCTACCAGGCACTGCCTCCAATACTGGGAATTAGAATTCAACGTGAAATTTGGGTGGGGACACAGACCCAAACCATATCAAATGGAATATTATCCATTCTTTTAAAAAAAGACATGTTGTCTTATACTACAACATCCATGAACCTTGAAGACATTATGCTAAGCAAAATAAGCTAGTCACAAAAAGGCAAGTCTTGCATGATTCTACTTATATAGGGGTATCTAAAGTAGTTAAACTCTTAGAAAGTAGAATGGTGGTTGCCAGGACCTGGGAAGAGAGAGGAAAAGGATCATTGTTGTTCAGTGGGTATAGAGCTGCAGTTTGCAAGATTTTTCTTACCACAATTAAGAAAAATCATGTCTCTCGCACAACATGTGTAGGGATAAAAGTACAAAATATTTTGTAATGTTAAGAAACTTCAATATTAGGAGGAATTAACCATGTTTATGGATTGCAAGGCTCAGTATCCTAAAGGTCAATTTATCATAAATTCATCTTTAGATTTAATGTAACCTCAGTCAAAATTTCAACAGGTTTTTTGGTAGAACTTCAGAAGCTTATTCTAAATTTTATATAGAAATGCCAAGGACCGGCCGCGGGCGGTGGCTCACGCCTGTCATCCCAGCACTTTGGGAGTCCGAGGTGGGCAGATCACAAGGTCAGGAGATCAAGACCATCCTGGCTAACACGGTGAAACCCCGTCTCTACTAAAAAATACAGAAAAATTAGCCAGGCGTGGTGGCGGGCGCCTGTAGTCCCAGCTACTCGGGAGGCTGAGGCAGGAGAATGGCATGAACCCAGGAGGCTTGCAGTGAGCCGAGATCGCGCCACTGCAGTCTGGCCTGGGCGAAAGAGTGAGACTCTATCTCAAAAAAAAAAAAAAAAAAAAAAAGAAAAAGAAAAAGAAAAAGAAATGCCACAGACCAAATATAACCAGGACATTCTTGAAGATATAGTGGAAGAAAGTAGCAAGATTTGCTCTACCAGAGTTCAAATTTACCATAAAACTAATTTACTATGAAACTATCATTATTCAGACAATGTGTAGTTGGCAAGATGATCTACATAATTTGCAGGACTCATACAAAATGAAAATGCAAGGCTCCTTGCTCACAAACTATTAAGAATTTTGGGACAGCACCCCTAACGCATTAAGTCAAGTACAGGAGTCTTCTAAGGATGGGGCGCTGTACAGTGCTGCATTCTGTATGTTCATTTAATTGATGACAAAAAGTGACAGTGCAGAGCAGCAGGGAAAGGACAGCGTTTTCAGTGCAGCGTTTTCAGGTGGAAAAAAATGATAGACTTAAAACCATGAGAAGTCCCTAAAAAGGAAGGGAATTCTGACACTTGGTACTACACAGATGAACGTTGAAGACACTATGCTAATGAAATAAGCCAGATACAAAAGGGCAAATAATGCCCGATTCCGCTTACATATGATACCAAGAATGGTGAGATTCATAGAGATGGAAAGCAGAATAGCAGATGCCAGGGGCTGGAAGAGGGGGGAATAGTGAGTTATTATTTAATAGGTACAGAATTTGTCTTTGGGAAACTGAAAGTGTTGTGGAGATGGATAGTGGTAAAGGCTGCACAATAATATGAGTGAACTTAAAGCCACTGACTTGTACACTTAAAAATAGTTAAAATGGTAAATGTTATGTATATTTTACCAGAATTAAATAAAGATGAAAAGCAAAACAATGTATCTGTAGAAGAAAATACAGGAGACTAACTTTATGATCTTAGCACAGAGAAAGATTCTTTTATTTATTTATTTATTTATTTATTTATTTATTTATTTATTTATTTTGAGATGGAGACTCACTCTGTCATCCAGGCTGGAGTGCAGTGGCGCAATCTCGGCTCACTGCAAGCTCCGCCTCCCAGGTTCACACCATTCTCCGGCCTCAGCCTCCCGAGTAGCTGGGACTGCAGGCACCCGCCACTATGCCTGGTTAATTTTTTGTTATTTTTAGTAGTGACAGGGTTTCATCATGTTAGCCAGGATGGTCTCGATCTCCTGACCTTGTGACCGCCCGCCTTGGCCTCCCAAACTGCTGGGATTACAGATATGAGCCACCGTGCCTGGCCTGATTCTTTTATTTTAAATTAAAGATCATGCTCTGTTGCCTTGGTTGGAAGGGGAAGATTGTTAAACAAGGTCCAAACAGCACTAATGATAAAGGAGACATTTGATAATTTTGATTCATTAGAATTAAGAAACTTTTCTTCATCAAAGGACACTATTAAGAGAGTGAAAAGCTAAGTCACAAAGTGAAAGAAGATATTTGCAGTACATACACCCAGCAAAGAGGTCATATCTAGATATATAAAGTACACCTAAAAATCAATAAGAGAGAGAACAATGAGTAAAAGGGGAAAAAATGGGTGTCTTAGTCTGTGTCATGCTGCTATCACAGTACACCAAGGATTGGGTAATTTATAAAGAACAGAAATTAATTTTCCTACAGTTCTGGAGGCTGGTAAGTCAAGATTAAAGGGCCGGCATCTGGCAAGGGTCTTCTTGCTGCATCACGACATGTTGGAAGGCATCACATGGTGGAAGGGCAAAGAGAGGGTGAGGGAGAGAGTAAAATACCCTTGAAAACAAACCCACTTCCATGATAATGGCACAAATTCATTCACTCTGCCCTCGTGGCCTAACCACCTCTCCTTAAGGCCCCACCTCTCAACACTGTTGCTTTGGGGATTAAATTTCCAACATATACTTTCTAGGGGACACATTCAAAGGTTAGCAATGGACAAAATGTTTCAACAAGTTGAAAGAGAAGATATCTAAATGGCCAATAAACATGTAAATGTTCCTTAATCATGTAAATTCAAATCACAATGAGATCATTCCATATTCTGAAAGTCTGACAGTGCCAAGTATTGGTGAGACCTTGAAGTCATAGGCACTCAGAACACTGCTGGTGGTAGAATCTCCATTCTTTGGAGGAGGATGTAACAGTATCCACTAAAGCTGAAGACAAGTACACTCATGAGCCTCCAATTCATCATAGCCCCTGCTACGGACTGAGTATATATGCACCACCCCAATTCATACGTTGAAATTCTAACCCCCAAGGTGATGGTATTTGGAGATGGGGCATGCAGCAGATGATTAGGTCATACGGGTGGACCTCTCAGGTGGAGTTAGTGACCTTAAAAAAAGAGACACAAAAGAGCTTGCTGCCTCTTTCTCTCACTCCACCATGTGTGGACACAATGAGAAGATGGCAGTCTACAACCTGGAAGCGAGCCCTCACCGAGAACCCAACTATCCTGGCACCTTGATCTCAGACTTACAGCCTCCAGAACTGTGAAAAATAAGTGCTTGTTGTTTAAGCCATCCAGTGTGTGGTATTATTATTTTTTATTATCTCAGCCCACACTGACTAAGACAGCTCTCAAATGGAAACAACAGAAATGTCCACCAACAGTAGGATGGACTAAAAAATGTATATTCATATAATGGATTTTATGCTGCAGCAAAAATGAATTGCAAATGCCTACAGCAACATGGTTAAATTTTTTTTTTTAGACAGAGTCTCCCTCTGTCGCCCAGGATGGAGTGCAGTGGCGTGCTCTCGGCTCACTGCAACCTCCGCCTCCCAGGTTCAAGCGATTCTCCTGCATCAGCTTCCTGAGTAGCTGGGACTACAGGCACCCGTCATCATGTCCGGCTAATTTTTTGTATTTTTAGTAGAGATGGGTTTTCACCGTGTTAGCCAGGATGGTCGCTATCTCCTGACCTTGTGATCCTCCCGCCTCGGCCTCCCAAAGTGCTGGGATTACAGGCGTGAGCCACCGCGCCCAGCCTGGCCAAATCTTAAAAGCATAATCTTGAGAGAAAGAAGCCAGATCTCAAACCATGCAAACACTGCACGATTCAATTTCTATACCCTGCGAAGACTTGCGGATGCGACCTTATCATTTAGGGACGCTTGCTTATGTGGTCAACTCTAAAGCAACGGAAGGAAGGAAGTGTTGACTGGGAATGCCAGGTGGCAGAGATCTGGGGAAGGGCACGGGGATGGAGGAGGTGGGATACAGATGGATGCAAGTGGTGGCTACACAGGTGTTTGCTTTACAACAACTTGCTAAGTTGAACATTTGCATTTTAAACATTTTTCTGGATGTATGTTATATTTCACAATAAGGAGGAAGACTAGAGAGAAAGGAGGAGAGAAATCAGAGCACTTACAAAACCTTTCAGGTCGTTTTGCTGAAAAAGGAAGGTTGCTGGAAGGGGAAGTGAAGTTGAGAATTTTTTTTCCTGGAGCTCTTGCACTGGAAAGGGGGCTCCTTCCTGACCGCCTCTCTCTGCTCCCTGTTTTCCTATCTAGACATGGCCTCTGCCCTCCGTAGAAGGTTCCATACCAGCCAACCGGGCCACACCTTCTCCTATACCTGGTCATTTTCTTTCTCTGTCTCCTTCCCTCCCTCCCTCCCTCCCTTTTCTTGATTCCTCCCTTTTCTTGCTTTCTTTCTTGTTCTCTCTTTCTTTCCTTTTTTTTTTTTTTTAAATAAGGTCTTACTCCGTTGCCCAGGCTGGAGTGCAGTGGTGTGATCACCGCTCACTGGAGCCTCAGTCTCCTGGGCTCAAGATATCCCCCTGCCTCAGCTTCCTGAGTAGCTGGGACTATAGGCATGCACCACCACACCCAGCTAACTTTTAATTTTTTTTGTAGAGATGGGGCCTTGCTTTGTTGCCCAGGCTAGTCTTGAACTCCTGGACTCAAGCGATCCTCTTGCCTTAACTTCCCAAAGTGCTGGCATTACAGGCATGAGCCACTGCACCTGGCCTGGTCATTTCCATTTGAAGCTGGATATTGTGAATTTTACCATGCTGGATGCTGGATATTTTTGTATTATTATAAATAATCTTAGGCTGGGTGCGGTAGCTCATGCCTGTAATCCCAACACTTTGGGAGGCCGAGGCAGGCGGATAACTTGAGGCCAGGAGTTCAAGACCAGCCTGGCCAACATGGTGAAACCCCATCTCTACTAAAAATACAAAAATTAGCTGGAATGGTGGCACATGCCTGATTCCAGCGCCCACTGCACTCCAGCCTGGGCGACAGAGCGAGACTCTGCCTCAAAACAAAGCAGAAAAATAAACACATAAATAATCTTGAGCTTTTTTTCTGAGATACAATGAAGCTACTGAGAAACTGTTTGATCTTGTTGGGTCTTGCTTTTATGATTTGTTAGGTGGGCGTGGAGCAGTGCTTAGTCCAGGGCTGAGTTTAGGCTACCCACTGAGTACTGTGCCCAATGGCCAGTGAATCAGGAGTTATGCGTTCTGGCTGGTGGGAGCCCCCTGGGAGCTCCAGCTGCTGTTCTTTACTTCCATGCGGTGGCTTTTCCCTGGCCCCAGGCAGTTTCTCCACACACATGAGGTGAATAACCGAGGAGTCCCTTTGCAGATGTCCAGGGCTGTGTTTTGCCAGCTCTCTCTGTTTAGGTCCTCTGTCCTAAAAACCCTAGCCACCTTGGTCTCCCTGGGCTGTCAGCTGTGTTCCCTTCTCTCAGGGAGTCCACTCTCTTCCACCAGGGTCCCCCCCTTCCCCAGTCCCTGTGTGCTCTGCACCCTGTACATGCGATCAGGGCAGTGAGCCAGGACTGCTGAAGGACTCACCTGTTTCCCACCTCCCGTTCTACTGAAGGCTATGGGCTAGGATGCCCGTCCAGCCTGTGGGCTCAGACTATGGCACCTTTGTGGGCCCCAGGGAATGTCATCTCAAAGATACCTCTGCCCTGAGAGCCCAGCCCTGTGAGGTCTCCCTGAGCCCTTGGTCTGGAAGCAGTGGTGCCCCTGTGTGGGCTGACACTGACTGGCCACTCAGGCTCCATGCAAGGGACATCAGTCCCACGCCAGTCCCTGGCAGCCGAGGCCACAGCTGCCCCACAGCCGCTCTTGCCCCTCCTGCAAAAGGTGTGGTTTGCCTAGCTCAGGGTCTTATCTGCCCTCGCCATGTGAAGAATCTTCTGGCCCCAGACCACCAGGAGACACCACCCCTCACATTTCTTTTTTGAGCACCTGCCAGATGTAGGAAATCTTTTTAGAACTAAGAGAAGATGGAGAGAGAACAGCCAAGTCCTACCCCAGAGAGATTCCCACCTAGTGGAGGGTAAGAGGCCTGCCATCATTGCCACTGGTGGTACAATGCTGGTGCCAAGACTGTGTGCCAGGCTCGTTGCTTCGCGTCCGTTACTTCATCTCAGCAGACAACTCTCAATATCCCCATTCTACGGATGGGGAAATGAGGCTCAGAGAGGTAAGTGACTTGCTCAGGTTCACACAGCTGCACACAGCTGGACATACAGCTGCCCACACAGTAAAATGCAGGATCAGTGGCAGCAGGAGAGAGACTTGCCAGTTGGAGAGCCAGGAAGGTGCACAGAGGAGGTGGCATTGAGCTGGCTCTGGGGATGGGCAGGCCTTTTATAGAGGACTGGGAAGAAGGGCCGGGAACCAACAGTACCCCCCAAGGGAGGTTCGAATCAGGTGCTTGCCCCCAGTTGAGCCAGAGTTGGGGTGTGGAAAGGCTTGGAAAGCAGGAGAGGCTGTGGATGGAGGTGGGAGAGGCTTGGAACTGGGTCTTTGCTATCTCAGGGGCGTGGAAGGGACTTTTGAGTTTGAGAATGACGTGTCTGGAGCTCCCTGGTTCCACAGGGCTGGACCTGCTAGGGCCTGAAGCGGGTTAAGAGCAGAAATCAAAAACAGGTTTGTTTGTGAGTCAGTAGCTGGGAAAATACTGGGAAGCAGGCTTCTTGGAGCTCCCCTTCATCCTCAGCCCTGTGGATTGGGCAGCAGCCCACGCCTCCCTGCCCCAGCCACAGCCCCCCGTCAATGCCGGCGCGCAGCAGCTTTTGCTCATCCTGCCCTGGTTCCAACCCCAAGGCCATGGGGCAGCCCACTGGGCGCCTTCCTGCATGGGTGTCCCCCTTTGCTGCTGTGTCTAGACTGCAGACACAAGTGCTGGCGGGGGCCGGGGGACTGGCCAAAACTAGGGCTGAAATCATGTTCAAAACCACAGTCAAGGCGGACTTGTCAGAAATATTCCTTTCCTTGAGCCGTCGCAGCTCAGCCTCCTTGAATCACCCTGGCCACTTCCTTCCTGTGTATATCTTATGCACGCTAAGGGACGGGGCGGGTGCAACGTGTGTGTTTTTACTTCTTTTAAGTTTTGTCTATGTTTTGTCCTTTCAATGTGTTGTAGGCTGTGGGGGCGGGGCTGTTCCGAGGGGCCTTTGTCACAGTAAGGGACACTGGGGACAGCTCGGGCTTTCTCTTCAAGCTGAAAACCTTTGGTTGTGAGAATGACTAGGAGAAGGGTCTCGCTAGGGTCATGCTTAGGACCCTTCGCAGGTGGTGTGTTTAATCTCAAAACGGCCTCAAGAGGCTCTCGATCTTTTACAGGTGACAAAGAAGACAAGGAAGACAAGGAAGGTGATCCGGGAGGCTGGAGAGCTTGTCAAGGTCACAGACCCACGGTTTTCCGCCCCCTAGGGTCCAAGCTCTTTCCTGGACATCTGCAGGCAATGTCGACACGCCCTCCAGTGTCTGTGGCGGGCAAAGGATGTGTCTCCACCCCCAGACCTTCCGATCCTGTGCTGAAAGTGTCCCTCAGCCTGTTTCCTGAGAAGCCCAGGGGCTTTTGGCTTGTTACTTTTTCTTTCTCTTGAAGTAAACAGAATAAAAGAGAGTTGCTCAGACGTCTTTGGCTGTGACCCACAGGAGATGATGCAATCTCCACGGCACCCCCACATGCATGTGTATGCACAGGCGTGTACAGATATCTAAAACTGGCACCAATTTCACAAAAACACTCACCCTTATGCGAGACACATTCACCCTACACTCATCCCCCATCTCTACAGAAAATTAAAGTATACATTCATAGTTGCTGTATTCATGCATGTACAGATGTATGTACATTTATTCATGTATGTGTATAACTTATGCCATTTTCATGAAACACTCACCCTACGTGTGATACACTCCTATTTTCTAGGAATCGCCGCCCACTGAGCTTATGTCCAAACCTTAGTGGATCATAGTCTAAGTTTGGCAAACACTGAGCCGGGAGGAGTCATGTCTGCAGGGCCCCAGGAGTCCCTTAATTTGGGTCCTGATCACTCTGCTCCACCCAGTGGAGCAGGCACATGCACTTGGCCCATAAGGAAGGAAAGGAGGGCGGGGGAAAAAGGGAGGGAGGGAGGGAGGGAGGGAAGGAGGGAGCACCTCCACCATCGTAGGCAGGACCTGTGAGAGCTGAACAGGGCCAGGCAGCTAGGCACCACTCTGGGACTCTGGGGTTTCTTAGGGGATGACTTGTTTCTGGGGTCCCAGTAAGAGGAACTCAGGGTGACGCCTCCGAGGATGTGAGTGCATGTGGCAGCCGGGCCCCTCAGCCCCTCTGTGTCCTGGTATCCTCTAAATGCAGATGATGGTGAGAATCCATGCCCAGCCCGTGGCTCGGCCCATCTCTGGGAGAGCGTGTTTACCACAGCACTTGGTGTGGTAGGAGGTGAGCAGGGTGGAAGTGCTTTGCATTCACGTGGGACTTCTGGCTCTCAGTTCATCCCACCCCCAGGGCCCGGCATGAGTGAGGCAAGGGTGGGTGGGAGGGTGCAGGATGTGGGAATGCCATGTGCTGTGCACTGCTCACTTCACCCCTCGCTCGCCCCAGTTGGGGTCCCAGACCAGGAAGCTCCATTCACAGAGGTGTGGCCTGGGGCTACTGCACTGCCCAGCAGGTTGTGGGGTCCCTTTACTCTATGCTGTGTGACAATGTTACCTTCCTGGAAAGAACCCGACCAGCCCCCTTTTGCTAGTCATTACCACAGATAGGAGAGAGAACTAAATATCTAGCCAGCCATCCTCTCGGAGCTCCGGAGCTCAGGTCACCAGGCTTCAGGGACTCGCTGCCATCCTCACAGGCTTAGATCCCTGCTGCAGGGTCAGCTAGGTAACCCCTGAGGGTGGGGTGTTCAAAGTTCAGGCTGCCCCCCAGACGTGTGGAATGCCAGCCCTGACTGCCAGGGCGATCTGAGGTGGACTGACCATCCCCTGGACACTTTCATGAAGTGTGGGCACGGGCGCGACAAGTGGCCATTTATCATCCTTCCCTGCAAAGACTGGGCCAGGTTAGAGATGGACCCCAGCAGTTTCATACCCACCAAGGGCACTGGGAGCTTCCACATAGTCACTGCCAGTAGTGGCTGCTGGCTGGGGAGAGGATCTTGGAATGCTGGTCACTGGAGGCCCTCACAGGTGACTGGGAATGTGGAGGAGCAGCAGGGTGCCTCTTCTCTGCCATGCCTTATGTTGGGGTTTGCTCTGGTTCCCCTCGCAGCCACTTACAGCTCCCCCATTGATGATGGGGCACTGCCAGCCCAAGGCCTGCCTCAAAGTCTAAATATCTGTGGGGTGGGGTGCAGGGAGGCGTGCACCCCAGAAAGCAATCCTGGGATCTCCCTTTCTACCTTAACCTTTCTTCCCACTCGGGGGCTTCCTCCCATGAGTGTTGTCAGGTCTTAGCAAATAAAAATACAGGATACCCAGTTATATTTGAATTTCAAATAAAAATTTGAGTAAGAGTTTAGTATAAGCACATCCCAAATGTTGCATGGATGTTCTGCATTTTATCTGGCAGCTGTACCTGCTAGACCTTGGGCTCTGTGGTCGGGTCTTTGGACATGACATCTGCACGGGCTGGGGGCTGAGGCTGCTGGCCAGGGCGAGCCAGGGCAGGCCACCAGGCTGCAGAACCCACATGCAGAGAATGGATGTGAGGAGAAGGGGCCAGAGGAAACAGGCCCTGCAGGTGCAGGAGAGAGAAGCTGCACACGCTCCCAAGGACCCGAGAGCACTCATGTCGGTGGGCCGTGGTCTCCTGTGGCCTGCTAGGAAATCCCCCTCTGCCTGAGCTCACTTGAGAAGGTCTCTGTTTCCCAAACCCTGTCCCCCATTGCACCCAACCCTGCAGTGAGTCACGAGGAGCTCTCCCATGAGGGGCAGAGGAGGCTCACTCAGTGACCCCTGTGCCACCCCACGTCAGAGGAGATGGGGCTCTCTAGTGGTCCTAGGAGCACCTCATTTCTGTCACATCCCCACCCCTGGGCCCACAGGACATGAGCTTGAAGGGAAATGGGAAGACTGGGCATGAGAGGGAAGGGCCAGGATAGACACACCCCCAGCAGAAGGGCCTGTGTCTTCCTGCTCCCACACAGAGGCCGGGTAACTTGCTTTTTTTACTAACAGGTTGGCCTTAGGGGAAAAGGGGGCCTCACCAAAGGAGTGCTACTAGTGGGTCAGCCTAGCTTAGGAGAATTCTGTGTTGGGCTTTGCACCAAAGACCAATTAGTAATTGGAATTTTTCATTTATAACTGAGGATATGGCTCAAGCTAGCTTAAACAGAGAGAGGACACGTATCGGCTGTGTAATGGGTCATAGCTTCAGGCACAGTTGGTTCTAGAAGCTCAAGTTGGATCTGTATTCTCTCTCTCTTTCTCTCTCTCCACAATTCTATTCTGTTTCCCCCCTTTTTAGGCTTCTTCCTCAGACCAGCTCTCCCAGCAGCAAGCTGATCATCAATAACTCCAAGGTCAGAGAAGCTAGAGCTTCCAGAGCGGAGAGCTCAAGAAAGTCCCCATGGTCTTTCTGACTCCTCTCCCTTGGGTCATGTGCCCAGCCCCTTGGCTGGAGAGGCAGAACTGGGACCAGCCCAGTTCTTCACTCAGCCCAGTCACATCTTCACTCTTGTACAGGTAGGAGGTCCATGTACCAATGGGGAATGGGAGTGACCTCTGCAGGCCACACCCATGCTGAATTCTCTGCCTGCCTCCCGAGTGCATGTGTTCCTAAGTGAGGCTGAGTGCGGCTTCAGCTGATCTTAAGTACTTCACAAGAGACCTCTTCTCCATAGCACTCTGCGAGCACCCATTGTTGAGACTTCTAACAAGCCAATCAGATGGCCATGTAATTACAGACAGTTTCCAACTTATGATGGTTCCACTTATAATTTTCCTGATTTTATAATGGTGAGAAAGCAATATGTATTCAGTAGGAAGCGGTAAGATACTCTCTCGATGCCGGACACCAGCCACGTGATCACGATGGTAAACGACCTTATAGGGGACTGTGCGGCCAGACAATTTGCCCAGCTGTAGGCTAAATGAGTGTTCTGAGCATGTGTAAGGTAGGCTGGGATATGATGCTCAGTAGGTTAGGTGTATTACATGCAATTTCACCTTATGAAATCTTCAACCTACAATGGGTTTATTGGGATGTGACCTCATAGTAAGTCCAGGAGCACCTCTATGCAGCTGACAGGTGACAGAGTGCAGCCCCAGGCAGCAAGCCAGCCTCCTGTGAAAGCAGGGTGTAGGTAGAATCAGTCCACAGGCTCCGGCCCTTTGCTGATGGAGACTTTCAGCGCCGACCCCATCTGACTCTCCTCTCCTTCCAGACCCCTGGGAGATGACACTCCTGAATCCCTCACAGGGAGCGAGGTCATGTCATGGATGAAGGCTATGTCACCTCCAGGGGGAGGCATTTACCCGCCAATCTGACTCTCCAGGTCCTCTCATTCTTCCCACCCACAGTGACCATGGAGGAGGCCTCGGGTGGAGACCTGCCACCAGGGCGACTGCTCCTTCAAGAGTTGCCCATGTCTGAAGTGCACTTTATGTGAGGGGAAACGCACCTTCGCTGTGCTCAGCCTTGAGGTTAGGTGCTGTTTGGTGCTGCAGCACGTGTTGGCCTCCCCTGACACCTCAGCTATCCCTGGGCAATCTGAGGCCCCACCGCCCCCATGATAGCTCCTCTGCTCCTTCTCTCAGTCTCTTGGGATCTGCACCATGCCTCCCTCCTCTATCAAATATTCCTGGGCTGGCTGATTGAAATACTAATATGAGCTAATATCTTTTTTTAATTTAAATTGATGAAATTGTATATATGTATGGTATACAACATGATGTGCGATATACAGTATGTATACATTGTGGGTGTCTAAATCAAGCTAATTAACATATCCATTACCTCACCTACATTTTGGTGTAAGAACACTTAAAATGTACTCTCAGCAATTTTCAAGTCTATAATACGTTGTTATTAACTATAGTCGCCATACTGTACAATAGACTTCCTGAATTTATTCCTCCTCTTTAACTGAAATTTTGTATCTTTTTTTTTTCTTTTCTTTTTTTGAGACGGAGTTTCGCTCTTATTGCCCAGGCTGGAGTGCAATGGCATGATCTCGGCTCACGGCAACCTCCGCCTCCCGGTCCAAGCGATTCTCCTGCCTCAGCCTTCCGAGTAGCTGGGATTACAGGCATGCACCACCATGCCCGGCTAATTTTGTAGTTTTAGTAGAGACGGGGTTTCTCCATGTTGGTCAGGCTGGTCTCGAACTCCCGATCTCAGGTGATCCGCCCGTCTTGGCCTCCCAAAGTGTTGGGATAACAGGCGTTAGCCACCGCGCCCGGCCGAAATTTCGTATCCTTTGACCAACATCTGGAACCCCTTCCCCGCTCCCCCTACCAGCTAAGTTCTTAATGGCTGATGTGGGTTAATCGTGTTATGCTATTGGTTAGCCTTATTTCCCACCAAACCTTCCTTTAGGCTTAACCTAGCCCCTTGAGCTTCCTCCGGGGTCCTCTCCTGGGCCTGCGCTGTCCTGCTCCCTGCGTGGGCCTTGCTCCCGGGTGCACAGGTGCACTACGGCCATCCTTCAAGGCAGGATCAAATTCCTCGTGGACTTTCCCAGCGTCCAGACCCCAAGCCTGGGCTCTGGCAGCTGGCTCCTTTCTTGCAGGTCTCTTGGAATCGCTTCGCGCTTGCCGGCCTGGTTGTGGACTGAGGGCTCCTGGAGGGCAGGTCAGGGGTCCAGCCCCACCCCCCACGCCTGTGGATTCTCATCTGCGCTCGGGTCCCGCGTTGGCGGAACTGTGGAAGCTTCAGGCCACCCATCCGAGTCACGCGGACTAGGATGCCCCGCCCCAGTCTTTGGCTGGGGGTGGGAGGGTGGGGGAAGGGCCGGAGTACCGGGGGCCTCTGCGCAGTCCCCGCTCCTGTGGCCGATGTGGCTGCCGGGCGGGCAGCAGGAGAGAGTGGTCCGCGCTGACCCGCGGGCCCTTCGCTGTCCGGGCACCGCCCCAGCGGAGCCAGCGGAAAGCGCGAGTCAGAGTCGCGCGGTTTCGAGGTCAGGGTGACCCGCGAGCGTGGGCGGCGCCTGCAGACCCGCTCCAGAGACGCCCGGTGCCCGCGCCCGGGACCCTGTCCACGCGGCCTCCGCGCTGCGCCGCACCTCCCCCCGCAACCCACCCGGCGTCAGCTTCTCCAGAACCTAGATTTAAATCGGGAAACTGGCTGGACACCAGGATGCAAAGAAAGTCCTTTAATTAAAAAAGAAGCACATGAATGAAAGGAAAAGCGAGGGACATTAGGGTGGGCGAGTTGGTCCCAGAAAGCCCTTAATGTCTTTTTTTTTTTTTTTTTGACGGAGTCTTGCTCTGTCTCCCAGGCTGGAAGTGCAGTGGTGCGATCTTGGCTCACTGCAACCTCTGCCTCCCGGGTGCAAGCAATTCTCTGCCTCAGCCTCCCGCCACCAAGTCCGGCTAATTTTTGTATTTTTAGTAGAGACGGGGTTTCACCATCTTGGCCAGGCCACTCCTGACCTCGTGTAACACCTGCCTCGGCCTCCCAAAGTGTTGGGATTACAGGCGTGAGTCACCGTGCCCGGCCCTTTATTTTTATTATTCTTTTGAGGCAGTGTCTTGCTCTGGAGGAGTGCAGTGTGGCGATCTCGGCTCCCTGCAGCCTCAGAACTCCTGAGCTCAAGCAAGCCTCCTTCCTCAGTCTCCTGAGTAGCTGGGACCACAGGCACGCACCACCACACAGGTTGTTTGTTTTTGTAGAGAGGTGTCTCACTATGTTGCCCAGGTTGGCCTTGAACTCCTGGGCTCAAGCCATCCTCCTGCCTCACCTCCCAAAGTGGTGGGATTACAGGTGTGAGCCAGGGCGCCCGGCCCCTGTTGATGATATGTTTACATGGCTACAGGGACAGGATAGCTAGTTCACATGAATGCCACTGGCTAAATACGTCCTTGCCAGTATTGGGAGAAGGGCTGCTGCCGGCGGTGGTGAGGGTGATGATGGTAGCCACTGTTTCTATCTTGAGCGCCTAGTGTGTCCAGAGACTTTGCTGAGCGGTTTGCATACAGGGTCTCTATCCTGACTACAGCCCCGCGAGGGTATATCGATTCTTATCCTAACAACAACATTTTACATTGCTGTATAACACATATCAGTCTAAGGCACAATCTCTCGGCCTTTGACGTCACACTTGCTTTTCCTTAATTTCTTCCTTGATGCCCTTTTGCAGTCACTATGGCTGTGTGCCAACCCACCTGGAAACTTAGTGGCTTGACAATGATAACATTTCTTTTACTCTTGAATCTCTGCAAATTGGGTGGGGTTGGCTGGCGGAACGGTTTTAAAGACCCTGCTCTGAGGAGTGTTTTTCCATGACAAAAACCAGTCTCTGTCTGGGGCCACCGAGGCTTGGAGGAAACTGACTGCCAGGACCCAGAGAGCCACATCGTGTTTGATAATTCTGCACCCTAATGCTGGAGGGGGCGCCGATCAGGAGCCTGAGCCCCGCAAATAATAAATGACCCGATCCAAGTCATGCAAAATTACAAAGCAGTTACATTAGGTAGGAAGAGGGGAGACTTGGGTACAAATTGGTACCATAGGCTTCTCTATGACGGTCTGATTTACAGTCATCCAGCAGATGGAGGGAGACAGGGAGCTCAGAGAGGCTTAGCTGTCAGCAGCTGGGCTGGGATCCTAGTCTCCCCACCCTGTGCCTGCAGGGGGACCAGTCTCTTCTCAGAGCAGCCCTTAGTGTTATTTATCAAGACTAGACATTTTTTTCTCATGTAATTCACTTACAACTTTTGTTTTTGTCCTGACGTGTGTGTCTTTTAAAGCACATTCCTCGCATCTTATTTCTGTTTTTCTGACTTCATCTGTTGACTACTCATCACATGTCTATTCATTTCTTCTTGCTTAGTAATAAAAACAGGCTGTGGCCATGTCCCATAAGTTTTGCTGGGCAATTTTCTCATCATTCCCGTCTTATGTAAATGCAGTTTTGTTTTTCTCGGTGAGCTGACATTTCTTTAGGACAGTGGTTTTATTTCTAAGTTTCAAGGGGTTAGATGTTTAAAATTGGGGTGTGATTTACATACATGGCATTTTAAAAATTAAACTTTTAGTTATTGACTTGAAGATTTATTACATTGAGGTTTTTAACCTTATTACCTTTTTTGCCTTTTGGTATTTATTGAGGTTTCTCTGTGGCCCAATATTTCATCGATGTGTATAAATATTGCTTGAATTCTGGAAAGGAAAGTTCTCTGTCTTTGGTGGGTTTTTTTTTTTTTTTTTTTTTTTTTGAGACAGAGTCTCGCTCTGTTGCTCAGGCTGGAGTGCAGTGGCACAATCTTGGCTCACTGCAACCTCTGCCTCCCAGATTCAAGTAATTCTCGTGCCTTAGCCTCCCCAGTAGCTGGGATTACAGGTGCCTGCCACCATGCCTGGCTAATTTTTGTATTTTTAGTAGAGACGGGGTTTCACCATGTTGGCAAGGCTACTCTTGAACTCCTGACCTCAAGTGATCTGCCCCCACTTGGCCTTCCAAAGTGCTGGGATTACAGGCGTGAGCCACCATGCCTGGCCAGTTCTCTATTTTTATATAAAATTTAACATAGATATGACTCATATGTCATAGCCTATAACCACAAAGTCATATGCACACTCATGTTACACCCAGATTATGAAGGCCTGTTGAGACTCCCACCCTCCCTCCCTCCCGTCCCATTGCCAAGGGCACAGTCCTCCATGGAATATGGCTTATGTCCCTACAGCAGTGGAAAGATCAAAGGTACAAACCCAGCTCGAAGCTAGACTTTCTCACCTAGACCAAGTAAGGCTTCCTTTGTTCCCTAATCTGGGCTCTAAGACTTCCTCTTCAACAGTTAGATGACCTCAGACTATGACCTCATGGCCTAGAAATTTACCAGATTGCTCAAGAAAATCTTGGTTTTGGGCCCTCAAACCGATCTCAATCCCAGGAGCTCAAACAGAGCCCAAAAGCCCCAAGAGAGAACCTTTGCCATGGTGTTTCTTCAACCTCACCCACCCACCAGCCTGCATGTGGTCCTCAAGAAAGACTGTTTCCCTTAAAAAAAGAAAGAGTTCACATGACAACTGATGTCTCTGAACAAACGTGTGTGTGTGTGTGTGTGTGTGTAGGTGTGTGTCGGGGGGTCGGGGGGTGGGGGTTGACTTCATTAGCAGTGTCTATTCAATCAGCGATATTGATTACATTATTCAAGGCCTTCATATGCCTGTGGATTTTTAATATACTGCCTCCATCAAAAAGGTGTGAGTGAGGCTGGGCGCAGTGGCTCAGGCCTGTAATTCCAGCACTTTGGGAGGCCGAAGAGGGCGGGTCACGAGGTCAGGAGCTCGAGATCATCCTGGCTAACACAGTGAAACCCCATCTCCACAAAAAATACAAAAAATTAGCCGGGCATGGTGGCAGGCGCCTGTAGTCTCAGCTACTCCGGAGGCTGAGGCAGGACAATGACCTGAACCTAGGAGGCGGAGCTTGCAGTGAGCCGAGATCACGCCACTGCACTCCAGACTGGGCAACAGAGTGAGACTCCCTCTCAAAAAAAAAAAAAAAGTGCGAGTGATACAGTAAAACCTCCCCGTGCAATTGCATTTTTGTCAATTTCCCTTTGTATTTTTTAAAGTTTTCATTTAATACATTTTAGTGGAATAATATTTCCCATGTAAGAAGGATTGTGGAAGTTGTCATTTCATGATTTAGAAAAATAAAATGACCACCTTTGCCTTATTTTCATAGTTGTTGTTTTAGATTCTATTTTCTGTGATTTTTTTTTAAATGTAACATCTGTTCTTTTCACTTACTTGTTTGCAGTAGACCTAGAACATTTTCGTTTGTTCCTTTGCTTTCATTAGCAAATCCACAGTGAGCATCTCCTATATGTATGCCACGTGGTGTCTCAGAACTGGGCTTTGCAGAGTGTCATAGAGACATGGTTCCTACCTTCGTGAATCACATTCCATGCCTCACTCTATTTTAACTGTGTCTCTTATAGCCAGCATATAGTTGGATATTATTTTTTGAGTTTAGTCAACCAATTATGTCTTAGTATAGAGGTATTTGAACTACCCACATTTGTCACTATAACTAATACTTTCGGTATTATTTTTGTTATGCTGTTTCATGCTTTCTGATTTTTTTTTTTTTTTTTGAGACCGGGTTTCACTCTGTCACCCAGGCTGGAGTGCAGTGGCACAATCTCAGTTCACTGCAAACTCCACCTCCCAGGCTCAAGTGATCCTCCCACCTCAGCCTCCCAAGTAGCTGGGACTACAGGCCTGCACAACCACGCCCGACTAATTTTTGTATTTTTAGTAGCGACAGGGTTTCGCCATGTTGGCCAGGCTGGTCTCGAACTCCTGACCTCAGGTGATCCACCTGCCTCGGCCTCCCAAAGTGCTGGAATTACAGGAGTGAGCCACCATGCCCAGTTGCTTTCTAATATTTATGCTTACTTACTCTTTCCTTTGTTTTCTGTCTTTCACTGTCTGGATTTTGTCATCTTTGGTTGTTATATTATTCTGTATTTTATAAGGCATCGTCTCTGCTTCTTTTCTATTAGTAGAGCTCTTTTAGATTATTGCCTATATTAAAAATAATAAGTTTAGAAAAGATTCCTCTTCACCTGGTCTCTTATCCACTCGCTTCTTGGTTCTTAACAAAATAAACTGGCATTGACATCTAGACCACTGGCATGGGACTAGTGCTATGATGTTATGTACTTTCAGCCTTAAGAATAATTCTAAGCATTCACATTCAGTTGTGGAACTGTATTCACAGCACCAGTATAGATTGATCTCTTCTTTCAAGTGATTTATCTGCTCACCATCCATCTTTGACATCATATCACTCTCGTTTTTTGAACCTTTAAATAATTTCATATGTTATTCAATTGGGGTTATGTTTTCAAGAATTTTTGGTGATATAATTTCTGAGCAAGCTTTTGCATATAGTCTTTTGGCTTTTTCACATAAGATGAGATACAATTTAGTTAACTATATAATTCTTGGGTCACAGGCACTCCTTTTTGTAAGTTTCTTAGAAAGAACTTTACTGCCTTCTGATATTTAGCATTGTGGAGAAGTCCGATTCCCACCTTAATTTTTTTTCTTTATAAAGAAACTTTTATTTTTGCTTTCTGCTTAGATATTGGAAGGATGCTAAAAGTGAGGATGTAAAACATTATGGCCACTCTGGAAACCAGGATGGCAGGTTTTTTTAAAAAAAATTAAAGTAAGCATGCTAGAGGTTTATCAATTTTATTGTTTTGATTAACCAGCATTTTACTTCATTGATTTTAATTTCATTGGGTTTTCAGTATAACAACTGTTTTAATATATAATTTGTATGCCTTACAAGTCACCCATTTAAAGTGTGCTGTTCCATAGTTTTAACAGATCCGCTTAAGCCATCACCATAATTTTAGAATATTTTCATCACCCCATAAAGAAACACCATATCAGGCTGGGCGAGGTGGCTCATGCCTATATTCCCAGTACTTTTGGAGGCAGAGGCAGGAGGATCCCTTGAGCTGAGGAGTTCGAGACCAACCTGGGCAACACAGGGAGACCCCACTGTTGCACCACTGCACTCCAGGTTGGGCGACAAAGCCAGACCTTGTCTCAAAAACAACCAAACAAAAATCTTATTTGAGTTCGAAACGCATGTCAATTAGCAGTCACGCCCATTCTTCCCATCCCTCACAGCCCTGAGACAACCACCTGTCTCTTTAGATTTGTCTATGCTGGATGCCTCATATAAATGGAGTAATACAGTATTGGCTCTTTGCCCCTGGCTTCTTCCACTTAGCATGTTTTCAAGGTTCATCATGTTGTAGCACGTGTCAGCACTTCCTTTCTATTTTGTATATTATTCCATTGTATGGCTATACCACATTTCGTTTACCCATTCATCAATCAATGCATATTTAGTTTGTTTCCATTTGGGGGGCTGATACGAATAATGCTGTTATGAACATTAGTGTACAGGTTTTTGTGGAGGCATATGTTTTCATTTCTCCTGGGGATATACCGAGAAGCAGAATTACTGTGCCACACAGGAACTCTCTGATTAACCATTTAAAGAACTGCCAGACTCTTCTCCAAACTAGTGGTATCATTTTACATTCCTGCAACAGTGTATTGATATAAGGGTTTGATTTCTCCACATCTTTGCTGACACTTGTCATCTGACTTTTTTTTTTTTTTTGAGTTGGAGTCTCGCTCTGTCGCCCAGGCTGGAGTGCAGTGGCGCGATCTCGGTTCATTGCAAGCTCCACCTCCAAGGTTCACACCATTCTCCTGCCTCAGCCTCCTGAGTAGCTGGGACTACAGGTGCCCGCCACCACGCCCAGCTAATTTTTTATATTTTTTAGTAGAGATGGGGTTTCACCGTGTTAGCCAGGATAGTCTCGATCTCCTGACCTCGTGATCCACCCGCCTCGGCATCCCAAAGTGCTGGGATTACAGGTGTGAGCCACTGCGCCCGGCCCATCTGGTTTTTTAATCGTAGCCATCATAGTGGTTGTGAAGTGGTATCCCATATCCCACTGTGGTTGAATTTGAATTTTCCTGATGGTTAGTGATATTGACCTTCTTTTTTTTTTTTTATTATACTTTAAGTTCTAGGGTACATGTGCACGAGGTGCTGGTTTGTTACATTTGTATACATGTGACTTGTTGGTGTGCTGCACCCATTAACTTGGCATTTACATTGGGTCTATCTCCTAATGCTATCCCTCCCCCCTCCCCCCACCCCACAACAGGCCCTGGGGTGTGATGTCCCCCTTCCTGTGTCCAAGTGTTCTCATTGTTCAATTCCCACTATGAGTGAGAACATGCGGTGTCTGGTTTTTTTGTGCTTGCGATAGTTTGCTGAGAATGGTGGTTTCCAGCTTCATCCACGTCCCTACCTTCACAGCACGTCTACACTGATGTTGTGGCCAGGCAACTTGGCACTATAGCCTAGCCACGTCGACACACAGACTCAGTCATCATAGTTCACCCCTTGTCACCAGACGCATTTCCTTTAAACTGTACTTCATCTCCAAACAGAGGCATTAAATAACAAGGTCATACTTCCACCTAGCATGATACAACTATTCTGCCTACAACCAAAAATGCACTAACCCTTACCCCAGAAAAAGACAGAAAGTCCTTGAAGGACATTTACTTTTCTTTGATATCCTATAACTTAAACACTAAGATATAAAACTAATACATCTTATATGATAAGGCAATAAGAGATGGAAGAAAACAAATGTTTTTTCAAACACATACACACAAACATATTTGTAACAAAATAAGGAAGAAGCACTTATAACAGTTACAGTCCTTGTTTCTGTCACGTGGTCATAGCTGGTATTTCCAGTTACCCTTGTCTTCTGTGCATTCTGTATTCCCTTTGCCTTCAGTGAGCACCTGATGAAGTGACCTGAACTTCATTATTAAAAGGTTTGGGCCATTAGTAGTTCTGCCTGCGTTGTGCTCTGTTTTTGTTTTTTTTTATGGACTTTAATCACAGGGCATGGTAGTATTAAGAGATGCTCTAAGGGAGCTCTTCTATTCCACACGTGTTCTTCCTTATCTTCTGTGTGCAGTAGCGGTCCGGTTTCCTGTTTGTACTCCAGATCAGTTTCCCCAGCCAGTACAGTAACTCTCTTCTTTGCCTGTTAGTTCATTTGCACAAGGAGCTCAAAGTGGCCGGATGGCAGTCTTAACTTCCAGTTCAATGGAATCAGTATTGTGTCTCTTGGTGGAAGCATTCCTTGCTTTGGAACTAAAACCTCTAGATGAGCAGAGCACAGCACAAAGTTGCAGAGACAGGAAGCAAACAATGTCCTAGTGGTTACTACGCGTAATAGTGAATGGTGCCACTCCCATTTCCATCCTAGATTCCTGGACTATTGAAGAAATCCTGACTATCAGAGAAACAGCACCCTATATGGGACACAGATTCAGAGAATGCACAGCCTGCTGGAGAACCTTGCCCCAGCCCCACAAGGTGTTGCCACCTAGTAGGTGCTGTAACTGCATTTTCAAAAGGCCATTCCACCATTCTATGAAGCCAGCTGCTTCAGGATAGTCAAAAACATAATAAGATCAGTAGATTCCACGAGGATGAGCCAGGGCCACACTTCATGGGCTGTGAAGTAAATTCCTTGATCAGCAATACTGTGTGGAATACCGTGATGGTGGATAAGGCATTCTGGAAGTCCACAGATGGTAGTTTTGGCAGAAGCATTGTGTGCAGGGAAAGGAAATCAATATCTAGAATGTCTATTCCAGTAAGAACAAAACTCTGTCCCTTTTGTGATGGAAACTGTCCAACGTAATCAACCTGCCACCATGTATTTGGCTGAACACTTTGGAAAATGGCACCATGTTGAGGGCTCAGTGTTGTCTCTGCTGAGGGTAGATTGGGCACACAGTAGATTGGGTATATTGTCTCTCTTGAGGGTAGATTGGACACACAGTGGGAGCAATTGCTGGGTCAGCCTTCGTGAGTGGCAATTCTGTGTTGCTGAGCCTGTGCATAGCTTCCATCCCTGCCACCATGGCCACTTTTTGCTCAGGAGCCCATGGATGATGACAAGGGTGGCTGGACAAAGAGGCTGACTGGTGTCATCCTATCCACTTGATTATTGTTATTATTATTATTTTTGAGATGGAGTCTCGCACTGTCGCCCAGGCTGGAGTGCAGTGGCGTGATCTCCGATCACTGCAACCTCCGCCTCCTGGGTTCAAGTGAGTCTCCTGCCTCAGCCTCCCGAGTAGCTGGGATTATAGGTGCCCACCACCACGCCCGGGTAATTTTTTGTATTTTTAGTAGAGACGGGGTTTCACTATGTTGGCCAGGGTGGTCTTGAACTCCTGACCTTGTGATCTGCCTGCCTCGGCCTCCCAAAGTGC
Organism: Homo sapiens; assembly: GCF_000001405.40. Lineage (NCBI taxonomy): Eukaryota > Metazoa > Chordata > Mammalia > Primates > Hominidae > Homo > Homo sapiens. Next base: position 3,735,912 of record NT_187660.1, read on the forward strand.
TGGGATTACAGGCGTGAGCCACTGTGCCCCGCCTCCACTTGATTATTAAGCTCCTCCTTTTCTGAGGTCACTGTTTGGTGAGCTGTCACATGGGACACAAATATCTTCACTTTTTGTGCCCATTCAGAGAGATCTATACACATACCTACCTTGACACATAATATCAGAGATCTATACACATGACCTCCTTGTCGCCAATTTTCCAGTTATATTCCCTCCAAGTCCCTGACCATCCATTCAGACCATTGGTCATAGTCCATAATTGGTACATAATCACATGTCTGGCCATTTCTACTTCTAAGCAAAAAGAACGAGAGAGAGAGAGAGAGAGAGAGGCTTAAGGGGGAAGGGGAGGGAGAAGGGAAAGGGAAGGAAGACGGGGAAGGGGAGGGAGAGGTGGAAGGGAAGAGGAAAAAGGAGTGGGAGGGTAGGAGGTAGGGAGAGAGAGATTTTAAGAAATTGGCTTGCACTGTTTTGGGGACTGGCAAGTTTGAAGTACGCAGGGCTGGCTGGAAGGCTGGAAATCCCGGCACAAGTCAGTGTTGTAGTCTTGAGTCCAACAGCAATCTGGAGGCAGAATATATTTTTCTGGAGACCTCAGTCGTTTCCCTTAAGGCCTTCAACTGATTGGATGAGGTCCACCCACATGATGGCAGGTAATTTGATTTTACTCAGTGTATTGATTAAATTATTAATTTGAATTAAAAAAATAACTTCACAGCAACATCTGGACTGATGTTTGACCAAGCAACTGGCCCCTGAGCCAAGTTAACCATCACAGTCATGGTGCCTAATCCTTTTTGTAGTTACTGGATTAGTTCTGCTAGTATTTTATTGATGATTTTTGCATTTATATTCATGGGAGATACTGGTCTGTAGTCAATTTAATGGATTTATATTCCTCTACTTCTTATTTCCTTCTTCCTTGCTTTTGGTTTAATTTTGCCCCTTCCCCGGTTTCTTGAGGTAGAAACTTAGACTACTTATTGGAAACCTTTTCTCTATTATTGAAAATGTGGTATTGAAATCTGTAACTCTCATTGCTGAATTGTCTGTTTCTCCCTTCCTTTCTGTCAGTTTATGCTTCCTCCATGTTGGTGCTCCATTACTGGGTGCATAATTTTTAAATAATTGCTTTATCTTCCTGATAGATTAATCCCTTTATCACTTTTAAATATCTCTTTATCTTGACAAACTTTTTTTGGTTTGAAAGTCTAGCTTGTCAGATGTCTGATGTTAGTATAGCCACTCCAACTTTCTTGCAATTGCTTTATGCATGGTGCATCCTTTTTCTATCCACTTACTTCCATCCCACTGTGTCTTTGGGCCTAGTGCATCTCCTGTAGAGAATACATAGTTAGATCATGTTTTTTTAAATCCAGCCAGATAATCTTTGCCTTTTGATTGTATTATTTAATCCATCCACATTTAATGTTATAGTTAGATTTGCATCTGCTATTTTACTTTTTGGGTGCTATATGTTTTACGTCTTTTCAGTCCTCGATTCCCCTTTATGTTAAATATTTTCTAATGTACCATTTTAACTTCATTAATTTTTTTTCACAATTCTTTTAGTTATTTCCTTAGTGGCTATTCTAAGTCTTACTACATACGTCCTAAATTATTAGCATCAGTTTCATATTTATACTAGCTTAGTTCTAGTGATACATAGAAACGTTACTCTTATATAGCTCTGTTCCTTTTATCCCACTTTTGGTGATATTACTGTTATACATATTACATTATTGTTACAAACCCAGAGACTCTTTAATAATTATTACATTATATACTTTTATGTCTTTTAAAGAAGTTTAGAGAAGAAAGAAGACTGAGTATATATTAATAGCTTCTGTTATATTAACCTTCTTCCTTATTTCTAGTTCTTCTCTTTTGTTCCTGTGGACTCAAGTTACCGTCTGTAGCCATTTCTTTAGCCGAATACAGCTTTGTTGCCACCTACCTCCTTTTTATTGTTATTGGCAAGTATATTGCACTTCTATATGTTATATGTCCAACTATACATTCTATATATGTAACTTTATATAATTGCTTTTAAAATCAGTTAAGAGAACAATGAAAAAAACATGCATTTTATATGTCTTTTGCAATTATACGATGTAATTACGTAATTACCTATACCAGCACTTTTTGGGTTTTTTTTTAGGGTACATTCTAATTACCCTCTGGGGTCACTTTGTTTTAGCCTGAAGAACTTCTTTTAGTATTTCTTGTAAGTGGGGAAGTGAAGTCGGGTAGCAACAAAATCTGTCAGTTTTTGTTTATTTGAGAGTTTATTTTACCTTCATTTATTTTTCGTTTTATTTTTTGTAGAGATGGGGTCTTGCTAAGTTGTGCAGGCTGGTCTCAAACTCCTGGCCTCAAGCCATACTTCCACCTCTGCCTCCCAAGTGCTGGGATTACAGGCATAAGTCACCATGCTCAGCTCATCTTCATGTTTGAAAGATAGTTTTGCTGGATATAGTTTTTTTTTTTCTTTTTGAGCATTTTATTTTATTTTTTATTTTTATTTTATTCATTTTTTTTCAAAGTAAACTTCTGCATTTATTTTAAATCACATCCTCGGTGTGACTGCACCTTTTCTGTCCAGCTGTCAGGTGGCCCAATAATGCCTTGGACTCCGTCCCCTTGTCAGTGCCACTGGCTGTTCCTGACTCTAGTTCCCAGGGGAGCCTCAAACTGGGGCCTAGCCAAGAAAGCTACTGGCTAGCATCACATAGCTTCTCCAGCTCAAATAGCCCAAGGTCGGCATGTCTGCCGACCTCCAGGAATAACCGCGGTCACCGTGCCCAGACGACACATCCTCGTGCTATGGGGAGAAGCCTCTGCTGGGTGACCCACCAGCCAACCCTGGGCCAATTTAATTTAGATAAACGCTCAAAGTCCAAACGGCCACAGGAAACCCCTGATGTAACACCTGTTGTGCCGGCCAGCCGTGTCTCAGGAGCTGACTGCAGACACCTGGTCTGGGTCCCTCAAGCCCAGCAGAGCTTGTTATGTCCCCTAAGACAAAGGAGGAAAATGTGGCTCCCCGAGAGGAAGGTGCTGAGCCCCTCACCCCAGGGTGTCACTGAAGATAAGCGGTGACAGTACCGTTGTTCCTTCTGACAGTTGTTCCTTCTGAACAACTTCAAGCTCTTCTCCCTGCTTGAGGTTCTCAGGCTGAATCCCACTGACCGCTGTCCTATAGTCCGTCACGGGCTCGGTTGGTTTGACTACTTGTCATAAACGCACTTCCCCTACTGGTTCATGATGGATACACGGGCGGCCACGCTCTCCTCCCCTTTAGGACTCACGCCCACCATCTCACAGTCCAAGGCTAAGGCTCTTGTCAGGCCGCCGAAGGCCGGCTCTTCCACGAGTCTGAGGCTGACGCTGCCCTCACTGTGACTCAACTGTTTCCTCGCTATCTTGGCCACCTCTGGACCTATGGCAGCTTCGATATCCGCCGGGTCCACGTCGTCAAACCACATGTCTTCCTCGGTGGGTGGGGCAGGGTCTGCCTCCTTAGCTTTCTGCTTCTTATGCTTGATGTCCCCTCATTCTGGAACAATATCACCATTTGTCCTTTCCTTGGTTCCTTTCTTATTGTGCTCTGCTCCGCCGGCCTTGGTGCGAGGTACTGGCGCCTTCCTGTCCATCTTGGAGCCTGAAGGAACAGAGCCCCTGCTGGCCTCTTGGTCTTTTCCCGCCAGCATTTCCTCTCCCTTCACTTGAGGCGAGATCTCTTTTTTGTTTTGCTGGATAATTTTGGGCTTCTTTTTGGAACCCATCTGAGAGATGACAAAAGGCTTTTCTGGGGCCTGAGATTTTTGTTTCAGCAGCCACTCTTGCAGCACCTTCCAGTTTTGAGAAAAGTCTTCTGGTGCCTTTGGAGGTCGCACCACAGCACCAGGGCCGCTTCCTGGCTTCTTGCTTACTTCCTGCGCCTTGCTTTTCCAAAACCTTTTTTTCTTCTTGTTTTTCTTCCAAGTGAGCGTCTTGACAGGACCCGGCTTAGCCACGGGGCTGCTCGGGGCGCGCTTGGAGGTGGGGACCTTCGCCTTCCCCATCCTGCTGCAGTCCAGCGCCTGGGCCGGCCGCCACCCGAGACCCCGGCCTCCCCGGGCCCGGCGCCCTGGCAGCACAAGCGCCTGCCCAGGCCAGGCCGAAACACACCCGCCGCAGGGACCTATTTTTTATTTTTTTGAGACAGAGCCTCACTCTGTTGCCCAGGCTGGAGTGCAGTGGCACGATGTCAGCTCACTGCAACGTCTGCCTCCTGGGTTCAAGCGATTCTCCTGCCTCAGCCTCCCGAGTAGCTGGGATTACAGGTGTGTGCCACCACACTTGGCTAATTTTTGTATTTTTAGTAGAGATGGGGTTTCACCATGTTGGCCAGGCTGGTCTTGAACTCCCGACCTCAGGTGATCTGCCTGCCTTGGCCTCCCAAAGTGCTGGGATTACAGATGTGAGCCACCATGTCTGGCCTGTTTGAGCATTTTAAATATGTGATTCCAGTGCTTTTTGGCCTTTTTTTTTTTTTTTTTTTTTTTGAGAATGCAGCTGTGAATCTTATGGGAATTCTTTTGTAAGGGACATGTTTTTGTTTTGCTTTGTTTTGTTTTTTTGTTTGCAGGTTTTCAAAATTGTCTACTTGATTTTGGCTTTCAGCTTTTTTTTCCTCCAGCACTTTTACTATTTGAGATATAGTACATTTTACTCTTTGTGGATGTCTGTGGTTATCCTACTTGGAGTTTGTTGAGCTTCCTGGATGTATATTGTTTTTCAATCAACTTAGAAATTTTACAGTCATTATTTATTTGAATATTTTTCCTTCTCTTCTGTCTGCTCTCCTGGTATTCTCATGATGTGTATACTAGTGTGCTTGATGGTGTCTCATATATCTCTGAAGCTCTGTTCACTTTTCATTTATTTTTCTCTCTGTTCTTTGGCTTGCATACTCTCTGATGATCTATCTTCAAGTTAATGAATTCTTTCTTCTGCCAGTTTTAATCTTCTGCCAGTTTAATCCACTAAAAACTCTAGTGAATTTTATTTCCATTATTGTACTTTCCAATTCCAGTATCTTCATTTAAAAAATAATTTCTCTCTCTTTGTTGCTATTTCCTATTTGATGTGATATTGTCATCATGCTTTACTTCTTGAATCATGGCTTTCTTTAGTTCTTTGAACATATTATAATGGCCACTTTAAAGTCTTTGTTAAATCTGACACCTATTTAGCTGCTCTTGTCACAAAAAAGTAGCTATAGGAGATGACAGCTATGTTCATCTGCTACACTATTGTAACCATTTTTCTGTGTATACATATAACATCATGTTGTAAACCTCAAATATAGACAAATAAAATTTATTTTTAAAAATCTGACATCGAGTTACTCTCACAGGAAGTTTCTCTTGCTGTTTTTTTCTGAGGTACAGATGATGCTTTCCTGTTTCTTAGCATGTTTCATTATTTTTTGCTGGGATATTTTAGATAACAGATAATATATTGTAGCATCTCTGGGTGCTTGTCCCCATTTCCCCCAGAGGGCTTGCTATTTACTTGTTTATTTTTTAGTGAAGGGCTGGATTGTTTAAGTGAAACCTACTCCCCTGGTGTTGAACATTTGCTATTGCTTCTTCAGGCAGCTTTGGCTCCACAGTCACAGTGATGGCAGTGGTTTTGGCAGTCCCTCTTTGACTGTCTCTTTCCCTGACCACACCAGCTTTAAGCTCCAGTAATTGCTGGCTGATTGTGGTGTTGTTCTCAACAATGCCCTTGAGATTCAATTGCTCTACAGACGGAGTCAATCAAATACAGGATCCTTTGAAGGAGTGGTTCTGGAGGTTGGTACTGTTGGCCCTCCATATCATTGAGTTCCACAGCCATCATTTAACCAACCGCAGATAGAAAATACTGTTAGTTTGTTTTTTTTAAAGAAGAAGATGGTTGTGTCCATATTGAACTGCCTTTTTTCTTTGTCATTATTCCCTATGCAATACAGTATAACAAATATTTACCTAGCATGTATATTGCATTAGTATTTACCTTGCATAAGTAATTTAATGATTCAAAGTATATGGGAGGTTGTGTGTATTTTATATGCAAATACTAGGCCATTTTATACAAGAGACTTGAGCACTCATGGATTTTGGTATCCTTGGGGAGTCCTGGAACCAATCCTTGTGGATATGAACTGAATTTGATATATGTTCTGACTCCAGATGAACTCCTCAGGTTCTCTGGGAAAAATCTCCAAGCAATGGATATTGAGCTGGGGGTGGGGACAAGGGTGCACTTCTCTCCAGGTGATAGTCCCACCTCAGGAGCTAGGCACTTGATGGATGGAGGTGGGCAGTAGCTTTGGGTTTTTTCAGCTTACCTCTTCTGGTGGGGCCTCACTATTCTCAGCAGCACTGTGCCCAAGGCAGAGCCTTCATGTCACGAGTGGTGGCTGGACATCAGGGAGCCCCCACCTCTCGTCACCCTCACCTAGAACTTAACCTCAGGCAGCTGGAGGCAGGATAAGAAATGCTGACCTGCCTCTCCTGGGAAGATACTGTGGACCTCCAGCTGAGACTCCAGGTACAGGGGAATGTGGCTGCTTCTCCTACATGCAGATGAATGCAGCTGCTTCCCACTCATACTTCTGGAACAGTTTGTCCCCATCCACTGCACCTTGCTCCTCAGGCTGGAGGGTCTACAGGGCAATTGGACTCAGCACTGCTTCTGGTCCTCTCAGCTGGTCCTGGATGGGCAAAGCCTAATGGGAATCTCAGTCTTATTCAGATGCCTGAGTCTCCTCAGCCCTCCTCTGCTCCTCCTCCCTATGGTGGTGCTGACTGTGGGCATTCGTCCTGTCTTCGGGGCATGCTGGCGCTGCTCCTCTGGTGCCCCCTGGGGAGTGTGGCCGAGGTCAGAGGCCCTGTGGCTGGTGTCTGGCCAGTTTTGGTGTGGACCCCTCGCTGGGCTCTGCCCACCTCGACTCCCCACGGCTCCAGCAACATCACTCAAACAAACTGTGTTTGCACACATGTGACTCAGTGATTTCTTCTGTAGGACTTTATTCTGCAAATGTGCTCATGATTGAGTAAAGACAATGACAAATGTGTTCACTGAAGCAGTGTTTGTGACAAAAGTCAGGAAACACCCAATGCCCACCAAACAGGATGACTTAAGTATCATCCATTCACACAATGGCATGTGTCTTTCCAGAAAGCAGGATTCTGTGATCAAGATATTTGGACATGTGCACAGCATGCTCCCACATGTACAAAGCACTCACACAAATATCCTCACGCATGCGCATATGGCCTTGGGTGTCTGGAGGGACACGTGGCACATTGCAGGCTGTGGCTCCTCGGGAATGGGTGTCCAAACCCCAGTTCTCTGCATCACTCTCTTTTAACTAAATCAGCATTTCATCCCTTTTAAGCCTGCTTTCACCGTCCTTCTACTATATGTGTTTAAAACCCATTCATGACTTTATAAAAACATCTCTTTGGGAAAAAGTGAGCCTGGGAAGGAAGTGTGGATTAGGAGTTTTGTTTTTTCCTTAAGATGATCTATTTTCTCCCTGGTGTTTGCAAATTATTTTCATGAGTCATTTGGGAATGTCCTTTTTATTTACTGTGGATTCCAGACAAACCCAGACTCTTGTACTGCACAGCACAGCCCGAAGCAGCCTTGGCCCAAGAGGCCGTCTGGGCTGGAGCTAAGAGTGTGACTCAGCTGGGACCTATTTTTCCCAACCTGCCCTGCCTGCCGCAGGGGCACAGGCAGCTGTAAGTAGAGGTGGAGGTGCCCCAAGACAAAAGGGAGCCCCCCACAGGGTGCCTTCTGGTTACAGAAGGGGTCCGCCAGGATCTCTGCCTGCAGCTGTGCGACACCTGGACTGGCCATTTTCTCCCCCTTAGCTTTTGTGGGCAGAGATTCCAGGTGCAACTGCGGAGGAAGAAAACCAATGGCCTCTTCATGCAAAGCTGCGTCCCACAAGGTGGCCTGGTGAACCATGCAGAGCAGGCCTAGCCAGCTTTAGGACCCTGCAGGCTGGGGTGAAGGGAGTGCAGGGATTTTCTAGGTTAGGGGCCTCAGGGCAGGTCTAGTCCCATTTTGTCAAAGTCCCTCTGATGGCAGCACAGATGAGTGGTGTCACTGACTTTGAAGGGATGGACCTGAGTTGAAGCATATGACAAAATGAGCTCCAGCTAGACCTGGGGCAACCCTGGGGGTCTCCCCCAACTCAGGCTGAAGGGAAGCAGAGATATGCTGCAGCCTCTGCCTTTCTTTCCTGGATTTCTCCTTTCTCCAGGGATCCTGTTTCCTTTGATTGGAAAATGGTATAGAGCCCAAGATCTGGGCGCTGGGTGTTCTCCTGGCCACTGGAGAGTTGTTGCTCTAGCCTCTCTTAGTGGACAGAGCTAGGACACATATGTATGTGTACTCACCCATTTGTAGATCATGTTAGTCTATTTGCATTGCCATAAAAGAATACCTGAGGCTGGATAATTTATAAAGAAAAAAGTTCATTTGGCTCATGGTTCTGCAGGCTGTGCAAGAAGCATGGAGCCAGCATCTGTTTCTGGTGAGGATGTCAAGAAGCTTTCAGTCATGGTGGAAGGAAAAGTGGGAGCTGGTGCATCACATGCCACAGAGGGAGCAAGAGAGAGGGGAGGGGTGTCAGGCTCTTTTCAACAACCACCTCTCATGTGGACTGACAGCACGAAGTCACTCATTACTGTGAGGAGTCACCAAGCCATTCATGGGAGATCTGCCAACATTGGGGATCACATTGGGATCACATCCAAACCATATCATATCCTGTGCCTTTAGTGATTTCTCTCTGTCCCTCTTTGTCCACTGAACTAAGCCTGGATTCACACTGATATCTCAGACTCAAGGCCAGCCCTACAGGACTCATTCCCGCCCCCACTGTTGATCCATAACCCCCCTTCCACACTCGCCACACTGAGACACTGGCTCTAACCACCCAGCATGCCTTCACTTGTTTGTTCAAGCCCAGTGTACCTGTGTGGAAGCTTCGGAATCATTAGCCTGCTCTCACTTGACATGCATGTGCTGAGTAGAGCATCGCTCCCTTTGTCTGCAGGTGTTTCCAGTAAGAACACCGCTTTCCCAACTTACTTAGGCCAGCTCCTCCTCCCACCCCCTCACGGAGGTCATGTTTGTAATTCAGTGAGTGTCTTGTCACAGTCTGTGTTCCATCCTGGGATTCCCCAACCTACTGGTTGAGGTTTTGTAATTTGCATGCACTAAAAATGAACTCTTTGTAATGTGTACAGTTCTATGGGTTTTGACAAATACAAAGATACTTGTAGCTAGCACTCCAGTAGCAGACAAAGTAGCTCCATTACCCTAAAAATTGTCCTATGCATCCCCTTTATAATAGCCATCTCCTGATCCTCTGAATCTCATAACCCCTGATGTGTTTTCCATCCTTATAGTTTCATCTTTTGCAGAATGTCATATGAATGGAATCATATGATATATAGCGTTTTGGGTCTGGCTTCTTTCATTTATGCTATTTCATTTAAAAAAAACAGTTTCAGTTTCACCAGAATTTTTAATTATGTGTTTTATCTTTTTGAAAGTAGTAAGCATAGCTAGTTAAAAATCTCCATGTGATATCCTCACTACTTGGGGCTTGCATGGGTCAATTTCTATTGCCTATTGTTTCTACTAGTTTTCGTTTGTGTTGATTTGTCTTCTTGAATTCTTGGTTCTCTTTCATTTTGAGTTGGATATTAAGTATGCAAAACTTTATAAAAATACTTTGAAGCATAGGATAATGATATTATTGTTATTATTATTATTGTTATTTTTACAGAGACTTGCTTCTGGCAGGTTCATAGCATAAACATTCTCTTTAATCCAGCTCAGAAATTGAGGTCTCCTGAGCCACACTGATGACTGAAGCCAGGCTGTAGCCCTCATGAGGGTTAATTTTCTTGTTTTCTCAGAGAAGGCAATCTTTTGGTATCCCCATGCAAAGGGTGACACCCACCCCAACTAGTCTTTCTTTTTTTTTTTTTTTGTTGAGACGGAGTCTTGCTCTGTCGCCCAGACTGGAGTGCAGTGGCGCGATCTTGGCTCACTGCAAGCTCCGCCTCCCGTATTCACGCCATTCTCCTGCCTCAGTCTCCTGAGTAGCTGGGACTACAGGCGCCCGCCACCAGCTGGGACTACAGGCGCCCGCCACCACGCTCAGCTAATTTTTTTTTGTATTTTTAGTAGAGACGGGGTTTCACCGTGTTAGCCAGGATGGTCTCCATCTCCTGACCTTGTGATCCACCCGCCTCAGGCTCCCAAAGTGCTGGGATTACAGGCATGAGCCACCACACCCAGCCTCTTTTTTTTTTTTTTTCTTAAAGATGGAGTCATGCTCTGTCGCCCAGGCTGGAGTGCAGTGGTGCGATCTTGGCTCAGTGCAACCTCCGCCTCCCGGGTTCAAGTGATTCTCCTGTCTCCCGAACAGCTGGGACTACAGGCACCCACCACCATGCCTGGCTAATTTTTATATTTTTAGTAGGGATGGGGTTTCACCATATTGGCCGGGCTGGTCTCGAACTCTTGACCTCAAGTTATCTGCCTGTGTTGGCCTCCCAAAGTGCTGGAATTACAGGCGTGAGTCACTGAGCCTGGCCCCAACTAGTGTTTCTATTCTTGGTGGGCCCTGAATTCTGCTTTTTGTCCCCTTAACCCTACAAAAGATCTTCATGTTTCTTTGTCACTCTTCCAGCATCAGCAGTCACCTCTAGACTTTAAATAGTCCTAAACAAGGTCATTCTTTATAACCTCATTAATCTCATATCTTTAGCAGATGTTTCTCATATTTTGAGCATTTTTTTTAAGTTGTTGGCTGGATTGATGGGTGGACAGATTAGCTGGGTTGATTCAGATGAGTTTATTCATCCCTCCTGGCAGTGGAGATCCCTGTTTCTCTCTCGGGCAAGCCCTTCCACCAGATCATTGGCCCCTGAGCTCATTCTCCACTGCAGGCTTGGGATGTGGACTTGTTCTTCACTCTGGGGCACTGAGACCCATTTCTGAGCGAGATCCTTGAACTGAATCTGAGGAACGTTCTTGAGGTGTTGTGCCAGATCCCTACTGACTCCAGTAGCGATGGCAACATGTCTAAGAGCTGGAGCCAGCGAATGAGACCTAGGGTTTATTGGGGCACTTCCAGTGGTGGCAAACTAGACAGGAAGATTGCTACCATTTGTAAAAAGCAGACAGTTTATGTAGCATTTTCACTTAGCACCCTCCACCTAGCAACCTCTATTTAACCCAGAACAAAGGGCTCCTATCCCCTGTACAGTCTGCATTCCAAGGGATGGGCCAGGGGTTCGGATGTCCTTCATGGATAAGGAGTGAATCTCCAAATTGGCCACTCCTGGATTCCTTAACTCAGAACTCTGCCAACACTCTTCTTAGACCATAGGACCATTCTCAGGGTAAGCGCCAGTGATGGCTGTCAGATGCCTCCGTCATACATAGAGGTGACTCACATATCCTGGTGTTCTGTGACTGTGCCGCTGGTGTTTGTGACCAGCACCCCAGAGGAGCTCCGAGGTGGGTCCTGGCATACCTGCTAACTCACCTCCTTCCTGACCTGCATGTGGCCCCACTCAGGGCTTGTTTCTCTTTTTCCAGAAGGTTAATTAATTAATACATAATGTCCAAATTGAAAAAAATAAATATTTCCACCATTTTATCACGTACATTTTGGAGTGACATTATAGAATGCTGTTATAGAATGCCATCTCAGGAGTTCAAAGTCAAGGTGGCAATGACGGAGTCATTTCCTAAAGGCTTGGGAGGGAAGCACAGAAGAGAATTCAAAGTCTTACCTTAAAGCCTTTGGATAGCGACATGAGCGCAGCATTCCAGTTCACAGCCAGGTTCTGCCCAGGGCCCTCTGCCCCCTCTTCCATCACTGACCTTTCCTGTTTGCCCTTCAGCCTGATGGGGCTTGGCACCCCTAAAGCAGTGGGTGCCTTGGCCACAAAGCACCTGCTACACGGCGGACCAGAATAGCAACATGCGTGCCAGGAATAACCGTGAGCACGGACAAAGCAGGAAAGGGCCTGGGGTTTATTTCAGGAGCTTGGGGGAGGAGCCATAAAACAGACTCAAATGAGCCCTCACCCCCAGACCATCAAAACCACTTTTAAAGCATTTTCCTCCAGGGGACAGGGTTGGTTACTCTTATTCCATCTCCCCTGGGTAGAAATTCTCCTCATGGTGGCAGTGCTGAGGCTCTTACAAAAGGATTTTTAAAAACCTGGTACAAAAAGGAATCTAACTAATGAAGTTGATGATGATGATGATGATGATTTTTTTGCCCAGGAGGGAGTGCAATGGAGCAATCTCGGCTCACCGCAACCTCTGCCTCCCAGGTTCAAGCGATTCTCCTGCCTCAGCCTCCTGAGTAGCTGCGATTACAGGCATGTGCCACCACGCCCGGCTAATTTTGTATTTTTAGTAGAGATGGGGTTTCTTCTCCATGTTGGTCAGGCTGGTCTTGATCTCCTGACCTCAGGTGATCCACCCACCTTGGTCTCTCAAAGTGCTGGGATTACAGACATGAGCCACTGCGCCCGGCCTATGAAGTTGATTATTCTTAAAGAAGTTGTTTTTGAATATGATGTGTTTAGTATCTGTGGTGTTATTATATATATATGTGTTTCTGTCCACGGTTCCTGGCTTGTAACTCCCATAGCCTGTGTTAGGGTCTTTTGTTATAACGTTGGGTGCTTTAGGGCTCAGGAAACAGAATCTCTCTGATCTTCTCCTGACCTCCTTTTACCTGCCCCAAGACAGGACTCTATTCCTCCTGCACCTTTCTGATTGTGGGTCACCAGACCCTCCCCAGAGGGAGTCCTGCCCTATACCTTGGGAGATGGAATGCTGATGTCACGGAGCTGCCATCAAAACCCAAAAGGAGGCTGGGCGCAGTGGCTCACGCTTGTAATCCCAGCACTTTGGGAGGCCGAGGCGGGCGGATCACGAGGTCAGGAGATTGAGACCATCCTGGCTAACACAGTGAAACCCCATTTCTACTAAAAATACAAAAAATTAGCCGGGCATGGTGGCGGGCGCCTGTAGTCCCAGCTACTTGGGAGGCTGAGGCAGGAGAATGGCGTGAACCCGGGAGGTGGAGCTTGCAGTGAGCCGAGATCATGCCACTGCACTCCAGCCTGGGCGATAGACCGAGACTCCATCTCAAAAAAAAAAAAACAAAAAAAAAAAAAACAAAACCCAAGAGGACTGGGTTCGGGAGCTTCCCGAGAGCTGAACACGCGGAGGTTCCTGGAGGGTGGCGCCCAGGGAGGGCATGGAAACTCCGTGCCCCTTCCCTCGATTTCATCCTACGCATCTCTTCATCTGTAGTCTTTGTAATATCCTTTATAATAATAAATATTATATATAATAGTAAACGTGTTTCTTACTGAGTTCTGTGAGCTGCTCCAATAAACTAATAGAACCCAGAGAGGGTTGTGGGAACTCTAACTTGAAGCCGGTTGGTCAGAAGTTCCAGAGGCCTGGACTTGCACCTGGTGTCTGGGAGCCAGGCAGTCCTAAGAGAGGATCTGCCCCACTTTCCAGGTAGACAGTGTGGGAGTTGAAGTGGAGGACACCCAGCTGGTGTCTGCTGCCTGGTGTGTAGGAGAAACCTCCACGCCTTTGGTCACAGAAGTCTTCTTCTGTGATGATGGTTGTGGTGGTGTGAGAGCAGAGGAAAAACACAACTGAGAGAGTTTTTCCAAAACGGTATCGTTGCTCATTCCTATTTTCCGGTAGGAAATGTATGGGTCAGGCGTGTTCCTCCAACTGCTTGCTCGTGACAAAGGAGAATAAACTGCTGGGCTTTATTTGATAATAAACAAAGCATCAAGCCCAACCTTCCAATTTTATTACTGTTGGGTGTAGCACAAGTAGGTTATGGATTCCAGATTATGAATTACTGATCAAAAACTGCAGTAAAATCTAGAACTACAGAATTAACTCACTGGTTAAGATACTAGATTTGAAAGGAGAAATAAATAATTGGTTGGCTACAGGCAACTTACTTTTTTTCTCCTGGGTGAGAAGAATAAAACATGAAAAACCCTGATGTGGACACAGCACGTGGCCAACCAGGGGTCTCTTCTTCCACGGTGCTCACCATGCAGGTGTCCAGCTCTCACCTCACTGCTTAGGGCAAAGCATTTTCTGCAAATGTGGGAACTCTGATAGCAGCTGTTCCTTGGACTGGCAGGAAATATTCTACGCTTCACTGGTTCCTACCCCTGAACCAGCCTCTGAGGTGCTCCTGCTGGTCCTGGGAGGTCAACAGCAGACAGGCTGGGGCTCCCGCCTCTCCTCCTCCATAACTCCTCCTTCCGTTCTGCTGCCGAAGTGCTCAGGTGAGGGCTGCTGAGCTCATCAGAGCAGGGGACACGTGGCTCAAACACCCTCATCCACCCCACAGAGAACTCCAGTTCCAGTGGCTGGGATGAGTTATGGAAACCTGGAAAGTCAAAAACACAGAGCACAAATCTGGAACGGATGAGTGTTGGGACTTTGTTGAGACAGTCTGTAGAGGAAGGCGAGCTAGCACAGTGGGAGCCATCAGTGGCCTCATGCTGCCCAGCTCTAAGGGCAGGGAGGCAGGGACAGACTTGAGTGCAGGAGGGCCATGCTGTCTCCTGCAGTAAAGCCTGGTGGGGACGAGGACTGCTCTGGTCACATTTCCTTCCCTTCATGGCCCCTGCACTGTTTGTGACAATAGGGTGGACACGAAGGGGCCATGGAGGATGGTGCCCGCCTAGCTCTGATGACCTGAGGGCTGGCCAGCACCACCAGCTACTGATGAATGGCCCCTGGTCACTTCTGGCTTCCTGTCCCTCTGCTGGCTTGTCCAGGACAAGTGCAGATTTAGGGACTCGGCCAAGTTACCCTGCAGCCTGGCTTGGCTCCTTCCTCCCTGTGTGACCCTGGGCAGATGATCTTATCCCTTCTGAGCCTCATCCACAAAGCTGCATTGGTGATCCTCCCCGTCAAGGATGTGAGAGTGGCCAGGCTGTGTCACGACAGCCCTGGGCTCACTGTAGGAGCCCCCAGACCCAGGGGAAAGTGGCCACCGCCCTGGCTCTTATTGTCCCTGTTCCTTCTTCTCACAGCAGCGCCTATGCTAACTTTCCTGCCTTCTGTACCACTAAGGGAGGACACTGGGCTGTGTTATTCCTGGACAAATCCACAACACTTAGTGAGCCCAGCACAAAGCAGTCCTCAGGCAGTTTGTGGAAGGAGTGCACGTCCTATCTGCTGGGGTGCCCCTTTGTCCCCTTCTCTGTCTGAGTAGATCAGGGCCCTGTGCAGCCCTCACCTCCACTGATAAGTCTTCCTTCCTGGGCAGTCCCTGCCTGGGGCAGAGCTGAGCCCTGGTGCTTTGTGGAGCTCCTCCCAGGGCACTCCCAGACACTCCCTGGGAATTGCATGGCAGGGAGTCACCTCTGTTCCCCGGGCAAGGGGCATGCCCAGGCTCAGGCTGCTTACCCAGCTCACCTGGGCACAGAGGAAGTCTTCTCTTCTGCACCAAAGGAAAGGGTGCTAATCACACCATTGACTGAGCCTTCAAAGGCACAGGGGCAAATCAAGATCCTGGCACCCAGACACCAAACACCTGAGGGAGGAGAGGAGGCATAGGTGAGGCTGACCAGGACAGAGGGCAGAATGTGAGCTCCACCTCCAAGAGGAAGGGAGTAGGAGGAGGCATGAGACAGGGGAGGCTCCTGGGAGGAGGAACACATGGCACAGGCCTGTGCAAACATGCCATGGGGCATGGCGGGATTCTGTGCTTCCATGCATGTGCCTAACTCAGATGTGGAAAACTCCATGTGCAAGGAACAGACAGCTACTTGGGCTGCTCCAGGTACGTTTGTGGGGGCTACTGCATGGGCACCAGAAAAATGGACATGGTATGGTCCTGTCTCAGGTAACTGAATCCATTTGCTGGTGGAATGGAAAACCATGCAACCTGTTTAGATCACTGTTTGGCAATTTCGAATAAAGTTAAGTACACACTTCTCATCCTGTGACCCAGCAATTTTACTCTATGTATTTTTTTTTCTTTTTTTTTTTTTGAGACGGAGTCTTGCTCTGTAGCCCAAGCTGGACCTTTGCCTCTGGGTCTCAAGCCATTCTCGTGCCTCAGCTTCCCCCGTCGCTGGGATTACAGGCGTGGGCCACCATGCCCGGCTAATTTTTTTTTCTTTGAGACGGAGTCTTGCTCTGTCGCCCAGGCTGGAGTGCAGTGGCACGATCTGGGCTCACTGCAACCTCCGCCTCCCAGGTCAAGCAGTTCTCTGCCTCAGCCTCCTGAGTAGCTGGGATTACAGGGGCCCACTGCTACGCCCAGCTAATTTTCGTATTTTTAGTAGAGACGGGGGTTTCACCATCCTGGCCAGGCTGGTCTTAAACTCCTGATCTCGTGATCCACCTGCCTTGGCCTCCCAAAGTGCTGGGATTACAGGCGTGAGCCACCGCGCCCGGCCCCGGCTAATCTTTTTGTATTTTAGTAGAGATGGGGTTTCACCATGTTGCTCAGGGTGGTCTGGAACTCCTGAGCTCAGGTGATCTGCCCACCTCAGCCTCCCAAAAGTGTAGGGATTACAGGTGAGAGAGCCTCCGCGCCCGGCCCACTCTATGTATTTATCCAGAAGAACTGAAAGCCTGTGTCTACCAAATGCTCACAAATGTTCATAGCAGCTTTATTCCCAAACTGGAAATAACCCAAATGTCCATTAATAAGAAAACAAACACAAATGGTGGTGTGGCCAATGCAATAGGAGACTATTCATCAAAAAACATTACAAACTGCTGAAACCCACAACAATCGCAATGAATTTCAGAAACCTTAGGTTGAGCAAATGAAAACTGACTAGAAACAGCACATGCTGCATGAGGTTTATACAGAATAAATCTAAAGTGAGCACACCTGTGCAATCGCTGCTTCTGAGGGCAGGGGGCAGTGGGAAGGGCAGGAGGGTCTCAGGGGTGGTGGGAATGTTCTGTATCTTGGCTGTGATGATGACCTGGGGGGTGTCTTTGCCAAAATTAATCAGAGTATACTTTGATATTTGTGTATTTTACTGTATATAAAATACACCTCAATAAAATTAATTTTATTGGAAAACACTGCAGATTTGAAGGTGAAATTTCTTACTTAGGTAGCCATATTGTAGACAGTAATGCATCAGGTTTTCCAGAATTCCAGAGCCACCTGACAGGTATGGAGCTCCTTGACTAAACGTGAGCCAGGCCCCCTGGAGAAAAGTCCCTGGAGAAGGGACCCGGCCATGTTACCCCAGATGCCTACTGCCCATGAGCCTGTGGCTTTTCTCTAGGGTGACTGTGCCCTGGGGCAAAAAGAGTTGTTCTAACAAATGTCTCCTCCTGAATTACGGCAGGGGAAAGGAACGCCTTGATAATCCGGTGATTACCTGGCACTGGCTCTGAGATGTCACCGATTTGGGGGACTTCAAGACACTACCATGGCCCAGCAGTCAAAGTGGGGGCTTATGGAGGTCAGATGATAAAAAGTGTTTGGTCCCAGGTGTGAATTTCCATGGGACGGTGTCTGCGGGCTCTCCGGGGGTCATGTCTCCCATTTCTGAATGTACAATTGAAATAGTTCCATTCAGCAACCAGCAGAGCCCCCACATTGGCTCTTCTGCCACGGAGTGAATGCCATTTTGGTAGAAAGTGGAAAGAAAGGGAAAGTGGAAAGAAAGGGAATTTTCCCTCCCTACTTCAATAGTAAATCAAAAGTAATTAACCCCACATCCTAGGGGAGTTGCAGAGATTAGTGCCGCTATCAACTACTCGAGAGATTTCAGGGTGGAAGTTCCTATTATGTCTCTGCTTCCCTGGCCTGCTTAACCTCTACTGAAGACAGACGCGTCTTGGGGAAATACAGTGCTCCAGAGTGAAGGTAACCAGCTGGTGACTCCATTTGCAGCTGCTGTTCTGGATGAAGATTCCTTTTTTTTTTTTTTTTTTTTTTTTTTGAGACTGGGTCTCACTCTGTTGCCCAGGCTGGAGTGCAGTGGTGCAACCTAGGCTCACTGCAACCTCCGCCTCCTGGGTTCAAGCAATTCTCCTGCCTCAGCCTCCCGAGTAGCTGAGATCACAGGCACATGCCACTATGCCCAGCTAATTTTTGTATTTTTAGTAGAGATGGGGTTTCATCATGTTGGCCAGGCTGGTCTCAAACTCCTGACCTCAGGTAACCCACCCACCTTGGCCTCCCAAAGTGCTGGGAATACAGGTGTTAGCCACAGCGCCTTGCCTGAAGCTTCTTCATTGGGAGCCACAGTTGCAGCCCCGCAGCACTGAGAGTTGGCTCTTAATCTCTATGTCAATTTCCAGGAACACCAGAAACAGTCTGCTCGTGTCTAGGGCACCCACAGCACCCCTTCCCAGTTTGCCTCAGGGTTATGCCAGTTTTCCTGCTCTCTCTGCCATGATAGCATCCACAGAGATGCCACAGAAAACCATAGTGGGCCACACCATTGACACTATGCTGATTGGTCCTGATGGGACGGGAGTAGCAAGTACATTAGGATCCTTTGTTTCGGGATCTTTGGGGAGTTGATTGGTGTTGATTTTCTTCCTGGAAACCTCCATGGCGTCTTTGTCCGAGTTCTCGTCCTGCATCTGGGAAGAATGAGGTACGCAGACAAGTGAAGAGTGAAGAAGACGAAGAACTTTATTTAGTATTAGAACAGCTCAGAGAAGACCCACAGTGAGTAGCTCCTCTCTGCAGCTGGTCATCCCATCATCTCTCCGGCCTCTGGCTGACCGTCCTCTGTCCTGCTCTGGCTGAGAGCAGGGCTGTTATGGACCTCAGAGGGGAGGAAGTGCATGCTGACTGGTCCACTGGTGGCCATGGGTGGGCCAGAGGAGGCACCACGAGTCCCCACTCTGGTCCGTGGGACTGGTAGCCCGGCCCCAGCCTTCAGGCCCTCCTTGACCTGAAGGTGGGGTCTTACAGGGACCCCCCGCCCCCGACTTCTGCCCAGGCCTTCCGTTGCCATTCGTGGCCCCAGGGCTTGGCCCCAACCCGGCTTCGAGATTGGAGCAGGTGCCAGAGAGGAGAGGGGCCAGGCAGTGGAAGCAGACACCCCTGAGCCTGCAGGGATGGAGGATGGGGGCCGAGGCTACAGGCTGCAGAGATGCCCCCGTCCTGCACCTGGGAGGGCTGCAGCTGCACCTGGAGAGCTCCCGCCCCACCAACTTGGAAGGGGCGGGGGTCCTGCTTGTCCCTAGCGCCTTCCTGCTCTGTGGAGCAGGAGGGCCAGGTCTGCAGCCGCCGCTCAGGCAGCTGCACCCAGGAGGGCAGCTCCTACCTGCTCCTGCCCCCCTCCAAGAGCACAGGGAGGCTTGGAAGCACAGCTACAGTTTGGACGGCTGTAGCCTTGTCCAGGAGGGCGGGGCTCCTGCCTTCTTCGAAGCACAGGAGGCCTGGGTCTGCAGCTGTGGGTTGGGTGGCCACAGCGACTTTCAGGGAGCTTCTGCCCCAACTCAGAAGCGCAGGGCTCCCACCAGCTCCATGGAGTGTGCAGCCCCAGCCACCTCCCTTCTGCAGCCAGTGTGATGGCAGCAGCCACTGCCATCACCTTGGTAAGACACAAAAGTAGGAGATGAACCCCATAAATGCTCAGGGGCTCACCCACTTGGTGAAGTGGCTGAGGATCCTGTGGAGCATTTCAGGACACCCCAAGAAAGTGAAAGATAAGTGGTCATACCCCAAAATGAGGCATGATGCTTGCTGAGACTTTTTGCATTTTGAAGGCATCCTATACATGATTTGGGGGTGCTATCCCAATGCATTGACCAGGGTGACTTTGAGACTACCAGTTGCAGGTGGGGTCCCCTGGGCCTCATCACCCAACAGATTCAGTGGTGCTCAAGTGTTTGTGGCCAACAGCAACATAGCAGAGAGCTCCAGGAGGTGAACTGTAGTATTGAACTCCATATTCTGGAGCAAACCCATGCCTTCTTCTATATATACATTCTGCTTTCTAAAAAGCAGCTCCTGGCGTACCCCTGGGTCCTGGTAAGGACTGAACAGATGACTGGGGACATCAGCTGACTCTGCAATACTAAGCTGGCCATCAAAGACTGGGTGTTACTCGACCCGCCCATCCATAAGGTTGGGCACACGCAGCTGTAAGCTGTCATCAAGTGAAGATCGGGTATGAGAGGATGGGTTGGAGAAAATCCAGAAGGCACGTGTCAGTGTGTGAACAGGTGGCTGAGACCCCTGTGACATGCACTCCTGCTTGTGTTGACTCCTCTCTCAATCTGTCTGTGGCTCACAGAAACTCCCGTGACCAAATGGCTGAGACCAGCCTTCAGATGGTTATCTGGGATAGTGGGTACCAGCTGAGAGTGGGCCCTGGGAATTCTGGAGTGTCCTTGGAAGATGGCAGGGAAGGGAAATTGTCCCAGTGGATGGCGCTTGAACAGAACAAATGGCTCTCGCTTTTCTGGACCGAAAGACAGCCAGAAGAATTAACCTACACTAGTGATTCTCAGCAGTGGGTGCTCTCCAGTTCCAGTCCCCAGGGACATTTGGCAATGTCTGGAGACATTTTCGATTGCCATAACTAGGTGGGGGTGCTACTGGCATCCAGTGAGTGGAGGTCAGTATATTAGTCATGGTTCTCCAGAGAAGCATAACCAATGGAATATAGAGAGATACACAAAAACAGATTTATTATGAGGGGTTTGGTTACGTGATTGTGGAGGCCGAGAAGTCCCATGAGCTGCACCTGCAAGCTGGAGGCCCAGGAAAGCCCCTGATGTAGCATCAGTCTGAACCCAAAGCTCTGAGAACCAAGGAGGCCAATGGTGTAAGTCTGGTCTCAGTCTGAGGGCTGGAGAGCCAGCAGAAGGGCAGGAGAAGATGGATGTTTCAGTTCAAGCAGAGAGTGTAAACTCAACCTTCCTCTAGGGGCCTTTTTGTTCTATGTGGGCCCTTAACGATTTGGATGAGGCCCACCCACATTGCTGAGAGCCATCTTTACTCAGTCTATGGATTCAAATGCTAACTTCTTCTGTAAACACCCTCACACACACCCAGAGATAATGGCTTACCAGCTAGCTGGGCATCCCTTAACCCAGTCAAGTTGACACGTAAAACTAACCACCACAGTCAGCTAGTGATGCTGCTGAACATCTTACAATGCACACAGGACTGTTCCCTACAGAAAAGAATGATCTGTCCCCAAATTTCAATAGTGCCACTATTGAAAAACCATGAGTTACACTGATTCATGGGCAGGTGAAAACAATTTGACTAGATGCTCAGGAACTTGGAAAGAACAGGATTCCAAGGTTGGTGACAAGGAAGCATGGTAACAGATGTATGTACGGGAAGGTGGAGTAGGATGTATGTGGATGGATCGCTCAGAAGGTGTAAAGAGACTGGAGATATTTGGGTGGCATGTTTATGCTCACCAGGAGCTCCCTCTGCAGAGGAGGCTCTTGAGACTCAGGTGGACAAGAAAGCATGCTCTGTGATGCTAGCTGACCCTCCCACCAGCCATCCTGATGTTTATTCAATGCGCCCAGGACCATGATTACAGGGATGGAGGCTGTGAATGAACACGACATGAATTTCCTCTTGCCAAGGCCAGCCTGGAGGCCACCACTGCTTTGTTGGAGTGATCTTCTGACAGCCTCCCCTGTGGTGCATTCCTGGGGAGGGCCAGCCAGATTCCTGTTGGCCAGCTGGACCCCATTCATAAAGGAAAATAATTTTCCCTCACTGGAATAGGTGTGCCCTGGATTCAGATTTGCTTTCCCTGTCTGCAATGCTGCTGCCAAAAGCCACTATCGTGGACTTAAAGAGTGCCTTATTCATCGCTGTGGTATTCTACACAGTGTTACTTCTGATGAAGAATTTCAATTTTAAAGCAATGAGATCATGCACAAGGATTTCACTTACTCCACATCCCACTGACCCAGAAGCAGCTGGCTTGATAGTGCTGTGGTCCTGCCTAGTGAAGACTCAGTTAGTATGCCAGCAGGGAGACAGCTCCCTGAAAGGTCGGAGTTCTACCTTACAGATGGAGTTTGGGATTTGAATCAGCAACTGCCATATGGTCTGCCATATGATGATCCCATGGCCGGAACACATGGTCTGGGAAACAAGAGGTGGGCATGTGAGGAGCTCTTGTCACTATGAAGCCTTGTAACCAAGAATCTGTACCTGCCCCTGCCCCATACCTCGTAACCAAGAATCTATACCTCCCCTGCTCCACACCTTAGCGCTTTTCTGTTTTGTAGTTCTTACTTCCCCAGGGAGCTTCCCAAAAGGCAGCACAGTGATTTCGCTGAACCTGGAGCTGAGACTTGGCCATTTTGGGCTTCTGAGCTGGGTGAATCAATGCAAAGAAAGTCGTTACTCTATTGGCTGGGTGACTGAATGAGTTGTTGCTACATAATGGGGGCCAATAAATGATGTCTGAAATCTAGGGGACTCTTTGGGGTGCCTTTAATTTTGTCCACATCCAAAAATAAGTTAATGGTAAATGATGGCATTGAAAAAAAGGGCTTGTGAGGACTCAGCATCTACAGGAATGAAAGTTTGGATTGTCCTTCAGGTAAAGAATCCCAACAACCTGAGGTCTGCCTGAGAGCAAAGCCAACATGGAATGGTTATGGAAGAAGGTAGTTTCAAACACCAACAGTGCTCTGTGGCCAGCTTCAGTTCCAGGGGGCCTGCAGTAGGGAGGCATATTTGCCTATCTTTCTTCTTGCTCAGTGTGCGTGTATACACACATACATGTACGTTCATACATGCATATATATGCATGTGTGTAGGTGGGTCAAGACACATAAGGACTTGCTCATTCCTTTTGCTTCCAGTTTCTCTCAATGTTGTCTTAGCAACAGCTCTTCACTTGCTAGCTGCAGTTTGTTTCAATTTCATTCTTCCCCCCACAGGAAAGAAGTGGCCAAATCACAGCCTCTACTGAGACACCGGCAACCCCTCCCTGGTGATCTGAGCCTAGCACTGCGAGCCTCCCCCTCTGGCTTCCTGAGGCACAGGCACCAGCTGGGAAGAGCTCCCTTTTCAAAGGTCTGACCTCAACGCGGTGGAGCCCTGCCCTATCTGCCTGTGGATTTTAACAACATGCTCTCTTTGCTTTGCCCCTGACCCTGTGAGGAAGCTGCTTCCTGTATGTTCTCTCCGTGGGACGTGTATGTCTCCTTTTTGTGTTTTTTAGGCTTCCAATACCTGCTTGACTAGTTCCCTATATTAAATTCTCTGTCAAAATAACTGAGGTGACTTCTGTTTTTCTAAATAATACACAGATTTTTTGATTTGGTGGGGAAACTTCAAGAGCCTTGAGTCGCTTTTTACAGAACAGAAACCTGGGGCTGGAGGGGTGAGATGCCTTCCTCAAGGTCAATTCTGGGGCCAGCCCAATCCAGGGTTCCTACCATCATCCTATATAGTCTTCTAAGCACATTTCAAAGCTTCAAATGCAGTATTTTGTCTTTCATACGGGATTCTCTGCTTGTCCTGAACAAACTAAGAACAGTTTCCTGTTTCCTCGTGTAGAAAAACATTAGAGCCAGAAACGGATGGTCCCATTGGCCTTAACAGGATTCCATGGGTATGTAGTGGCCATGGCTCCAGCAAATCCCACAGCCCTGCCAGGTATCTTTCCTGTCCTTCTCCCATCTGTGCTAACTCACCCCCCACCTGGAGCCAGATGGACTTGGGTGTCACCATCCCCCAGACTCTGAGCTCCTCCTGGGCAGGGGCCTTGCCCATTCCTCAGGATGACAATGTACTCTGATGCTGGGAGCACAGACCCTCATGTCAGACACACCTGAGCTGGAATCCTGGCTTTACGACTTACCTCGCCAAACCTTACTTTTCTTCTCTACAACACAGAGATTTTGCTATCTCACACGGTTGCTGCATGGATTGAATTCCACTAGGCACAGAATGTGCCACCCCCCAATGATGCCTATTCAGTGCGTGAGACCCTGTCATTACCTCCTCCATCACTGTCCCAGTGCATGGCACACAGTGGGTTGGGACTGAGTCCTGGGTGCATCACACCTTCTTTAGATAGGCCTGTGGCCTGGACCCCACCCACAGCTTCCTGAGGGGGCTTCTTTCTTTTACAGAGGCAGCGCCTCTCCTCCATAGAAGAGCACTCACAGATAAAAATTCACGGCAAAATCCTCCTCCTCCTCCTCTATGCTCCCAGCTGCCATTCTCTTGCTTATGGTTGCAACCTCTGGTGAAGACATGTTAAGGACAACCCTATTCAGCTTTTGATATGGTTTGGCTGCGCCCCCACCCAAATCTCATCTTGAATTGTAGCTCCCATAATTCCCATGTGTTGTGGGAGGGACCTGGTGGGAGATAATTGAATCATGGAGGCGGTTTCCCCCATACTGTTCTCGTGGTAGTAAGTCTCATGAGATCTGATGGTTTTATAAGGGGTTTCCCCTTTCACTTGGCTGTCATTCTCTCTTGCTTGTTGCCACGTAAGACTTGCCTTTTGCATTCTGCCATGATTGGGAGGCCTCCCCAAACACGTGGAACTGTGAGTCCATTAAACCTCTTTTTTTTTTTAGAAATTACCCAGTCTCAGGTATGTCCTTATCCGGAGTGTGAAAACAGACTAAATACAGCTTTCATCCAGATAGAATGTGTCATGGTCATTTTAGAAAGGAGAGAAACTATTTTCCTCTTATATGAATGAAACTTGGCCAGGCGTGCTGGCTCGCGCCTGTAATCCCAGCATTTTGGGAGGCTGAGGCAGGTGGATCACTTGAGGTCAGGAGTTTGAGACCAGCCTGGCCAACAACAGAGTAGTGAAAACCTGTCTCTACTAAAAATACAAAAAAAAAAAAAAGATTAGCTGGGCATGATGGTGTGCACTTGTAATCCCAGCTACTCAGGAGGCTGAGGCAGGAGAATATCACTTGAACCTGGGAGGCAGAGGTTGCACTGAGCCAAGATCACGCCACTGCCTGGGTGACAGAGAGCTAGACTCCGTCTCAAATAAAAAAAAAAAAAAAAAAAAAAGAGAATGAAATGGTGACAACTGGGTTTACATCTCATCTGGCTGGGAAAACACTTAAACAAAACAAAACTGGTATGGATGGATGTCTGATATAGTCCTCTTCCTCTTGGCAATAAAGCTTTTCTTAGATGGCATTTTACCAAGAACACAGGAGTCAGTGGGCAAATAATTGGACCAACCAATACTTTACAAACATGTTAATTTTATTGAGTAGGCATCAAAGCTTCTCTCTGTGTCAGGTAATGGAGAAGCCATGTCACACAGATTACAGAGCTATTTTTACTTGAAATAATCTTTCATAAAAGAAAGAAATTAAATACAATTCTTCTATAAAAAGTGCAGTAGTCATTACTGGAAGTTTTCCAAAATGAAAGCAAGATTTACTACATATTGCAAAAACTGGTTTAGTGCTTTAATACTTTACAAAGTAATATCCCAACCACAGAAGACAGCTCTTACAATGGGTTTCTTCTCCAAGAATGGACCGGATTGAAAAGGATATTTGCATTGAATTGGAATTAACACCTGCAGGTAGAAAGGGGTTCTGCACAACTGGGTCAAAGTAATGTGATTGACGACCTACTTTTGCCTCAGTGTTTTCCTTTGTCCACAGTAATCAAAGAAAATGGGAGAAATAAAGCAACATATATCATCCAAAAATCAGTCAAAGAAACCAAAAAAGAAAAAAGAGGAACATTCACTGACTTCATTAGGCCAAACGCACGTTTAATGGAACAAAGCAAACACAGGGTGAGGATGGTCCCTTGTTATAATTAACTTCAACAATCCTTAGTTAAAACAAGGCCAAATTCTCAAAGGTGATGGTGAATGGAGTTCAAACTCCGTAGATGAGGCAGTAACAGGTCACTAAGGAGCTTAGTCCCTCTGTGGACCCAGCTAAGCCTGCTCCTTGCTCCTAACAGCGCCTTTACTTGTAGGACTAAGAGCCCAGCCTTTCCCACCTGGGGGCCCAGGGAAGACAAGCTCCTACTGAACGGTGACTGGCTCTGTCAGAGGTGGGGCTTGCCTCTGTGTGTACAGGGGCTGGAGGCCACAGCTGATCTCCAACACATGCTCATGGTGAGTTTCCTAGTTTTGGTCCTAAGTTAGTGGAGACAAGCTGCCCCACTCCCCACTGCCAAGTCATCATTCCGTATCAGGTGTTTGGATTCCATTCCTGCAAGCGGGAAGAATGTGTGCAAAGAGCTGGACAGCCCATAGGGCCTGGGAGACCTTCACGGACACCTGCCATGGAGAAAGTTTGCATGGGCCAAGGGGGCAGGCTCTTGGGAAGCACACACTCCCTCCCTGAGTGCTGGCAGGAGCAGGCTTCCAGTCTGTTTGGGCAGCAATGAAAGGGACACTGTTTATTTGGCAATTCAAGCACAGGAATGCACATGTGTGGGCCCACTCACTGCTGGCTGGACAGCTGCAGAGAGGGCATCACGATGGAGACCTTATGCCCCCTCCCACGAGGGACCTGAAAATATGGCATCAAGAGAAATGACAGCAAAACCACGGAAGTGGATTAAACAGGAGGACAAAGCCTTTAACCAGGCCACAGTAGGACAAAAGTCCCATAAGAAGCTTGTAACAGTATTTTGCCAACAACTCTTAGAAGAAAACGCATTTGGCCAAAGGACCTAGAAGTAAACACCAAAGTTAGGTAGTTGTGAAAATCATCTGGCAGGGGCAGGAAGGTCATTGGAGGACCCACGCCTCCCCTGCTGTGGGTGAGGCCACCTGCCAGCACTGGAGGGCCACTGTGCTGGGGCCTGGGCCCAAGGAGGTGTGTGTTGCTTGGCTCTGTGGTGTCAAGGCCCTGACCTTCCAGTGCACCTCCACCAGTGGCCAATGGGGATACCCGGGGGCCTTGGCTCTCTGGCCCTGCTGCTTCCAAATTTGTCAATGCAGTTACCCAGCCCTGAGCCGGTTAATGTTTGTGACAAGCTCCTCTTCCTCTGCAGCCTTGCTTTGGTGGCTGGAGGATGAGTCCTTCTAATGGTCAGGTGGACTTTCCCTGGGCTGGGCCATCTGCTGCCACCCGTGTTGAACTGGGAAGGACTGGGAGACACCTAAAGACTGATTACAAAGGATTCTCTGGAATGGTCCAGGTCTACAGTGACCTCATGGAGTGATGGGAACCCACTACTGTGCATCTGGCTACAAAAGCTACCTGCAGAAAACTGTCTTCATCCCAGCTGGTTCCAAAATGCTCCCCTGCGAACAGTGAGCCTCATATTTGTGAGGTGGGGCTAGCGGCAGGGCAGGCATTCACTTGTCTGTGAACAGAAGCCACCGCTGCTGCCCGGTGTATCTAACCATCTTGTACCCATAGGAGCCAGGTCACTGGGTCAGCTAAAGTTCTCACAATAATAGAACCTAGATTTGATGAAAGCTGAAATTGACATTTTCTGGCCTCTTAATAGTTTTCAATTTACTGATTTAATTTCCTTTTTTCAATAAATACTTATCCAGTGCCTAATATGTGTCAGGCACTGTTGTAGGCACCAGGATACAGCAATGAGCAAGACATATAAAAGTTCCTGCCCACATGGAGCTTACAGTCTATGGGAGATGGGGAGGCGAGAATCAAATAAATGGATGAATGATTAACATCTGCAGCACTCAGATGGTGATAGGTGCACAAGAAGAAGATGCAGAGAGGTGGGTAGGGAGGGAGGGTGGGGTGTGTTGTCCTTTTAAATAAGTCAGGGAAGGCCTCGTTGAAAGGTGACATTGGAGCAAAGACTGGCAGGTAGTGAGGGGTGAACCATGTGGCTCTCTGGGGAAGAATGTTCAGGTAGAAGGAATGGCATGTGCAAAGGCCCTGAGGCAGGAGGGTGCCTGTGACTAGAAACGGCAGGAAGGCCTACGTCCCAGGGCAGAGCAGCAGGCAGAAGAAGTACTGGGATGGGAGAGGCCTTTGTAAGGACCTGGCTTTTCCTCTGCCATGGGAGGCTGTTTCTTCGTTTAAAGGAGCACTCCAGTGTCTGCAGATAAATTCTAAAACAGCTGGTTTCACTCATTTGTCCTCATTAAATAGGTTGCTTTGGTCTTGAATAAATTCAGCCTATATTTACTCTTAAAACCAAATGGTACTCTTCGCCTTATGTTAAACTAACAAATTATGTATATATATATATCCTTGATATGCTCTTTGGGAGGAATAAAAAGATGCAAGCAATGTGCATCATTCTGTATGTACATAATTAGGATTAGTGAGGCCCCCTTTTTTGGCAAGATTAAAATAGCAAAAATGCAATTTTCAACAAATCATTTGGCAAAATAAATAGAAACAGTAACATTACTAGCATGGTTGGAGATGATGGCTTCAGTGCTACTCTGCAACTACGTGTGTCTTCGGCTCAGCCTGGTGGGGCCAAGTTCTTCATACTGCACAGACTGCACATAACTGTTGTTCCCAAGGGGTCCCTGCAGGGCATCTCCCTCGCTCTTTTCTGCTGGGGGTGCAGTGGGGAGGAATAATAGATCTTTTGGCAAAGAAGGGACCTGCATAACTGCTAACAGGCCAATTTGCACAGTGCCCGGAGCTGTCTTTTGTGACAGAAGCTTGCAGAGTGGTCCAGCCTGGATGTGCCGCAGGGCCTCCTGGGGTGAGCGTGGGGGGCTCTCCCCATGGCGTGTGCTGGCCTCTCTATCGTGAACTACCCAGGACCCACTCCCGAGTCAGTGAGGCAGCACTGGCAGAAATACACTCCGGGCCAACAGACCCAGAGCTGTGGAGAGGACACGGGCAACAGGGTGGACTTGAATTAAACAAGAACAAAGCTGAGCGCTGGTCACTGCCCCGGCCAGCCACACTAAAACAGGCCAGCTAGAGTTTAGAGTCAGGAGTAAATGGGAAGGTGGTGCCTCAGATCTCTAGAGAGCCACCACTTTAAGGCGTTTTGGAAGGGGCCACCTGCTCCCTGGCATGCCAGCCACCTCTAGGCCCTTCATACGGTGTGTCTGTCCTCAGCTGGCAGCAGAACCGGACTCAACTAGAGCAGGGGCCGCCTCTGCAGCCCAGCGAGGATGAAGCCAGGGCTGGTAAGGTCTGTCTGGCCCAGCAGGGCTTGCTCAGCCACAGAAACACATTTCTTCTTATCTATTAGAAGCACTGAGGAAAGAAAAAGGACAGAACACTGGGGGTACTTAATTTTAAAGTCCACACCAAGATGAGGAGAAAAAAAATCATGGCCATAAAGAAAGGAGCCCCAAACATACAGTAGATGCCTTCAGCTTTTACTCCAGGTCTCTTCGTAAATAAAAGACTCACATGGAATGGAACTTACACACATGGATTTGGAAAAGTCTGTTTTTTCTTGTACAAATTTCCCACCACTGATAAGTACAGCCCTTTTATCTTAACCAATGGGAAGTATATTTTAAGTTTATTTTTGCAAAGTAGAATAGTTCGCAAAATAAGTTTGTGGACACTAAGTGGGGGGGGGGTGGGTGATGGGCCCATGACCCCTCCCCAGAGACAGGGCGGGCTCTGCATGGAGGATGTCCACACCCTGAGGTGTGCACCTGGGGGGCATGGAGAGTCCTTTTATCTTCAGCACCCCCAATTCTTGACAGTAAGCTACGAGAAGTAGTAAATTAAATCATTTGGGAAAACATTCGATTTGTAAATAGATTCAAATGCCACTGGGTGGTAATAGGTATGAAAAGGTCCACAGTAATTTAGTGAATACAAAGTATTCATTTAAGAGGAAAGGTGCAGTACCAAAATCCATGAACAGAAAAAAGGAAATCAAGCTTTCAATAAAAAAAGACACTGATACATTCCCACTTTCAGAAGGTATTTGAACAAGCAGCAAAAAGCGTTTAACCCCCCGGAGCCCACAGTGGAGCTCCTTCCCACCTCCAGTTACCCTTCCAAGGGACAACCCTGTGGCAATAACGGGTGCAAAATATTGCTCTGTGGCATGTTCTGAAAATAATACAAAAATAATTTTTATAGTACAGTTTAAACTTGGCTTGTAAAATTTCAACGTAACACAGCATAAAATCTACCAACAGAATACACTGAAAAACACCTTCCCTTAACAATATATTAAAAAAATCATTTACCCAGATAACAAATGTGCAGGAAATGTAAAGTAAATTTCTGAAATAACCTTCGCAGGGGTTTAGAAGTATCTGGGATCCTCTGGAAACCTGCAGTCCCTTGGAGACACCTGTCCTTCCTAGAAAGGGAAGTGTGGCCAGATCAGGTGGGGAAGGCTGCTCTCAGGCAGGGTCAGCTAGGGCAGCAGGGCCATGCACCCCGGTAGGACTCACCTTCTTCCCTTTCTCCCTGCTCCACAAAGGGGCCTCACGCCATGGAACACGAGGGAAGCCCTTGGCCCACATGCAGTCAACACAGTTTTTAATAGTTTCTGGCCAGCCTGCTGAAGTTGGTCTCTGGCCAGGGACGAGGTCTACACGCCTCTTCTCAAGGAGCATGCTATCGGTGCACGGGACTAGCACATTTAATATGACCATCGGCTCTCTCCCTTTTGCATTTTTAATACTGTTTAGAGGAAGGATGGATCCAGCTCTCTCACAAAAGGAAATGGCTATTCCTAAGTCATGTGGACTGAGTGGTAATGTATCAGCCTGGAGCAGGTGTCTACAGGCGTCTGGCGCCTCGTTACCACATTGAGAAGCTGGGGTGCAGGATGCAGCCAGTGGCTTTATCTCAGGCTCTTATTTAGGGCACATCTGTCATCAGATGGTGATGGGTGGAGGTAACTTGGAAATGCAAGGGTAGAATAGGTCCTGGTGTTTTGATAATTACGTACTCTGCCTGGTTTGGAAGGTTTTCCTCTATTACAATGGACGGTTTTTATTCTGTTTTATTTTTTTATTTTTTAAATTAGACAAACCTGGCAGATAGCGTGAGAAAGAAAATATCTGAATTAGCATAGCCAGTTTTAGAAATTTCTGGTTGGCTGTTTTTACATTAAGAAATGAAAAAAACAAGCAAGAATTGACTTTATGCCTCCTTGACATCTTGTGCATATGAGTTTGGTTTCTGAATGGATTATTGGAGCATTTTTAAGGTTGGGTGTCTCAATCTTTTAAGAGTGACGAGCATGAGGAGTGGCTGGCATCCACACCTGAAGCAACACTTTCTGTGATCCCACAGCTTTGGATGCCAAAGCAGCTGCTCAGCGTGACACGAAGAATCAGTCCAGAAAGCTGCCACAGACCCTCTCCATGAGATTTTTAAAAAACCACTTTTGTTTTCTGAGTAATAAAAGAAACCCCAGTAATATTAGGGACATGGATGTTAGTACAGTAATTACCACACATTGAAAATATTGTTCAGCAGGAAAAGTAAACTTTCAAAAAATTTCTTAAAGATCCTATTTAATAAATAATTTTTGATTTAAGGAACCACTTATGCAAAACTTGAACAAATTACTGAAAACTCCACCTGCTGTGGAATAATTAAAAACAAAAAGGCATTACTCACAGGAGATACTCAATTATTTTATTATAATTTCTCAAACAAGTAAAAAAAATCCCCTCGCCCCCCTTTTTTTTTTGTTTTTGCTGCTCTTTAGTTAGGGAAAAAAGCATCGTTTCTAGAGGAGAAGCTGGCTCCAGTGAAGAGATGGTCGACCTCCTGCTTTTTCTGAGGATACACTCACAGCAAAGCCAGGCGCTTTCTCCTGTCCTAGGATTATTAGAAGCTATTCTAAGGCTCTCACAGGTTTTATAGTATTCTTTGTTAGTGAGGATTTTACCCATCTTATCCTCATTTCTTGGAAACAAGCTCGTTCCTTAGTGAGGCAGATTTAGCTCCTCAGTGTCCTTGGCCAAGAACGGTGTTCTCCGGAGGTAATCTTGGAAGGAAGAGGCTGCATATTGCTGCTCAAAACAGGGTAGCTAAGGACACATTTTTTTTTTCCTCAAGAAATGTAGGAGGCACCAAAAAAGAGACCGCTCAGGGATCGGGCTGCTCCCTCATTGTGTCACGAGACGGAGGCAGGGTCGTCCTGCCCCGTGGAGGGGCCACGATCACAGTGAGTCCCTTTACCTGGCTGAACCCAGACAGATGCAGGTGTGGGGGTGGGCTTCCTTCCTGGTTCCCCCAGCCCCTTCCCTTTGGAAAGAGCAGCAGCCTAGTGGGGGCTTACACAGTGACCAAAGGGTCAATTCCTCGCTGTCTCCCGGGGCACCGATGGTCACCGCCCAGGGGCCCGCCAGCGACAGTCCACTGTGGAAGTGCCTTCAAAGGAGAAATGTGAGCAGCCTGTCCTATCTGCTCCTCTATGAGCAAATCCAAATTGTGAGATGGGAACCCTGCTTTTTGGACCCTAGGTGTCTTTGGAAAGCTCCTGTCACCTGAACTGCCCGGCACTGGGAGCCATCGCTGTACCTCACGGCGCCCGCGAGACGGGTGGTCCAGTGCCCTTTCCACGGCCGCCCGCGGCTTGGATGGCAGTGTGAATGGTGCTTGAGCCGGGGCTGGGGGAGGAGGTTTTGCTTATGAAATGGAGCTGTGTGTTTCTAAAGGGCCACAGTGACCACCAGGGCGTCAGCTGGCGGCCAGGTACCCGCCTTCTCCTAGGCCTCGGGATGGGAGGCAGGTAGAGCTCACAGAGGAGCCTCCACCGCAGCCCCGGGTGCGCGCTCGCTCTAAGCCCTGGGTACTACCAACCGCGCACAAGGGACCGCTACCTGGAAGAGGTCATCGCTAGGGTAGGAGAAAAAAAAAAAGCAAAAAAAGCATGTAAAACACTCCCTTCTTAAAACAAAGGGCTGCGAATTTCTTTATTTCTCTTACTGAGGAACAAAAATACTCTTGCAATGGCTATTGAGTTTCCACAGGTACGAGGCAGATGCTAGGCTAGCACACCCACTTCCAACAGTATGACTTGTTTCCTATCCGTCTACTACCTGAGTGGCGTCAGTGTAGGTTCAGGCACCATTAGGAACGTTTGACCAAACACGTACACGGCACTGACAGAGGAGGCGCCGGCCTTCCGGTGGACCAGGGCATGTAAAAAAGACACCGACACAATGGAAAAGAAATCCTCGAAGGTAGAACCTCGCCGCCCGCGCCGCGCCGCGCCGCTCAGGGCCGGGCCCCGCGCGCCTCGCGCCGCCGCCGCAGCTCCTCGCGGTAGCAGTAGGAGCAGTAGTGCTCGGTCTCGGCGCGCCCGTAGAACGCACAGTTCTCGCGCTGGCAGCGCCGCTGCACCGGCCCCGGGCCGCCACGGCCGCACTCACCGTTCGAGCGCGCGGTCGGCGCGTCGGCGTCGGCGAACTCCAGGCCGTCGCGCAGGGCGCCGAAGCCGTTGGTGTAGGTCTGCGACTTGTGCTCGGCCGCCCCCGCCGTCCCCGCCGCGCCCGGTAGGGCCCCGGGCACCGCGCGCGCCAGCGACTCGACCGTGTTGACGGTGCGCAGGGCGGCGGCGCGCGCCGGGCTGTAGCTCTGCGACGACAGCGAGCGGTTCTGCTGCGGGTACGTGGCGCACGGCCGCAGCGCCCCCACGGCCGGCGCGCACGCCTCGTCCCGCGCGCCCGACGCCTGCACGTGGATGACGCTCTGGCGCGCTGGCGCCGGGGGGCTGCGTCCAGGGACTGGTCCGCTGGCGCCCGCACGCCGCGCGCCCTCCCCCCGGGGAGGCCGTGTCGCCCGCCGCCGCCCGCGCCGCACGCCTGCCGCGGGCCCGGGGCTCGGCCGCTCCTTGAGCTTGAGCACCAGCTGCGTGGGTGGGCCCGGAGAGGCGCGCTCCGGGACCGGCACGCCCTCCGTCTCCGGTCTGCGCGGCGGCCGCTTGGCCGTGGCGGCGGCGGCGGCGGCAGCGGCGGCCGCAGTAGCGGCGTCGCGGCGCCGCTGCTCCTGCTCGGCGCTGAAGCGCTCCTGCGCGCTCGTCAGGTAGTAGCCGATCATCTCCTCGTGGAACTGGTGCCGGTGGCTGGTGAGCAGCAGGCCGGCGAAGATGAACTTGCGCTCCCCCTGCATGGCGGCGCGCAGGATGTTGAGGCTCAGCTTCACATCCGTGCTGTACTTCCAGGCGTCGCCCCGCGGCCCACCGCCCTTCTCCGCCGGCGACGCGCCCGCTGCCTTGTCTGTGGGCGACGGCGTGGTCTTTTCCGACGGCGACGTGCTGGCCGACGCACCAGACTCCTCCTTGCTGCCCTTGCGCGACTTGGCCTTCTTCTCCTTGCCCCGCTCGGCCGAGTCCCCGTTCTTGCCATTGGCGGAGTTGGCGCGGCCCATCTTGCCGTGCACCAGGCCGCCGAGGCCGCCCATGTTTTTCTTCAGCTTGATGCCCAGCGTCTTGCTGAAGCTGCCCAGCTTGTTGGCCACGGAGTCGGCGCGCGTCTTGTCCTTCTCCTTGCGCTGCTTCTCCTTCTCCTTGTCCTTGCCGTTCTTGCCGTTATTGCTGTTAGAATTGCTGCACACCGAATCGCGGTCCGAGTCCAGCGAGTCGGCCAGGGACTGCACGTCCTCCCCTGCCGAGGCCGTGGGAGACTCCGGCTGTGCCAGGGGCGCCTGTGTGGAGAGGGAGGGCCGGATCGAAGGTGGTTAGAGAAGAGCTGTCCACGCGCCAGCGAGGAAGACACACCTTGCCCCTGTGTTGCCGAGGCTAGGGCCCTGGACCTTCACTGTCCCAGTCCCCACTGTCGCTCTGGTGACTGTGACATCCGGATGGGCGGTGCTGAAGGAGCAGATAGGAGTGGGCTCTGATCTGCTGCGGTAGTAAAAGGATGTAGGGACCTCTTAACTGCGTGTGTCTTCTGGCCAGGGAAGCTGGGGTGTACTCATTCTTTCTCTCTGGGGGACCTCAGGTACTTGGTACCCTGGAACCCTGAGTAGGGTATTGCAGCAGGGTGCAGATACCCTACTTGGTCTTGGTCCCCAGAGCCTTGTCACAATTTAGAACGGTCAGGTTCAGACTCTGGCCTTCCCCCACTGGCAAGGCCGCCTGCTTGACCAGACACAGGTCCCAGGCTGGCCTCTGTAAGGATGGAGGCCTTCAGGTGGGGAGGACACTGGGCCTGCACAAAAGTGCCTCCTCTGAAAAGATGTCTCACCTCACGCCAGGCATGGGACAGAAACCTTGCACTCAACCTCATTCATCGGATCTTGGATCAAACACCCCCTTGATTCAGGGATGCCAAATCGCTTCAGGAGTTCCTTTCTCACTCAGTTTGGCAAGATGGAATGCTAAATTGAGGAGGATTCTGAAATAGGCCTGCGCTCAGCAAAAAAGATGTTCCCATTCCCAGAAAAGTCCCCCTGGGTGGGGTGGGGTGACGCTGGGGAGCACTTCTTGGATGAGACCCACTGATGAGGTCAACCAGTCTGAGGGGGGCACGACCATATCTGGGGTGGGGGGACCCTGAGAAAAGAGGTGGGAGAGCAGAGAGGCAGGCAGCACCTACTACTACTCTGTAGGGACCTCCCTGGGTGAGGAGAGAATTCTGACCGAGTGTCATTGGACGAGAGGCAGGGCCCATCATGCTGGCCGCTGGGTGCTGCAGGAACTGGTGCTCATACCTGAACAGGCGTCCCTGGCTTCCAGGGGATGAGCCTGGGAGAAGGCCCATTGCTCTCCCACTTAATTTTTGTCCCCCCCTCAAACCCTTCAAGCAAGTTCAAGAGTCGGTGACTCTCCTGTGACCAGGTCACCCCAAAGCAAAGGTGGGCAGAACTGACCCTCACCACCTCCCACTCTGACATTCCTTTCCCCTTCCCACCTGGGATAGGAAGGTGTGAAGTGTCTCAGACTGGTGCGTGAGACACTAAAGGGTGGACACTCGGGCTGGGCCAGGAAGGGAGGTGCGCCTGGTGCTAGCAGGAGCGCACTGAGAGCGGGCTCAGGAGTCCCTGGCTGGAAGGACCCTTCCCACAGTTGTCTGCTGAGAGCCCTGCATCTAACATGAAGGCACCGAGGCCTGGCAATTGCAGGCAGAGCTATTCTCAGCCCGAGAGCCTCCTGATTCTACATCTCGAGCCACTGCCATCACTCCCCATGTGGGTGCTGAAGAAGAACAGCCACAGCACTACGGGAGTGCTCCAGGCCTTTGAGACGCAGGACTCAAACTGCCACCGACTGGCTGTCACTTATGCCATCAGTAAAATGGGGTATCAGTCCCTGCCTCATGGAGCCCTGGGAGATGACGTACAGGCAGAGGCTGGAGTCTGAGAGCACTGAGCAGTGCTGGCCACCGCCCGACTCCTTGACTCATGCCACTCCTTTACTAATTCTTTGTGAACCCCACTTTAAGTAAATGTCTGGAGAGGACCAATTACTTGCAGGCTGTTTTTTACAAATCCTTTTCCCTGGCAGTTCACTACTGAGATTTCAAAAAACATCAATCAGTCAGATGCTTAAAATGAATCCCTCAGCGTTTGCAAGCAGGGGCAGCCCCGACCCTCTGGAGGCAGGCAGCCTCATGGGGCGTAGGCCCCTCTCCTCACCTTCCTGCCAGCTCCACCCACCAGTGTGCTGCCTCTGGGAGGGGAGGAAGGGGGCGCCGAGGAATCGCGCTGTCAGTTCCCTGGCTTTTTTTGAGGACCCACACGGTTTGTAATTAATTCCGCTCTGCGGCAGCACATTGTGTTCTGATCTTAGCAGATAGTTTTGTGTTGTGACTTGCCTGTGGCTTGTTTTCTGAGTGGGCGTGTTGATTCCTTCTGCAGAAAATAGGGGGACAAAAAATCCCTTTACAAGAGCGCATGCTTGCATGCACACATGCCTACATGTGTGTACACAGCCACTAGGTCCAGCCAGAGCCACTTCAAGCCATAGCCAGGGTGGCCCCAGCTGCATGCAGCTGGGATGGCTAGGTCAAAGGAGGTGGAGGAGCTACTGGGCTGTGGGTATGGCTGGGGTGGGCGGCCGGGCAGGGGCAGGCAAGAGTGTGGGAGCATTTGGGAGGATGCACCCTGGTCAGACTGGAGCTGAGCAGCCTGGACCCTGCTGCCAGGTCTGGTCCCAGCACAGCCAGGCTCACCCGTGTCTCGGAGGGGATCCGGATCCACGTCACGTTCATGTAGCTGTGCAGAAGGTTCAGCTTGGCTTCTAGCGACAGGATAAGGCTGGCAAGAGAAGAATATCCTATTGAAATGGTCTGAGCTGGCCCTTATAGCACCCAGTCCACTTGCATGCCAGCTGTCCCAGGAGGAGCAGGGGTGGTACATTCCCTCCCCAGGATGCCCCAGCCATAGCCCTCCCTGTGGGCGCTGGGGAAAGGGACAGAGTAGGATCTTACTGGGCCAGCCGGGCGTTATCGTTGTCGTCTTTCCCCCACTCCCAGTCCTTGCCAGGGTCCACTGCAAAGTGCAGAGGCAGCAGCTTGTGCTCAGAATCCGTCAGGGGGATCACGGCTGGAACAGAAGAGACAGAGCCGTGCTTGGAGCCCCGGCAGTCCCCAGGCAGGATGGCAAGGAAATTCCCAAGCCAGGTATCTGGGTGACAAATGCACCGAGTGGACATCTACACAGATCTGTGCCAGCAGGAGCATGAAGACCAAAACCACTATTGCTAGTTTTTAAAATTTCGTATTTATTGCGGACAGTGGAGAGCAGTTGGAAGCGTCACCTGGACCCTGGCTCTCTTTGGGTCTGTCCAATGGCAGATACTCCATTGGGCAGCAGAATGGGAAAAAAGCTATTGCTGCCTCTGCTATTTCTAGGAAGGATCTAGGCAGGTTAGGCACACTTTGGGAGGCCACCTTGCAGGTGGGCCTGAGGCTCAGCTCTCCTGTCTCGTCCCAGAGAAGGGCCGAATGTGCAAGTCAGGTGAGCAAGGGTGTTGCTGACCTCTACTGGTTTGTAATTTTGTGCCACAAGTCTGTATCAGTGCCTGGGACCCATGGACCCACCCGCCCCTGCCCGTGGGAAGCTCACCTGTGCTGGGGACAGATAAGCAGGTTAACAAACATCTCATAATGTCAGGTGGTGATGAGCCCTGGAAGGGTAAACACCAGGCAGAAGGCAGTGATGGTGAAGCCTTTTTCGGATGGGGTCAGGGGGTCCTTTTGAGGAGGTCACATGTAGGTGGAGATTGCAGTGATGAGCCACTGGCTGGTCATTTCTCAGAGGGATTGACTCATCACAAAACTTCTGTGGTGAAACTCACCACCCGTGGGAAATCCTGGCTCACTCCAGAAGGGCTAGGGTGGAGGGGGTATCTACAGGTTTGGGATCTTCTAGGAGCTTCTGAGCTGCTGGGGGACCTGATGAGAGGAGTGCCTAGTGACACGGTTGACTCCTCCCAAGGGCATTGTCAGGGACAAGGGCAGGAGGAACTGGGAGATGGTCTCCCCAAGTCTTTCCTCGCAACAAGCAGCAGCCTCCTCCATGGGCTCCACTTAGCTCCCCTGCAGGCCCCACACCTGGGAGTCACACACAGCAGAGAAGCACAGCCACCTTGGACCAGCTGCTTTGCCTCTTTGCTGGTGCCCATGGTTCATGGCAAGGGTGCCATGGCAAGAACAAAAAGGCAAGGAAATAGATCAAATCGAAGACTGAACACCAATAGTTGATTTGGTAAGAAATTGGAAAAACTGACTCAATGCTGCCCTCCAGTGTTGCTTAAGAGGAAAAGTGGGTGCAAATAATTCCCCTCTCCACCCCCGCACCTCTTCTTCTCCAGCTTCCCCAAGCTGCCAATAAGGGAAATGCAGCTTTGCTGACCAATGACCAGCTCCGGGCTTTTCATTAATCTGGCTTGGGATTGGAAAGTGCAGTGCTCTGATTTGAGAGGTCAGGGGTGGCTTGGCCTGGCTTTGCTGCAGCCTGCTGGGTTCTGCCTTGACGTGGCCACCCTTTCCAGATCTGAGCTGCAGGGCAGACACACCCAGGGAGGGCTGCAGGGCTGGCTCAGGGACAGGTCTCCCTTGGGTGGTGCCCAGCAGCCTGTCCCATAGTTCTATGAGTCACTACACAAACAGAGAAGGGGTTAGCCTCGCTTCTTACTCATGGGGCAGGGGGTGGCACAGGCTCTCCCCATCCACAATGTTTCCCAGAATAGAGCAGTGCAGCTCCTGGGAGTTCCAA
Organism: Homo sapiens; assembly: GCF_000001405.40. Lineage (NCBI taxonomy): Eukaryota > Metazoa > Chordata > Mammalia > Primates > Hominidae > Homo > Homo sapiens. Next base: position 3,775,068 of record NT_187660.1, read on the forward strand.
GCCCCCATGAATGGATGGGCCAAACCAAAGTGTCCAGGAAAGGGACTCAAAAAGCAACATTTTAAATAAGCATCTCCTGTGGCTTTTAAAATCAAGCAAATTCAGGAAATATTGTTCTAGAACAAGAATAATCTGTTAGAAGCAGTTCCTGTGGGTGCAACTTGGACATTTTGGGTCTGGCTGTCCACCCGCTTCCCAGGGTAGAATTGCTGTTGGAGAACATCAGCCCAGCCACCACTCCATGTCTTAGCCACCCTGGCCCCAGGATTTAGGGGGAACAGGCACCTAGTGGCATCCATGGTCTGTGGGCAGAAGCAATGTGGGAAGTGCTGGGTGATGTGCTCAGGCATGGGGGTGTCTCTCCCCACTCCCCTTCCATGGTGCCTGCAGAAGACAGCAGATCTCCACTGAAGAGCTGCCTGACAATTGAGAACACTCCTTTTAGATTTCCACTGTGTTAAGTCACTGTGATTTTGGTTTGTTTGTTTCAGATAAACCACCTAAGCTAAGACGGCACCCCAGACAGTCACCCTCACTTCCCTATCATGGGGTTCCTGGGGACTCCTCCCCTCAACAGCAGGGCTGGAATGGACTCCTTGGGCTGCCCAGGGCTCCAGTGCACGGTGGGAATACCCCTGAAGGGGCTAGTGCCTGTCCACCTAGAAGGGTCCAGCAGCCTTGCGGCCTAGATCTGGCTGGGGTGAAGGGCCAGGTACTGAGAGGCTCTACGGACATGCCTGCTCACAACTGAAGACACCGAGGGGCTCAAAGGAAGGCTTTTCTGCAGAGGGTCAACTGCGGCCTGTGGTGAGGGCTGGGGCTGCAGAGCCCAGGGACAGTTCCGGCCAGGAGGCCATGAAAACAGGTCCTCCTCGTGAGCAGCGGCTGCTCAGGATGCCTCTGCTTCTCAACTGTACACCCTGACATTTCCCTATTGGAAACCTGGCTTTACCAGTGAGGAGCAGCCATGCAGCGGCTTGCCCTCTGGTGGTAAATGTCTAGAACAGCAACTGCTTTTCAAAATGAGCCTAAAAAGGCCGGAAAGGTGTTTTGTTTTTGTTTTTGAAAGGCCTCTTGTATGTCTTTTAGCCTGGAAACATATAGGCATCATCTCATGCTAGCCTGAATATATTCTGAGTACTTATTTTCTAAAAAAAAATCAAGATTTCTGGTTTTTGTCTCCGATGTGAAAAGCTGGAAGAGCATTGTTCCACCATGAAAACATTCCAGTCAAACTGCAAATTCACAACTTATCTTTAACCCACCAGACAGCTGAAGTCACAGGGAAACCAACTTATCCAATATCTAAGGAAAGACAGGTGCCTCCAAGGAGAGACAGACATGAGCTTAAGAAGGGCCAATTCAGCTGGACCCCAGTAAGAATCATTCAGCTAAAATGGTTAAATTGGTAAAGGAACAGTATCAGCTAGTGAAATAATATGGAACCCTGGGGGCTGAAGATATAAAGGAAATTCACATGCACCTGCAGGCTCCTCTCCACAGGACCTACCTGGTTCTCCCAAAAAAGACTGGCAGGAGTTCTAAGAGAGTGTCTCCATAGATATTTCCATCCTACCTCTACCAAGGAATAAAAGCTTAAACTGCAGAGTGTAGGGCAACAAACACTGGGTGCACTAAGGGTCATCTTCTGTTACTCTGATTAAGCATCTGTCTTAGGCAGGCACTGTATCCCTGGATCTGGGGATGGGGGTGACCTTCCTGGGCTATCATAACTAGACTGGTCCAAACCTAGACTCTGAAAACCTAGCAAAAGGAAAGGCATGCTTCTTTCCAGGAATAAAAGTGATTTACTGCAGTCTTTACTGTCCTACTCAAGATGCCTGGCTTTCAGCAACGACAACAAAAAACCTATGAGGCGAAAGGAAAGATAAAAAAAAAAACCCAACACATTGATAAAAGACAAAGCAGTTTATAGAACAAGACTCAGATATGACACAGGTGTTGAAACTATCAGACAAGGAATTAAAAATAACTGATTAATAAGTTAAGGACTAATAGAAAAGCCAGATACCATGCAAGATTTGATGGTTAATTTCAGCATACAGAACAAATCTATGAGAAAGAAATGAAAATGCTAGAAATGAAAAACACCATAATAGAGGTGAAGAATGATTTTGAGGGGCTGGTCAGTTGACTTGATATAGCTGAGCAAAGAATCTGATCTGTAAACCTCAAGATAGGTTACTAGAAATGACACAAACTGAAACAGAAAAAAAGGAGGTGGGAAACTGAACACAGCATCTAAGAGCTGTGTGACAATATCAGCACCTTAAGTTCTGTGTAAATGAAATCCCAGAAGAGAGAAAGAACAATGCAAAATAAAATTTTAAAGAAATAATGGCTAAGAATTTTTCAAAATTAATGACAACCATCAACACAGATCTAAGAAACTAAGAGAACATCAAGAAGAAAAAGTAACACCACCACAAATATTCCTATAATAGCCTCTTAACACTTCTGAAACCCAAAGACAAAAAGAAAGTCTTGAAGGCAGCCAGAGAAAAAAGAGGATACATTATACAGAGAAAAACAAAGGTACAAATTACAACAGACTTTTCATGGTAAAACAGGTAAGCCAGAAGATAATGGAGTGACATTTTTAAAGTGCTGAAAGAAAAAAAAAAACTGTTAATCTAGAATTCTATACCCAGCCAAAATATCTCTGAAACATGAAGAAGACATAAAGAGTTTTTCAAATAAAAGTGAGCAAATCATTGCCAGCAGACCTGAACTACAGGAGATGTTAAAGTGCAAGAAATATGGTACCAGTAGAAACTTGTATTTACACAATTAAGAGTGATGGAAATGGAATAAATGGATGTGAAAATTCATTTTTTTCTTCTTTTTAATTGCTCTAACAGATAACTGTCTAAAGCAAAGGGCAGCAGTGCATTATGAATTTATAACAGATGTAAAAATAAAATGTCTGATAATAGCAAAGAATGGGAGGGAGGGATTGGTAATACACTGTTGTAATATCCTTATACAACATGTGAAGTCAAGTAATATTACTTAAAATAGAATCTCATTAATTAGACCAGGTGTGGTGGCTCACACCTGTAATTCCAACACTTTGGGAGGCCAAGGTGGTTGGATCACTTGAGGTCAGGAGTTCAAGATCAGCCTGGCCAACATGGTGAAACCCCATCTCTACTAAAAATACAAAAATTAGCTGGGCATGGTGCTGTGTGCCTGTAATCCAGCTACTCTGGAGGCAGAGGCAGGAGAATCGCTTGAACCCAGGAGGCGGAGGCTGCAGTGAGAGGCTGCAAGATCATGCCACTGCACTCCAGCCTGAGTGACAGAGTGAGACTCTGTCTCAAAAAAAAAAAAAAACAAATCTCATTAATTAAAGATGTTTATTGCAAACCCTAGGGAAACCACTAACAATTAAAAATAGGGGTATAACAGGTCCATAGTGGAAATAAAACGGAACCATTAAAAAGCTCAATTTACCCAAGATAAGATAGCAAAAGAGAAACAAAAGGAAAAAAGAACTCATACAGTACATAGAAAACAGGTAGCAAGATGGTGGATTTTAATCCAAACATATCATTAATACTATTAAATGAAAATGGTCAAAACGTATCTTTTAAAAGATAAAATTGTCAGACTGGATGAAAAAGCAAAACCCACATATATGCTGTCTACAAGAATCTCATTGTAAGGGCCAGGCACTGTGGCTCATGCCCAGCACTTTGGGAGGCTGAGATGGGTGGATCACTTGAGGTCAGGGGTTCGAGACCAGCCTGGCCAACATGATGAAACCCTGTCTCTACTAAAAATACAAAAATTAGCTGGGCATGATAGTGTGTGCCTGTAATCCTAGCTACTCGGGAGGCTGAGGCAGGAGAATTGCTTGAACCTGAGAGGTTGAGGTTGTAGGAAAAAAAAAAAAAAGAATCCCATTTTAAATATAAAGACATATGGAGGTTAAAAGATATTCACTAATGGAAAGAGAGCTAGAGTAGCCATATTTATGTCAAAGTAGGCTCCACAACATGGACTGTTACCAAAGAAAAAGAGGAACATTACATAATGCTAAAGGGGTCAATTTTCCAAGAAGCCATAATCATCCTATGTGTATGCATGCTAACAACATAGCTTCAAAGTACATGAAGCAAATACTAACAAAAATGAGAGAAATAAACAAATGTATTACAGCTGCAGACTTTGCTACTTTTTGCTCAGTAACTGACAGAGCAAGTAGGCAGAAACCAGTAAGGATATAGAAGAACTGAGCTGCACTCTCAGAGAATTTGAGGTAATTGACATTTCTAGAACCTAACAAGAGCAGAGTATATATTATTTTCAAATACATATGGAATATTCACCAACACAGAACATATTCTTAGCCAGTCTGAGTGCATTAAAAAGAACAGAAATCATGATGTTTGTGCTCATGTCATAACTGAAACTATAAACCAGTAACGAATATTTGAACAATCCCCCAAAACTTGAAACTCAAACAGCCTGTTTCTAAATAATCCATAAGTCAGAGGAAGTCTCATGGGAAATTAACGAATAGTTTGAACGGAATGAAAATGCAAATATAGCACATCAAAATTTGTATGGTGTAGTTGTTACAGCAGTACTTAGGGGAAAAGTTATAGCATTAAAATGCTCATATTAGATGAGAAAACAGTCTCAAATTAGTAATCAAAATTTCTGCCTTAAGAAACTAGAAAAGGGGTAGCAAATTAAACTCAAAGCAGAGAGGGAGGAGGGAAGTAATGATAGCCTGTACGTGAGGCCAAGGCCAGCCCCTGAGGATCGGGCCCCTAGGCTGGGGCATCAGGGCCAATGGTGGCAGACATACATTCTCTGGCCTAAAGTTTATATGTAGATAAGATATTTGGATTGGTCATTGGTCTATAGACTAAGCTTGCTATTGACTGAATATTTGTGTTCCTCCAACATTCACTGTTAAAGCTTAGTCTCCATGTAAGAGTATTAGAAGTGTGGTCTTTGGGAGGTGATTAAGGCATGAGGATGGAGTCCTTGAGAATGGGATTAGTGCCTTTATAACAACAGGCACGAGAGCGCTCTTCTTTCTCTCTCTTGGCCACGTGAGGACACAGTAAAAAGTGGCTGTGTGTAGACCAGGAGGAGGACACCCTTACCAGACTCCAAATCTGCTGGCTCCTGGATCTTGTATTCCCAGCTTCCAGAACTATCAGAAATAAATTTCTATTGTTTATAAGCCACCCAGTCTATGGTATTCTGTGGCAGCAGCCTGAATTGACTAAGACAAAACTGGAAAAAGTGCTGACCAGAATTAAGGAAACTGTACTGCTGAAAAAACTCTCAGGCTGAGAGAGCGTTCAGCATCTAACACAATTTCTGGGCTCCTGAACTCATGCCAAAAGTGGGTGGTGAAGCTCTCAGCCCCAGAGGGTGCACTCTGTGCACACATCAGATGTGGCCCTGTGGGACAATGACAACTGGGGTCTCCTCAGAGAGCAGAACCAGGATGTCACCCTGGCCCACCAAAAACTCACTCCCCACATCCAGGGCAGTGAGTGCTGGCTGCTCCTGTCCTGCAGGTAGGACAGGTGGCTGGTGCTGCTGCCTCCCAGCCCCTCTCAGAAGCGGTTTTGTTGGAGCACATGTTCTCACTCCAGTACCATGCATGGGAGCGTGGAGTCCTCAGGAGCCTGGAGTGGCCAGATGGAGGAAACTGCACATCACACAGAGATGGCTGGGGCCCTCATTTGGGAATCAGGGGCGATGGTGGCTGGTATGCGCTTCCTGTGGGCATGGACGTCTTGGGGAGGTCTGGTGGGGGATCCAGGTGTCTGTGCCTAATTTGTAGCTCAGGAGGGGACAGGCAGGGCTCCTGAGGGGAGGCTGGCATCTGGGTGCACTCTTGCTTTCTCTTCTCTCCAGGCCTTCAGGCATGACTGAAAAACCCTCAGCCAGTTCTTTCCGTGGAGTTAACTGTGGCTGGCATCCCTTTGGAACAGTGCTTTGGGTCCCTGAGTTGATGGTCATTGGGGTAGGGCATGAACCAATCAGCAGATGTATTGTGGATAAACACACCTCGTGCTTTTAATCAGCGTTACTCAGCTCTCTGGGCACCTGCCCACTCTATAAGCTGAAGACAGAGCTCCATAGCCATGAAGTCCCTTCCATAGCTCCTGGCCACCTCATGGTGCTTTGTGATCTGTAGGTCAACAGTGTCAAAGATGACAGACTTGAGAAACAAAGGTCTCAGCTAAAAGTCTGGATGCCCCCAACCCCAGCTCCTCGGCCTCTCACCCCTTAGCCAGGGGCCTTTGCAGACAAAGGTTCTTCAGGGTTCTGTGCTCTGGGGCTCCTGAGAGGAGTGGCAAAGAAATATGGCCCAGTGAGACTGGCCACACACCACAAGGGTAGGCGTAGCTGTGCTTTTTACTCCCACTCTGACCCTATCTTTCAGTGGCAACTGACAAACTTAGAAAGTAGCCAAGAGAAGGGAGACTAATTACAAACGTAATTCAGTTTGGGGGCACTTCTGGTTTCCAAAACCTTCTTGCTGGCCGGGCGTAGTGGCTCACACCTGTAATCCCAGTACTTTGGGAGGCTGAGGTGGACAGATCACTTGAGCTCAGGAGTTTGAGACCAGCCTGGGCAACATGGAGAAACACCGTCTGTACCAAAAGTACAGAAAGTTAGCTGGGCTTGTGGCATGTGCCTGTAGTCCCACCTACTCGGGAGGCTGAGATGGGAGGATCTGTTGAGCCTGGGAGGTGGAGGTTGCAATGAGCCAAGATCATGGCACTGTACTCCAGCCTGGGTGACAGAATGAAACCCCATCTCAAAAAAAAAAAAAAAAGTTTCAAAAAAAAAAACTTTCTTGCCACCATGAACTAAGCTGATTCTTACCGTAATGTCTTGTAATAGGCATTACATACTTCCTCCATTATTTTATTCAGATAGGTACACAAATAGACCAATTTGATTGGTATTTGATAAATGATTTTTTTTTTTTTTGAGATGGAGTCTCGCTCTGTCGCCCAGGCTGGAGTGCAGTGGCACGATCTTGGCTCACTGCAAGCTCTGCCTCCCTGGTTCATGCCATTCTCCTGCCTCAGCCTCCTGCGTAGCTGGGACTACAGGCACCTGCCACCATGCCCAGTTAATTTTTTGTATTTTTTAGTAGAGACGGGGTTTCACCATGTTAGCCAGGATGGTCTTGATCTCCTGACCTCGTGATCCGCCTGCCTCAGCCTCCCAATGTGCTGGGATTACAGGCATGAGCCACCGCGCCCCGCCGATAAATGATTCTTTAACACAATTTTAAAATCAAGTTGAGCAGAATATGTAATGATACTTGTAACATGTAAAGATACATTTCTATTTAAAAAGAGATTGGATCTGTTTATTATAAATTAATCCTGCAAGAAAAAGCATGGTTCATTGTCAAACATATTGAAAACTGGAATGTTACATTCCGTGTGGCTTGGGGAATAGTAGAGCATAGGTGAGCATTTGATTTAACCACGAGCCATACATCAAATACAGATGGAAGGCTGCTTCCATGGCCCGGTGGGTAGAAGTACTCTGTTTGGCTCCCAAGATCCCTAGCAGACACTTATAAACTTGCTGTGTTGTTTCTAAGCAGCAAGAGACAAATTGGTAAGCTGCTCTTTGCAAAAACTTTTTTTTTTTCAAGTATCACATTTTGAATGTGTTGAGTCTCTGTTCCCAATAAAGGGATGGCCAACCTTGGTGTGATCATCTGTAAGCCTCGATCCTTGCAGTCTGCAGCCGTTTCAGAGCTCTCTGTTCACACCAGCATCTCCCCCTCCATCTGTAACCAGTGGACTCCCTCAGGGCTCCTGTGTGCTGCTCTCTAGGTTCCTTAAGTGGGACCCTTGGGGGAAGGCACTGAGGACACACTGAGGGTGCCCTGACCTCTGTGTGGCCCCTGGATATGCCTCAGAGGCTCACAGGCTGTTTGTATATATGAGGGAAAAACTATTTAAATAATTGACTTATATGTTAATTTTTTTTTTTTGAGATGAAGTCTCACTCTGTCATCCAGGTTGGAGTGCAGTGACGCAAGCTTGGCTCACTGCAACCTCCACCTCCCAGGTTCAAGAGATTCTCCTGTCACAGCCTCCTGAGTAGCTGGGATTACAGGCACATGCTGCCATGCCCAGATAATTTTTTATATTTTAGTAGAGATGGGGTTTCACCATGTTGCCCAGACTGGTCTTGAACTCCTGAGCTCAGGCAACCCACCCACCTCGGCCTCCCAAAGTGCTGAGATTACAGGTGTGAGCCACTGTGCCTGGCCAATAAATATTAATTTTTAAGAAAAGAATAGCCACAGATGGCATTGACACCTTCCATGAAACAAAGCACCCCCTCCCTACCCTCTTCGACCCTGAAGGTTCCTGAGTCCTGGGTCTGAGACGCTATCTTATCCCAAGCAGGCTTTGACTTGGGGTACCACTTCCTGAGCCTCTTCTCTTGGAGATGCCACTCTCTTGGGCCAAGTCTTTGTGGAAGCCTCGCCATCCACCCTCCCAACCCTTCACTGGCTGCAACTATTCCCTGGGGATGGTTCCTCCTTTCTCAATTTCCCCCTCTGTAAAGTGGGGAAGAGGAAATGGGAAGGGTTAAATAGGTATTCCTGGAAAGGACCTAGAACAGCCCTTGAGCACAGGAAGCACCTGCAAATATATGAGCATGAAGGTGGGGTGCAGACCTAGGCAGCACCTGTATGCACCCAGCCCTTCCCAGTGCAACCTGCTGGCCAGGCCGAGAGCTAACATGTACACATGGGTATGCTCTGCACGGCTCTATATCCACCCAAAGGGAAGAGGAGCTGTGGAGATGGGCAAGGCTGTGCTTGGCTTGTTTGGGACTTTACCAAGAGTTAGCTGCCATTTTGGACTGTAGAGCCTCCTGGGGTATTTGAGGGTATGCTCAGCACACCTGTGTCCCCTCTCTGTGTAACTGGGCACCCCACATATGGGTGCCAGGATCTGATTGCTTCATTGAGTTTTGCAGTATGGCTGTGTGAGAATATTTACAGAAATGCAGATTATTTTATTACATTGGTTTCCTTTGATTTCTCCTGATGTGGGGGTACTAAATGGACTTTATTCCAACACAGGTAACATTATCCATGAATTTCATTTCAGGGTAATGAAGAGTACACTGGACAATGTTTGCTATAAAAGGAGGGGAGTTGGGATTGTTGCACTGGATGATTCCAAAGTTCTTTCCTAGGTTCTATGTTTCCAGGAACTATGCGGCACCTCTGCTTCTCCTGTTAATTGATTTGATTTTTCATAATGTACACATTTGCTCAGTGGCCAGTAGGAACTGACCTGAGCTGGGTGCTGAGAGAATGCCCGGATCTGGGTTTCACAGAGCTCCCCTGCAGGCCATTTTAAGATGTGGCTGCAAGGAGGCTGCTTCCTGCAAAAAGCTGAAGGCCCAAGGCTCAGGTTGTCAGGGAGCAAATGACTAATGTCCTCCCCAGGAGAAAGCAGGTGACCATCATGTGTGGAAGCTACCAAGAAAGAATGCATACATTTTATCTAAAAAGTCCTAAGATAAATTTGCAAAGCCTGGGCCACTGAGGTTGCCCATAGCTGACCAGTCCCACCAGCTCCTGACCTTCCACCTCAAGCCCTTCCCTCTCCCCATGTTGCATGCCTAGCCTGGGAAACGGGAGGATTCCTGAACTTGAAGATGGTCAGTGGCGGCATCAGCAGTAGCCGGGCCACGGCAGTAGCACCTATAAGAGGGGGCTTCCCTTAGAGGGAGAGGCACTCGATGAGAAGTTTAAAGAATGCTTCATGGATTTTTAAGCCTCCAGGAGCTGGACACATGTGGATGAGACATGATGGGGCATGTAAACAGAGGAGGAGGAAGTGGGTGGTGGGAAGAAGGGAGCCTTGTCTCAGCCTGAAATACATTTTTTATCTCATTTCCAGGCTCTCAAAGCATCGTTCCGCAGGCACAAGGATGCGGTGTCTGCTCTTCCTGGGGCCTGTGATTATTGTATCTATTAGCCTCTGTCACAGGGTGCTGTTTATAGGACGGACAGGGTACCATGGCAGAGGGTGACACCTGTGCTTCACAGTGGGGGCCGGTGGCATCCTGGGGCTCGATATTCTGGAGTCTCCCATCTCCTGCCTCCCACCAGGTCCTGCGACTTTGCGGTCTGGCCAGCTCACTCCAGCAGGCCTGAGTCTGCAGCTCATCCTGGAAGCTGCAGCCTCACTGTGATTTCCACGTCCCTCTCTGCTGAGATGTCGTGTGACTTGAGAGCACAGCTGGGACTCTGTCCCGTCCCCACAGTGTCCTTTGAGGCACAGAGGGAAGGCTGCAGAGGTGAAGGTCTAAGGGGGCACAAGGGTGCATGTGACAAAGAGCGTGGCCATGGCACCTGCCCTGCAGTGGGTGGTGGGGACCTTATGGGTGAATGTGCAGCCTGGCCACAGGATGGTCTTAGAGGCAGGGACCTGCATCGCCCCAGGAGGACCCCAGTGGGCTGCTTTGACTGTGAGGGAGCCAAAGACCCACACCACAGTGGCTCTGAGAGGTGCACTGGGACCAGATCCCAGTTTTTAGAAACCAGGTCATCAGAAGTGAAACCACCCACAACTCTGCAAGGCCCTCCTGAAAGGTCCCAAGCCACAGCGCCCTCCATGGGCATCCTTTGAAGGGAGGATGCTTTCATATGTGCCTTGAAAACACCAAGCAGCAGTATCTGGAAGGCCTGGAAGAGTACTCGGTGCCTTTTGCGAGGAGGGGGTCGGGTATCTGAACCCCATGCTCGGAACTGGGAGACGCTGGCCTTGGGACCATCACCTTCTGACCACAGAATCTCCCTGGGGACTGGACAGAGGGCCCCGCCCCTGGCCGATCCCAGGTCCTGAAAAGGCCCTTCTGGTCTCCCAAGAGGCGGGGTCAGCCCTACGAAGAGCTAAATCCCCGGGAAGGAGGTGCAGGCATTCCGCATTCCGGATTGAAAGTGGGGAGACAATGGAAAGACCGGAGCACCTCCGAGGCCTTACTGATTAAATCTTTCCTTCTGTGGCCAGTGCCACATCTGCAAATAATAAAGAACCATGATGTGACATTCTTGTCACGGCCGGCTGTAGCCTCCAGTCGTCTCTCTTCCTGTGACTTGGGTTCTGCGGCTGCACCACGCATGTCAGCTCCTGGGAGCTCTGCATCTGCTCTTGGGAAGGGGTCTCAAATGCCCTGTGCATTTCTCACCTTCAGCTTCTGCTCCACAGCCCCAGCCTCATTCCCGACTCAACTGCCAGGCCAGGAAGTGACACGCTGGTGCCGCCTCTGGCGGAGGGCTGGGGGAGGCTGGGTTCTGTTCATTTGTCTGTGTCCTTTCCTTCCCAGCTGTCTACAGGAAGGAGTAGCATTTGGGAGTCCTAGGGGTGCAATCTTGTTGCTATATTTACTTCCTGAGCTGCACACTCAGTGGAAAAGGTCAGAAGCAGACACCCCTGAGCTTCCTTCCCCCTGTTGGCCCTGGACAGGGCACTTCCCATTCTCTGGGACCATACCTAATGGCAGGGACTCTGAAATAGTTGGTCTTGCCTGTCCGTCTGTCCCCTGGGGGAGTGAGTCTCTGCCTATACTACAAACAAGAATGACAACAGGAAGGGGTTTCCTCTCCACTCAGCTGGTCACACATCCATCAGTAGCTAACATGAGAAAACAGCAATTGTTCCAAACAAAATCCCCCTATTTCCCCAGTAAAGACATTGACTGGTGCCCTGGAATTGTGCAGTGCACAGCCTGTGGGCTGGCCCAACATCAGCAGCACTGAAATGGCTGCTTAGAGGAAACTCAGCTGCAATGCTTTGAAAGGAAATGTTGACCTTTTGAGTTAAAAGCTTACCCTGGAGCAGGGGTGAGCAAACTCTTCCCATAAATAGCTAATTAGTAAGTAAATATTTTAGGCGCTGCAGGCCTTGGTGTCTGTGGCTGCTCCTCTCTCTACCACTGTAGTGCAAAAACGGCCACAGATGATGCATCTGTGAATGAATGTGGCTCTGTTCCAATAAAACTTTATTTATAAAATGGGTGGTGGGCCATAGTTCATTAATACTTGCTTTTGAAGTTTTTTTCCCTTTAATTTATATCTAAGACTAATTGCATTCCTATAAAATATGTATACATGTGAAAGGGAAAACAGTAAAAGCTATTTAAGGGTAGGTTGCCTTTGTTTAGTATTTTAAAGAGAATGTTGTCTTTAACATTGTTATTTTCAATGAAAACGTTCACACATGCATAAGGTAGCTTTATGCAAAAACTGTCACTGCTGAGTGTGCACAGGTGTGCTTCTAAGGGGGGGTCTCCACAATCCACCTCCCCGTGCAATGGGGTCCCTTCTGATGGCTCTGCCCCCACCCTAGGCTCCTGCGTGCACTCTCTTGGGAGACAGGCATACCTTGTTCTCTTTGCTGGTCTCTCTGTTCCATGGACACGAGGGCAGAGAAATGGGCTTGATCATAGGCCAGAACCAGAGGCGAGCAGTGGCATCTGTTGGGAGGGACCTCCAAGGGCAGGTAGATCCCTCCGAATGGGATGGGTGCGAACGCTGTGGACACAAACCAGGGTGAGGGTGTGAGGAGCAGCCAGCTCGAGCTGGGAGGGGAGGCCCCTGCATCCCTGTCCCTCACTACCCCGGGGGGACTCCGTGGAGAAGCGGAGGGACAGGAGGGGTGGATGGAGGCGGTGCTGAGGGATGGGGCTGAGGGTTTCCAGAGTCATCTGTCTGCCCCAGGACTCCTGCTGCCCTGAGACCTGCACAGGTGTACAGGAGCCCCAGGGCTGGGATGACAGTCACCCGAGATTGGTCAGAGCAGTTGCAGCCTGGAAGCCCACCTTTTTCTGGATGTACTTCTTCCTTTCCTAGTGTTTGGTAAAGCATTTGTATACAACAGAGTATGTGCGCTTCTCAAGGGTGTATATTTGCTCTATGTTTTGAGAACCTCTTCTATTGAATTTGAAGGAACCAGTCAGAGAGCTCCAGGACCAAGATGTAAGTCAGATGGGAACTGAGAATCAGAGGGATCAAGTCCTTCAGTGACAGGGACACAATTTCACTCATTTTCTTACTTGTAAAAAAAGAGGGCAGAAAAGCCTAACACCCTCAGCAAAATAGAATAACTTCTGGAAATATCTGTCCTAAAGCAGCATCTGCTTTGAGGTCATGAAACGTCTTTACTTTTGGCCCTAGAGTGAGTGTATTGCTGCACTCCTTGAGCAGAATTCAGGGACGGTAATTTCAGGGATGTCTTTGATGAACTCTTATGAGTTCCTCCGCCATCCTCACTTTGTCTAAATTGATCACTGTGCTCACAGGAGAGTCAGACTGAGAGGCGACAGGGTGGGGGTACCTGCAAGAGGGCTGTGAGTAGCATGGTAGGAAGCGTGGACCTTCCTCTGCCCCGCAACTCAGAGATCTGATGGTGCTGGGAGCTCAGTCCTGGGCTTACGCAGCAGTGCCCTGATGCAAGCCCTGGTGTTGCACGGAGACCTGCAGACCTCAGCAGGCCCGCGTCCCTGAGCCACACAGGGAAGGGGGTGGGCCAGGCAGGACCTGTGTCCTACCAGTTCCCTGGCTACATAACCATCGTGGCCACATCAGATTTTTTATGGCAGCTGTGATTTAGCGTGAAGAGCCACATCCTGATTCGTAGAGCTCCCTGGAAGACCTATGACTTTTGTTAAGGTGCAGGTGTAAATTCAAACTGGGCAGCTGCACGCTGGAGGGAGGACAGGCTTTGGATCACTCCCTGCCCTTGGCTGATCCCCGCTGGGGACATTGCCTAGCCTCTCTGGGCTTCAGTTTCATCTCTGTAAAGTGGGGAGGGTGGTGTCCACCCTGGGAGGTTGTAGCAAGGGCTGAATGGAGGAACATTCTAGAAGGGGCTGTGCACAGAGTGTGGCTTTTGGTGGGCAGGCCATAAACTGCCCTTGCCTCTTTCTCTGCCAGTTCTGATTCTACCATAGCTTTTGCCAAATGACTCTATGCATTCTGTCTTCCTTTCTTTTTAGTCTTTAACACACATGTGGTCTGCGGAGGGGTGGGAACACACCTGAGTGACTGAGTGCCTCCAGGACATGGCCCAGGGCTGTTGGAGGGGTGTGGGCTGTCTGCTATGCCCTAGGCACACGACAGGAGACAGGAGCCCCTCTGGGCTTGGTCCTGGTCCTCACACGACCAGATTTCTCCTGGCCACCTGCCGTTGATAGGCAGGGCAGCTAGTCAAGAACAATCTCTGCTGCCATCAGGGAGGAGAAAGAAACACGTCGAGGAGATCTTTGCACAGAGTGATGCTTTGTGGCCTCTGGGAGCTCGACCTTGTGCTGTGCTATCTGCTTTCTAGCTGGGATGCTATGCTTTCTGTGTCATGAATACAACACATCTCTTTGAGGAACTTACCTTCTCCACCTGAGTCTCTTAACATTGTATCTGCCACAACAACGATGGGCCTTCTTAATATATGGGCTAGGACAAAAACGTGGAACTCTTCCAGGCTCTCGTACACGGGGTCCTCAGAGTTGTCCACACTGTGAAACAAAACAGAGCCAGCTGGTCACTGACTAAAACAGGGTGGAGGATGGAGAAAGTGGGGACTGCTTCATGCAGGGGCTGAGCCCTCCCCACTCTGGATATTATCTTCATGGACCCCGGCAGCTGCGCCATCCTGGGCCACTTCTCATGCCATCCGCCGATGGCAAATGCACAGGTCCCAGCTCCCCTACCCCACCGTGGGAGCGGTCTCAGAAGATGAGTTGGAAAGAGCCCGCAGGTGAAGGGTGCCGGCCGCTGTGAAGGCGAGTCTCTCTGCAGGCGGAGGCAGCCCACCAGAGCCTGTGGTAGCAGGGCTATTGGCTTTCTGGGGGTGTTTCACAAGGAAGCAGTGGGGGCCAGAGGGATGGAGGGGTTCCTCTCCTGTTTATTTCTCTCAGGGACCCAGGGGTTCCCTGGGCACATCTGATGGGCTGGTGGGGTCATTACCACCAAGATCTGAGGAGCCTTCTAGAAGACACTCACCCCAATGGAGGAGAACAGTGAGAAGGCTGTCTGGATTTCAATCCAGAGCTGGAGGGGATGCGATGTGAATGTGCAGCCCAGGTGGCCCAGACCCTCCCTGACCATGCCCAGGCTCACGTCTGAGGATCAGGGAAACCGCAGGCTCAAGAATGCTTCCACTCAAACCCTAAGACGTTCGGGCAGAAGGTGGCAGCCTCGATGTCCCCCCATAGCAAGGCCACCCAAAAGGGAGGTGCACGTTGAGAGGACAGCCAGAGCTCACAGCGTTATGGAGCCTCGGCTGCACCTGCAGTGCCTGCCAGCTGAGATGACAGCACCAGCCAAGACTCCCCAGAGGTGGCTCTCAGACTTGTTCCTGAGTGTCTGAGGAATGCTCAGAATTAGCTGAGGGAGTCTGTGACGACGGCAGCAGGTGGGGCCAGGGCTGGCAAATGTGGCCCCTGGCATGGCCTGGGGAAAGAGCTTCATGGGTTCATGGGCACAGTTCCCAGCCACCTGGGACTTCCAGAATGCAGGGTGTGAATCCTAGGGAATGCATTACCATCACCTGTGGAATTTTGGTTACATACTACCCATGTTTTTTCTTTTTCTTATGACTCAATTTACCTTTTTTTTTTTTGAGACAGAGTCTTGCTTTGTTACCCAGCCTGGAGTGCAGTGGCGTTATCTCAGCTCAATGCAACCTGCTTGAAATGTTTGTTTTCTGGTGGTGTAAAGAAATAGCACTTGAATATAAATTTTTTTAGTAAGGCTATTTTTATATTTTTTGTAGAAAGGGTATACTTGCTCGCAGTTTTGTTATGAGAGTATATTGAATAAAGGAGATAAGGTTATTTATAACCTGACATGTCCACCTTATTGCTGTGTCCAGTTTTTATTGGGTGGAATGGGATTTTACATTTTGTATTTGTTTTGATTGGTTAGTAACTTTGAATTTTTTAAAAGAGGCAAACGCAGAGGAGAATAAAGGAAGGAATGTTGAGAAAGGTAAAAATACTTTTAAATAAGGAAGAGGAACAGGATGTGACTTACTGCTTTCTTGGACTAGTATAAGTATGCTAGGGCAAATATTTAGGCTAAATTGTGGGAGCTAAGAATATAAAGTATACTGATTTTTTTATTATGGCTAGCAGATATTTAAGAATCTTAGCACAGGTCTTTGAATAAATTTTGCTTCTAAGAGAAGTTACTATTTATTTTTAATTAGATGGGGAGGAAAGGCTTTGAAGAGAAAACTCTATTTTACTTTTTACAATTCTCCCTCTTATAATTTTTTTTTAATTTGTCTGTTTTAATAGCTTTAAGAGAAGTAATTTTTCGAATAGGGTGGAGGAGAGTTAGGAGTTAACTTTGTAAGAGTGGTAGAGATAAGTTTTTGTATAAAATTTTGAAGGCAGGGAATAACATAATAGCTTATAAGTATATTAATAAGAGCGAACAAGGTGAGAATTGAAGTTAATTTTTTTTTTTTTGAGGTGGAGTCTCACTCTGTCGCCCAGGCTGGAGTGCAGTGGCATGATCTCGGCTCACTGCAAGCTCCACCTCCCGGGTTCACGCCATTCTCCTGCCTCAGCCTCCCTGGTAGCTGGGACTACAGGCGCCCGCCACCACGCCCGGCTAATTTTTTGTATTTTTAGTAGAGACGTGTTAGCCAGGATGGTCTTGATCTCCTGACCTCGTGATCCACCTGCCTCGGCCTCCCAAAGTGCTGGGATTACAGACGTGAGCCACCATGCCTGGCCACAATTTTTTTTTTTACTTATCGAATTAATGTTTTATTATTTTAGAAAAAGGGTTATTTATTTTAGAATTTTTGGCAAGTTTATTGGATAGTGCTGTTAATTTTTGTAGTGCTTTTGTTATAGTTTTGTTAGGGGCAGTATTAGGAATAAAGGTACAATATTGAGTTTTAATTATGACTTTTTTTTTTGCTGATATTATATTTAAAGCTTTTTTTAAGGCAATTTGTCTGGTAGGTCCTAATTGCTTAGCTATTTTTTTGATGGCGTTTTCAGTGTAATTTATGAATTGTTGCTGATTGTAACAGATACAGTTTAGTTTACATTTTTTAAATTCATACTTACCAGAATAACGTGGACTTAAATTTTGCAGCTATTTGATTTTGTATTTTAAATTTATTTGAAATTTTTTTTACAGGATTTTAATAGCATTTATATAAACTTGAGGATTAAAGGACTTACAAGGAATTTTTTTTGGCCTGCGGTGTTTTGTTTTTATTTTTTTAGATTGATGAAATGCTAGAGTGAAGGACAGCTAACTGGATTAGTACTGTTTCAAATATTTGGCACAGCGTTTAGTAAAGGTCCTTTACAGTACTACCATATATTTGCTTGGGGATGGCTAAGCATGGATTGATGGGCGAGCTTTTGGAAAAAGCATTTTTTAAATGCTTTTAAGGAATATTAAATTTTTTTCTTGCCATGAGAGGCACAGTGTAAGTTTGGCATTTAGAAAAGGTGCAAGCTGGATTGTCCTCAGGGGCTGACCCGCACAGTGTTAAATTTTAGGAAATAGCAGAGAGAGCTTGGCATGATGGATTATTTTAAGCAGTGGGATTTTGAAAAAGAGCTACTATATAGTTTATATTTGGTTGATGAGGTGACCATTTAAGTGGAAAGGGGATAATTTGGGCCTCTGGAGTACCATGTGTACAAATGTAATAGTGTAATAATTGTTTTTAAAGTGTGAATGGAATATTTTAGCTAGGCATTTGTATTTTGATGTATTGTTTTGATGGCTAAGGTCTGTCTTTAATTTTTTATTTTTATAATAGGCATTCTACTTTTATTAGATGCAGGAGTAACTGGTGTCGGATTTAGAACTTAGGCTACTGAAGAAGGGGAAGATGGGGGAATAATGTGTATTTTAAAAATATTTAGGGTTTTTAAAAATTTCTGTCAAATTTCTATATTATAGAAGTGATTAAGGGTAGGTTTAGAGTTAGTTAAGGTGGAGGTGGTGACAGAAGGACAGGGTTATATTGAGAAGGTTGGGTAGGTTTTTTAATGAAATAGATGAAGGGTTTTAGATCTGTATGTTTTTTTTGTGTGTGTGTGGAAGTTTAACTTTGCTCTTGAGTAATTTAAAGGACGTCGTTCCATTTATTATAAGGTTGTTAGGCTGTAGTGTATCCGGAGTTGGTTCCTTCCAGTGGCTTTGTGGTCTCACTGACTTCAAGAATGAAGTCGCGTGTTACACCTCTTAAGTGTGGCACGGACCCAAAGAGTGAGCAGCAGCAAGATTTATTGTGGAGAGAGAAAGAACAAAGGTTCTAAACCATGGAACAGGACCCGAGCAGGTTGCTGCCGCTGCTGGCTGGGGGGGTGGCAAGCTTTTATTCCCTTATTGGCCCCTCCCATGTTCCATTTCTGTCCTATCAGAATGTCCTTTTTTCAATCTTCCCTGTGACTGGCTACTTTTAGGATTCTGCTGATTGGTGCGTTTTACAGAGCACTGATTGGTGTGTTTTACAGTCCTAGCTACAGAGTGCTGATTGGTGCATTTTACAATCCTCTTGTAAGACAGAAAAGTTCTCCAAGTCCCCACTCAACCCAGGAAGTCCAGCTGGCTTCACCTCTCAGTAGGAGCAGAAAATTGGCGTTTTGGCTGCAGGTGATTATAACGATAAGTGTTAGGGGTAATTGTGTTAATTAGAGGGCCAGGACATAAATATTTGTGTGAAAAGGCTAGCTGTCATTGATTTTTTAATATTTTTACAAGGTATGATAGAGCAAGCATTAAAGGCAATGGTTTGAGGTGAGTTAGATTTAGTTACATTAATAACAAGGGAGCTAGTAACAGAATAAGGAAAGGAAAGGAAGTAATAGAGAAAGTATATGAAAATTAAGCTTTTTAAAATTTTAACTTAGTAGGGCTTGATTTTAGTATAGTAACCTAAGATGTTTTCTTGATTTGAGTATAGTGGGTCCTTTTTTTCTTGGCTGTGTGGACAGGGGTCTTAGTGGTTAACAGCATAAAATAGGGTCCTTCCCAGGCTGGCTTGAGTTTTTTATTTTTTGATAAGGATGTGTTTTTGTTTTGTTTTGAGACGGAGTCTTGCTCTGTCACCCAGGCTGGAGTGCAGTGGCGCGATCTCCGCTCACTGCAAGCTCCGCCTCCTGGGTTCACACCATTCTCCCGCCTCAGCCTCCCCAGTAGCTGGGACTACAGGCGCCCGCCACCACGCTCGGCTAATTTCTTTTTGTATTTTTAGTAGAGACGGGGTTTCACTGTGTTAGCCAGGATGGTCTTGATCTCCTGACCTCATGATCCGCCTGCCTCAGCCTCTCAAAGTGCTGGGATTACAGGCGTGAGGCACTGCGCCAGGCAAGAATGTGGTTTGTAGGCTGGTGCTGATGTACTAGAAATTTTAGGGTTGGTACCTGTGTTAAAAGATTTTTAGTTTTGAGGAAAGGGAAAGTGGAAGATAAATTACGTATATAATTTTTGTTGCGTATTCTGGGGCTTGAGGCCCCATGGTGACGTCTTCTGCTCCATTTCTGCTTAGCGTTGCCTAGGGGACATTGTGGCCCTGCCCCCTCTTAAGGTCTTGGCTTTTTTGTGGCCTTCACCGCCCCTGCGCGTTGTGGCCTTGGGGATGAGGGGCCTTGTGACTTATTCGGCCGCCCTCGGGCTTTGAGAAAGTTAAGCACTATTTTATATTTGATAATGCTTTTTGTATGATTTTATGTTTTTTAACATTAATGTGCTATTAATGTTAAACTTTATTTTAATAAAATTTTGAAGACATTATTTACTTTTAATGTCTGACTATAAGGTAAGGTTTTTATAGACTTTTTAAAACTTTTTATAATTTTTCTTAAAGAGCAGGTTAGTGCTTTAAGAAAAATTTATTGTGCTTTTATTTTAATGTTTAGTTTACAGAAAAATTGGATACCTCTTTAGCTAATATGTTTACATACAGAATTTTCTTTATAATTAATATTTTTAAATTTGTTTAAACTTTTTTTTTTTGAGACGGAGTCTTGCTCTGTTGCCCAGGCTGGAGTGCAGTGGTGCGATCTCAGCTCACCGCAAATTCCGCCTCCTGGGTTCACGCCATTCTTTTGCCTCAGCCTCCCGAGTAGCTGGGACTACAGGTGCCTGCCTCCATGCCCGGCTATTTTTTTTGTATTTTTAGTAGAGATGGGGTTTCACCATGTTAGCCAGGATGGTCTTGATCTCCTGACCTCGTGACCGCCTGCCTTGGCCTCCCAAAGTGCTGAAATTATAGGCATGAGCCACCACGCCCAGCCTTGTTTAAAGTTTTAAAACAAAATTTTTTTAACCTTTTAATGTAGGTAAAAATTCATATTTTTATGTCTTTTTGTAATTTTATTAAAAGTATATATTTTTACATATTTTGTATATAAACTGTATAAACTGTTTTTTAAATAGTTTTACATTTAGGAGGCCTAATTACTTTTAAATTACGTAATATTTTTTGCATAAATTTTTTTTATAACTTCTTATGACTTTTATAGACAATTTTTAACATGTTTTAACGTTCTGCCTTTTACATTATTTCTTTTCCTAATTTTACCATGTCTTTCTTTGATTTTTGTCTTTTCTAGTTATTTTTTTACTTTTTTCTATTTTTTTTTCTTATTTGCACTTTATTTTCCTTTTTTTTTAATTTGCATTTATTTTTCTCTCCCTCTCTGTCATTTTTTGTTTCCTTTTTTTTTCCCGGTCTTGCGGCGCAGGCTGGGCAAGGGACGGGCCCCGCCTGCATGTATGCGCTGCCGTCTGTTTCCCCTGTTTTTTTTTTTTTTCCCTGATTTATTTATTTTTTCTACACTTAGTTTTCTGGGCTGGGTGGGATTTGCATGGCTGTAGTCTTGGCCCCCGGCCGGCTGCAGTCCTGGCCCAGGGCCATCACTGGCCCACAGGCTTGGCAGACACCTGTCGTTAGTCGTAAGAGTTAGGTCCTTTCATCTTGTTGGCTTTTCTTTCTGCGACAGTCCCCGCTCTCTTTTTCACACAGAGCTCGGGTGGGGAGAGGGACTTAATTTTTGGTGTGCCTGGCTGTGTGGCGTCATGCTTGGTGTTTTTGCTTTTTTTTTTCCCCTTCCCCTAGAGGAGCGACTGGCAGGAGTGGAGCTTAGTCTTTTTTTTTTCCCCCAAGAAGAGGGGAAAGGGGAGTTTTGAATATATATATGTATGTATATCTATATGTAACATACATATATATGTATATCTATATGTAACATATATATGTATATCTATATGTAACATATATATGTATATCTATATGTAACATATATGTATATCTATATGTAACATATATATGTATATCTATATGTAACATATGTATATCTATATGTAACATATGTATATCTATATGTAACATATGTATATCTATATGTAACATATGTATATCTATATGTAACATATGTATATCTATATGTAACATATGTATATCTATATGTAACATATGTATATCTATATGTAACATATGTATATCTATATGTAACATATGTATATCTATATGTAACATATGTATATCTATATGTAACATATGTATATCTATATGTAACATACATATATATGTATATCTATATGTAACATACATATATATGTATATCTATATGTAACATACATATATATGTATATCTATATGTAACATACATATATATGTATATCTATATGTAACATACATATATATGTATATCTATATGTAACATACATATATATGTATATCTATATGTAACATACATATATATGTATATCTATATGTAACATACATATATATGTATATCTATATGTAACATACATATATATGTATATATATTTTACTATCGGAGGTTTGTGTGAGGTTCAACTCCTCCCCCATGGGGATTTCTCACCTCTTTTTGAGGTTTAACCCCCGACAATGGGGATTTTTTACCTTGAGGCTTAACCCCCCCGCCCATGGGGATTTCTCACCTCTTTTTGAGGTTTAACCCCCACTCAGTGGGGATTTTTTTTACCTTTTTTTAACCTTTAAGACATCCTGGCTAAGAAATATTTTACCACCTCCCATGGCTTTTTGTGTCTAGTCCTAAGGAATGTTTTACTGCCCCTGCAGTTTCTCTCTCCTTGGTATGTTTTAACTAAGGAATGCTTTACTGCCCCGCAGCTTTTTCCTCAGTCTTGATTACTAAGGAAATACTTTACCGGTGTTTTTTCCTGGTGTTTTTTCCTCAATCTGTGCACAGTTTTCTGGTTCACGTGATATGTGAGGAATTGTTTTTTTTTTGCATTGCTGAGACTCTGAGTTTATTCCACATACCGGGTGGGTTTTGAGCTCTTATCCTTGAGGCCACTGCAATGTGGCAGAGGAGCACGCTCCCTTATGAGGAGGGACTGGAGACCACCCCCGGCAGAGAATGTATCCCCATACGGGTCACCAAAATTGTTTGAAATGTTTGTTTCCTGGTGTCGTAAAGCAATATTACTTGAATATAAATTTAATTTTTTTTAGCGAGGCCATTTTTTATTTTCTGTAGAAAGGGTGTACTTGCCAGCAGTTTTGTTATGAGAGTATATTGAATAAAGGAGACAGGGTCATTTATAACCTGACGTGTCCACCTTACTGATGTGTCTGGTTTTTATTGGCTGGAACGGGATTTTACATTTTGTATTTGTTTTGATTGGTTAGTAACTTAGAATTTTTTAAAAGAGGCAAATGCAGAGGAGAATAAAGGAAGGAGGAAGTAACTTGTGGAATGTTGAGAAAGGTAAAAATGCTTTTAAAGAAGGAAGAGGACCAGACTATGACTTAGTGCTTGCTTGGACTAGTATAAGTATGCAAGGCAAATATTTAGGTTAAATTGTGGGAGCTAAGAATATAAAGTATGTTGATTTTTTTATTATGGCTAGCAGATATTTAAGAATGTTAGCACAGGTCTTTGAATAAATTTTGCTTCTAAAAGAAGTTACTATTTATTTTTAACTAGATGGGGAGGAAAGTCTTTAAAGAAGAACCTCTATTTTACTTTTTACAAGCCTCAGCCTCCCAAGTAGCTGGGATTACAGGCATTTGCCACCATGCCCAGCTAATTTTTTTGTATTTGTAGTGGAGACGGGTTTTCACCATGTTGGCCAGGCTGGTCTCGAACTCCTGGCCTCAAGTGATCCACCAGCCTTGGCCTCCCAAAGTGCTGGGATTACAGGCATGAGCCACCACATCCAACCCAATTAACCTTATTTTAACAGTTCAAAAAATTGGCAGCAATCGAAACCTCACAAAATAGTTGCGCACATACAGTAAAAAGAGCTTTTGTTTCCCTGAACCATTTGAAAATAAACAGCCAACCTGGCACCCCATCACCCTGGAAAGTTCTTGCTCATTTTCTATGAACAGAACATCCTCCGACACAACCACCACACGGCTACCGACATCAGGAATTCACACAGTTACATGCAATCACCAGACCCCACGTGTGTGTGCCAGCTGTCCCAATAATGCCTTTTAGAACAAAGGTTCCTGCTCAGGATCAGGTGCTGCATTCAGCGGTGGCGTCTCCTTAGTCTCCTTCACCTGGAACATTTCTCAGGATATCCTTGACTTCCATGACCTTGACATTTTTGAAGATTACAGGTTGGGTATTTTGTAGAATGTCCTTCATAAGGGTTTCTCTATTTCCTCACAGTTAGATTGGATTGGGTCAAGCTGAGTCCTTCTTGTGACATCTTATCAGGTTGTGTGAACTGCAGATTGTCCCATCACTGGTGAGGTTGTCCCATCACTGGTGAGGTTGACCTGGACCACTCCTTAAGGTCATCTTCCAGGCCTTGCCCCTGCAGACTACTAATTTTTCATTTGAAATTAACAAGCATTTTGTGGAGAGGAACTTGAACCTATGCAAATACTCCATTCCTCACCAAATCTTTATAGGTTTATTGGTATCACTATGGATTTCTGGTTTTCCATTTTATTCAGTGGGTTATAATCCATTAGTGTGATTATGTGGATGCTCAGATACTCCTTGATGTGGTCAGTGTGGCTTCTCTAAAGCTGGATCTGTGTCCTTTTGACATCCTCATCATTTCTTTTTTTCTTTTCTTTCTTTCTTTTTTTTTTTTTTTTGAGACAGGGTCTTACTGTGTTGCCCAGGCCGGAGTGCAGTGGTGAGATCATAGCTCACCGCAGCCTCGAACTCCTGGGGTCAAGTGAGCCTCCCATTCTGACCTCCCAAGTAGCTGGGACCACAGGCCACCATTATGCCCAGAAAACTTTTTTCATTTTTGTAGAGACGGGGTCTCGCTATGTTGCCAAGGCTGGTCTCGAACTTCTGGGCACAAGTCATCCTTCTGTCTCAGCCTCCCAAAGTGCTGGGATTACAGGTGTGAGCCACCGTGCCCAGCTCCCATCATTTCTTAGAGCACTTTCTTGCTTCCTGGTGCAAAAAGATGGTTCAAGTTCACACTCACACATGGATACATATTTTTGCATGTTTATTTTCATCTTTCTCTCCCTCTCCATGTTTATTTTCATCTTTCTCTCCCTCTCAATATTTATAGAAAACCTTGAGTTCACTGATACCTCCAATTCCAATCCAACCCCATAAAGTTAATTCTATTTGCAACTTTCTTCACTTACTTTCAGAAAACTTGTTCGTATTCATTCTAAAGCATTTCCTTATTTGATCAGTCTTCCCATATGTCAGCCATCTCCCACCTCTGCTCCCCATCCGTGAGGTGGCCCTCTTCACCTGTGTGGCTGACATCTGGCTCTGGCCCCTGGTGTCCTCCCATCCCCCACCCACTCCAGATGCCACCTTGCTTTGCCCCACCTAATGGCTTTAGAACTTACTTTTTCAGCAAGGAAGGAAAGGGAAGTAGAAGAGGAATGTTTTAAATATGTATTGACATGAATACATATTCACACATACACACACATATATTTTATGCCAGGTCTAAATGCAGTGCTCCTGGGTGTGCATTTTGAAACACTGCAGGTGATTAGCCTGCCCAGCCACACCTGAAAGCCAAGCTGCAGTGCCTGGGGGGTCAAGTGCTTTTGGAAGTTGCTTGTTTGTCCCTGTCACCTAGTATGCGTTGAGTGCCGGCGAGTGAATGGTTGAACAACATAATGAACAGCACAGGGGGAGAGAATATGGAGTTAAAACCTGCATACTTGGAGAGAGAAATACCCCAGCTAGAAATGTGGAGCACTGTTCCTTCCCTAATTCAAGGAATGGAGGGGGCAGTGCTGGAAAGAGAGGAGCTGCTCTTGAGTCAGGTACTAATACTGAGAAGCGGGCAGAGCAAGGTGAATGGTAGCCCTCTCAGGCCTGGGTTCTGAGTCCCATCTTCACTTCCTGGCAGAACACTCTGGGATCTGAGCAGCTACACAGGAGGACCCCCATGGTAACAACAGCGTGAAGGCTCAGTATTAGGCACCTTTGTACTGGCACAGCATTCTTCTCATGCAAAACTTAAAGCAGGGCCATCATATTTCCAACCAAAAAACCAATAAATATTCATTGAGCACTTACTATACACTGGTGCTGTGAAAGGCACTGCAGAGGCCCTCAGAGAACTCTGCCTTCATGTAACATCTACCAACCTATCCATCCTTCTTCCTATCTATCTATCCATCCATTCATCCATCTATCCATCTACCCACCCACCCACCCATCTCTCTTCCTTCCCTCCCTCTCTCTCTTCATCCATCCATCTATTGATCCACCCATCCACTTGTCCATCCATCCATCCATCCATCTGCTGTCTGTGCATCCATCTGTCCATCCATTCATGCCATCCACCCACCCACCCACACAACTGTCCACCCAACCACCCATCCACCTGTCCATCCACCCACATGTCCATCTATCCATCCATCCATCCATCTGTCCATCCATTCATCCATCCATGCCATCCACCCACCCATACACCTGTCCACCCACCCACCCATCCACCTGTCCATCCACCCACATGTACCTCTATCCATCCATCCATCCATCCATCCACCCACCCACCTACGCACGCATCCATCCATGTACTCATCCTTCAATTCTTCCATTCAACCATCTATCTGCCCAAGCACCTACTTGTCTGTCCATTCATCTACCCGTCCTTCAAGTTCTGTGCTAGGGCAAAGGCATGGAGTTGGACCATGCCCAGCATGGAGCCTCCTGGCAGAACACTCTGGTATTTGAGTAGCTATGCAAGAGGGCCTCCAAGGTAACAACGGTGCAAAGGTTAAGTATTAGGCACCATTGTACTGGCATGGCATTCTTTTCATGGCTAACTTAAGGCAGGGCCATTTTATTTCAGCAGCAATGATAGGATGGCGGGCCCAGTTGAGAGGTGATGGAGGACAGCTGGAGCAGAGCAGCCTTTCTCCATTCCAGTTTTGGTGTTGAGCATGGGAGCCATGTGAGCAACTGAAACCTGCTCAGTGACCCAGGGGGTGGCGGAGAGGATCCCAGCTCCAGCGGGGGGCAGCCTAAAAATCATAATGATGTTCCCTACTTGCTTCTGGCTCCTTGTCCAAGACTTAGGGAGGGTCCTGGTTCTATACCAGGAGCCTCAGTGTTGAAGGCAGCCAGAGAGCACCTGAGGGTGTAGAGGGTATAACAGAAACAAAACAGCAGAGGTTGCTGCCTGGGCATTAGAAGTAGAACACCACACCCAAAGACCCAAGCTGGTGGCCAGAGATAAGAACTTAGAGGCGACTCTCTGCCTAGCAGACTGGGCTTTCCACTTTCCCACCACTTCCTTTAAATGGACCATTCAGACATTTGCCCATGAACTTAAAGTGACCCACATCCTATTCCCCTATATATATTTCTAGTTGGATCTCTCTGCCTGAATCTTAATCCCTGCCTCAATGTGACCCTGGGATGGAGCACTGCCCTCCCAACTCATGATGGCCTCCATGCCCAGGATCTATAAGTAAAAACCTTTGAACTTGCTTCCCATTGTGGCGGTGGATTGAATTTGCACCTTCCTTTGGAAGAAGCAGAGGCTACCCCAGGCCATGTTTTCACCAGACGCCAAGGAGAACACAAGGCTGGTCCCAGCCACAGAGCGATGGTCAGGTAAGAAAAAACTAGACACAGGCCAGACAGGAGCCACAAAGCCATCTGCCAGTACAAACAAGCTTCCCATGTGAGGGACATGGGTCATGGGTTAGGCAACCAGGCATTAGGACACCTGCCAGGTAAGAGAAGTATCCCATGAAAGGCACACTGTAAACGCCTATGTCCAGGTCCCTTTTCATTTCTCCTTATTGCAGGTTTTCTAGCTGCTCTGGTACTGGAACTCCAATTTAGCTGGGGGCTCTAAAATGAAGGGCAAACAAGATCTTATCTGGGACGAGAGTTTGGAACTGTGACCTGCACTCTGTGACCAGAGCCCATTGGTAGAAATCAGTTTCAGAAAAACCAATTCTGAAAATTCACTCCCACTTTTAGCCCTGAGACTTCATGTCTTCTTCTTGTGAGTTTGCTGAGCAAATGCGAGATCTGGGATTGTGGGGAGAATCTGGCCACTGGGCAAAGACATAACAATTCCTAAAATGCTTAAAAATCAGTGCTTACTGCAAAGAAGACTGACATGCAATATAATGACTTCATCCTCCAAGATGTGCATGTCCTGAGAACTTCCTAACATGCTTTGGGCCCCACACACTGAGTTCTCCAGGGCACCTACATCTGCTTCTCCAGTGGGTACTTGAGGAGGGAGAATTTCCAGGGTTAGGGATATACCGTCTACCCAATGAAAACACCCTGAGAAAGATGGGGGTGGGCAGAGGCTGAGGAGTCCCTCCTGGCAGGACCAAGAAGCAAAGGTCATGGAGCAAGGTCCAGATGGTATCTCAGGCCCCAGGGAACAGTTTGGGGGCACCCTGGCTTAAGCTGTAGCCACCATCCTTGGAGACCATCCTCGGCAAGAGCGCGTGTCATAGATAAGGAAGCCAGTCTGGGGCCGGCAGGTCTTGTTAAAGGGCAGTCACCCA
This sequence comes from Homo sapiens, assembly GCF_000001405.40. NCBI lineage: Eukaryota > Metazoa > Chordata > Mammalia > Primates > Hominidae > Homo > Homo sapiens. The sequence goes on from NT_187660.1 coordinate 3,803,102, forward strand.
GCCACCCAGACGGAGAGCCTGGATGAAGCCTCCCAGGTCCCTCCCCATATCCCCTCCTCCAGATGGGGTGTCCACACCTCCTGTTTTGCTTGGGAAAGTCCTGTTCACACATCCCAAGTGGTTAGTGCCCACTTTCCTTCCCCCAAATGAACCAGTTTGGATGATAAATTGTAGTCACCTCACCTATGGGGACATAGGTGTTGGTTTTTGGTGTACCCTTCCATAAAAAAAGTAAGTGCAAGGCCAGGTGTGGTGGTTCACACCTGTAATCCCAGCACTTTGGGAGGCCGAGGCGGGTGGATCATGAGGTCAGGAGATCGAGACCATCCTGGCCAACATGGTGAAACCCTGTCTCTACTAAAAATACAAAAATTAGCCAGGCATTGGTGGCTTGTGCCTGTAGTCCCAGCTACTCGGGAGGCTGAGGCAGGATCATCGCTTGAACCCAGGAGGTGGAGGTTGCAGTGAGCCGAGATCGCACCACTGCATTCTAGCCTGGGTGACAGAGCGAGACTCCATCTGATTAAAAAAAAAAAGTAAGTGCACATCTGTGTGCACACACGTATGAATGTGAGTAAATGCGCATAAACTGTATGCACACATCCTCCCACCTCTAGGTAGCATGTTTATACTCACTAGTCCAACCACTGCCTTTTCCTCCTCCTGATGCATCCTGAGACACCCACAGCACAGTAGGTGGGGATGGTCCTTACTCCTTTTCACAGGTGCAAGGTTCTCCTCATGCACAGATCTCATGGGCAGCATTTCTGAGAGGTGTGCCTCAACCCCTCTCTCAGGTAGGGCCCTGCACAGCAGAGCCAGTCTGAGGAGGCTCAAGGGGCTGAACCCAGCCTATGTCCTGCTGTGGGCCTTTGCCCCTGGTCAAGGACTGTGCCTGCCCAGACAGGCACCTTTTACAAAAGACTCTCCAAAGGCACAGTACAGGCTAGCAGGGACTCTGCTAAGAGCTATGGCCTGGGAAGCTGAGATGGAAGGACGGGGGCCTCCCAGTGCTTCGAAGGGACTGAATGGATCTTAGGCTCTGAAAGACCTTCTAGCAGTGGCCAGTGTGGCTTGAGGAACAAGACTTATTGCTTAGGATCAATAAGCTGAGGTCAGTCATGTGACAAATAGTTACTGATTATCCACTACAGGTCTAGCACTGTGCTGTGTGTGTGTGTGTGTGTGTGTGTGCACGCACGCGCACTCACACTTGCCCATGTGTGCCCATGAATGCAGGTTTAGGTAGGGAGAGATACTAACACATGATCAAATAAGAAATTATCAGTTATTTTTCTGCATCTATCAAGATGATCATATGGTTTTTGTTCTTAATTCTGTTTACGTGATATATCACATTCATTGATTTGTGTATGTTGAATCATCCTTGCATTCCTGGGATAAATCCCACCTGATTATGGTGTATTATCTTTTCGATGTCCTGTTAGATTTGATTTGCTAGTATTTTGTCAAGGATTTCTGCATTCAATACAATTCAGCATCACTTCATGATGAAAATCCTCAACAAACTAGGCATAGAAAGAACATACCTCAACATAATAAAGGTCTTCTATGACAAACCCACAGCTAACAGCATACTTAATGGGGAAAAGTTGAAAGCTTTTCCTCTAAGGACTGGAACAAGATGAGGATGCCCACTTTTACCACTGTTATTCAACATAGTACTGGAAGTACCCACAGCGCAGTCAGGCAAGAGAAAAAAACAAAAGGCATCCAAATTGGAAAAGAAGGAGTCAGATCATCCCTGTTTGCTAGTGATATGATTTTATAATTAGAAAACCATAAAGACTCTACCAAAAACCTGTTATATTTGATACACAAATTTAGTAAAGTTTCAGGATACAACATTAACATAATGAAAGCAGTAGCATTTCTATATACCAGTAACAATCTAGCTGAGGACTAAATCAAGAAGGCAATCCCATTTAAATTAGCTACAAAAATATCGAGGAATATATTTAACCAGGGATGTGAAAGATCTCTATAAGGAGGACTACAAAATGCTGAAGAAAAAAATTGTCAATGACACAAATGAATGGAAAAACATCCCATGCTCATGGATTCCAAGAATCAACATCATTAAAATGACTATATTGCTACAGTAATCTACAGATTCAATACAATCCCTATCAAGTTACCAATGTCATTTTTCACAGGATTATAAAAAACAATAAATTTCATATGGAACTAAAAAGGAGCCTGTCTAGCCAACGGAATCCTAAGCAAAAAGAACAAAGCTGAAGGATAACATCATCTAATTTCAAATTGTACTACAAGGTTATAGTAAACAAAACAGTATGGTATTGGTACAAAAACAGACACATAGATCAATGGAACAGAATACATAACCTATAAATGAAGCCACATACTTATAACCAACTGATCTTCAACAACACCAACAAAAATATACACTGGGGAAATGACACTATTCATTTTGCGTCATTCACTATTTAGTGTTGGGAAAATTGCATAGCGATATGCAGAAGAATGAGATTGGACCCACACTTCTCACCATATATAAAAATTAACTCAAAATGGATTAAAGACCTAAATGTAAGACCTGAAACTATAAACATTCTACAAGGAAACCTATGTAAAACTCTTTTGGACATTGGCCTATGCAAATAATTTATGACCAAGTCTTCAAAAGCAAATGTAACAAAAACAAAAATAGATGTTGGTGAGGATATAATGAAAAGGGAACACATGCTGTTGGTAGGAATGTAAATTCATACAACCTTTATGGAAAACAGTGTGGAGATTTCTCAAAGAACTAAAAATAGAACTACCACTCAATCCAGCAATCCCACTACTAGGTATATACCCAAAGGGAAATGAATCATTCTATCAAAAAGATACCTGCATGTTTACTCTAACACTATTCACAATGGCAAAAAGATAGAAACCACCTAAGTGTCCATCAACGTAGGATTAGATAAAGAAAATGTATATATATACCATGGAATATGACTCAGCCATAAAAAAGAATGGAATCCTGTCTTTTGCAGCAACATGGATGGATATGGAAGCGATTATCCTCAGTGATATAACTCAGAAACAGAAAGTCAAATACTGCATGTTCTCACTTATAGCTGGGGGCTAAACAACGCGTACATATGGACAGGCAGAATGGAATAACAGACACTGGAAGCTATGACAGGCCGGAGGGTTCGCGGGGGTGAGGACTGAAAAATTACAATGTTCACTACTTGGGTAATGGGTACGCTAAAATCCCAGACTTTACCACAATGCAATATTTGCATGTAAGAAACCTGCACTTGTATCCCCTAAACATATTTAAATAAATAATAAAATAATAAAAAACTCTCAGTAGAGTGATAAAAGGTGGATTCTTTAGACAGGAAGATCAGAGAAGGCTCCTACTTGAGAACCATCCCTAGATAGTCAACTTTGGTCTTATTTTCAATTAGAAATGTCTTTAAAAATTTGAGCCGGGTCCCACATCTGCAAAGTGAGGACACCTTACGTTAGCAGATGCTCTTTCTGCTTGGTCTGCTGGTGGAAGTCATGGCACCTTCAGGAATACACATAAGAATGCCTCCTTTCCTTCACAAGGCCAGCCCATGGCCCGGGAGCACCAGGCTGTGGTGTGGGCATCTCCCAGGAATAAAATGCCTCTTGCTTTTCCTCAAAAGACTGACTGAAATTGACAACTCTCAGACTGTGTGCTAGGAAATCACTTGGGATTCTAGCTACTTCCGAAAAAAGCTAATAAAAAGAAATGCAGCAAACACATTGTCAGTGAAATTTCAGAAACTCAACTACAAAGAGAAAGCAGAGAGGTTAGCATGTGAGAAAAGTAAGGACCTAGACAGAAGATGCCCCCGGGGGCTGCCAGAGGGTCCCCCAAACGGTCCCTCTTGCTCTGCTCTCTTCTCCTCTTTGTCTGTCGGACTGGCCTCTCAGCTTCCACTTAGCCCTTCTCATCAAACAGAAAACAAATAAGTAGTTCTTTTAAAAGTTTAAAGAACAAAAATGATTATTTTCACCATAGTCAAGATAAGTTGTTGATTCCTACTCCTCATGCCTGGTCTGCATTTGTCAAGAGTGTGGGCTTAGGTTTCTTTGGTCAGTTCTAAGTTCAGGTTCTGGCTTTGTGTCTTTCAGGCTGTGGGACATTGGAAGCTAACCTGTGATGGTTAGATAGCTGGTTAAACGTTATTTCTGCATGTGTCTGTGAGGGCATTTTGGGTGAGATTAGCATTTCAATTGCTGGAGAGCAGAAAGCAGAGGGCTTTCACCAATATGGGTGGGGCTCATCTGATCTATTCATCATGGGAACAAAACAGTGGCGGAGGGCGGAATAACCAAACCTGTTTGAGCTGGGACATGGACTTTCTGCCCTCAGCACTCCTGGTTCTCAGGCCTTCAGATTCAGACTGGATCCACACCATCAGTTCTCCAGCTCTTGGGCCTTCGTGTTACACCACTGGCTTTCCTGGGTCTCCAGCTGGCACATGCCAGATCGTGGGAATTCTCAGACACCATAATCACGTGAGCCAATACCTACATTAGATCTCTTTATATGTATGTCTTTTATTGGTTCTGTTTCTCTGGAGAACCCTAATACATTATCTAATTCTCTGAATCTCAGCCTCCTTCTCTGTGATTGGTGATGATAATGACAGCTCATAGGCCTGCCTGACACATAACATGGGCTCAGTAGATGACACTGTTCACATTCCCATCTGACCTCACTAATCCCTCCCCAAGCCCTAGGGAAGGCCTGGTTCTTCCACGTGGCCGGGGCCTGGCCACTGTGAGTCCTCCTGGGAGGCACAGTGAGAGGAAGCAGGTCTAGCTCACACCCACACCTGGTCTCTGGTCCCTGCTGACCTCTTCAGATACGTGACATAGTTGCTTTCTGGGAAAGTAACAAGTTTAAAATGACTCCAGGCCATCATCTGTGTCAAGGACCAATAGTACAGGGGCTGCCCCATCTGTCTCCATACCAGGGGCTCCCAGAGCAGGATGCAGGGCCCGCACTGCACCCTTTACCCTCATCCGTGGGGAACAGGTTCTGGGAAACCCAGGCTGGGATGAATAAAGCCACCTTAGTTCTTCTCGCCATCATGCCTGCAAACTCTCCCTTGACTTGCTCTTTCCTATTCCCGGGTGGCACCCTGGAAATTTTGTGTGGTTCTTCTGGTTACTTTCCTGTGCAGGGGGCTATCAGCCCCAAGCTTGAGCCTCCTGAAAGACTGGGTTAGCTTCCAGCTGGCTTCTCTGTTTCACCTTTTGCCTCCTCCCCTTCTCTGGCTGCTGTCTGTGTCCCCTGTGGGGCCGGCACAGGCAGGGAGGAGGGGCAGGAGGGTGGCAAAGTATTTCTTGCTGTCTTCCTTCAGGGCCCGCTGGGCTCGCTGGAGGTCCCAGTGCTGACCTGCTGTCTGAGGAAGTGCTTTTTTTGGGTCTTCAGAGCTCTCTGCCAGTTGAGGGGCTGTGTCCTTAGGTCCCTGGGCTGCAGTGGTGGCTCCTCTCACTGACTACTCGTGTCCACCCTCAGCCCTGGCCTCAGGGGCTGGTCTTCTGTGTGGTCCCCACCATAGATGAGTCCTGAAGCCAGCCCGCTTGGGGCCTCCTCCCTGAATCCATGCCTGGACCTCGGGCAGCTCGCAGCATCCTGGCCTTACATCCCCTACGGCCCCATGTCCTGGCCTGTACAGCCCACCACAGCCCTGTGAACCCTGAGCTCGCCAGTTTCTGCCTTCAGGCCCTTCAGTCAGGTGTCAGAAACTCAACCCTGCAGCCCTCAAGCCCCAGAGATGATGCCCTACACCTCTCAGCTCAACATGGGGAGAGAAGACACAGGCAAAAGGCAGAGCAACTGTGCTTGTGCACAAAGGCCTCTCTTGTGGACTCTGAACCCCAAGTGAATTCTTGGAGCAGGTGAGCTCTGGAGCACCCTGTTGGCGAGTCCTGCACAGCTGCACGGGTGCCTTGCTGAGGCGCTCTCTGTCCGTTACCCCAGTCCATGGGACTCAGCCAAAACTCCCCATTCCCAGGAAAATGTTTTATGCCTGGTTCCAAAGGCCTCCCTCCTTGACTGGCCATGCAAAGGTTCCAGGTAACCCAAGGAGGCATCTGGCTACAGAAGCAACTCTGTTTGGTAGATTCCTATTGCATATGTTCTGTCCTCTTCTGAGTTTTTTGTTTTTTTTTTTCCCTTTTTCTTTCTCCACTGGAAACACCTGTTGCTGAAACCCTAGAAATGCCTCCTGCATCACTGGCACAGGATTCTGACCTGAGCATCAGTGGCATCTGTGGGGACCAGGTGGCTGTGTCCTTTCTACAGACTGCTGTATTTGAGGGATTTTGTTAGGCTGTAGAGCCTGGTCAAAAGAGGAGACTTAATGATCAGACCAAATTTTGACTTTTTGGCTCCTTCCATTTATCATTTTTGTGGGGTCTTGGAACAGTTACCTAATCCCATTGAGGCTCAGTTTTTGAATCTGTGGAAGGGGTACTGGAGGCTTGTGAGGCAGAGTTTGAAAGGAGGGGAGAGAGTGCCTAGCACAGGGCCCTCTTATGGTCTCCCCGACCCCACCCCACCCCACCTGTGCTCGCCTCCCTCCTTCCGTTCCCCCAACACCACCCATACCTTCCTGCCTCATCTCTCCATTCTTTCCTGATGGGGTCACTCCCATCCACCCTTGGTTGTTTAGTTTCCCCTCTCTGGCCATTCCCCGGGTTCTTCCTTCTCTTTTGTGATGTGGCAGCCAGAACTATGGCTCCCAGGGGCAGGGGACCAGGCTATCCTACATAAATGGGACAATGTCTGGGCCATTTTGGATATTCCTAAAGGGACCTAATCCTTTTGTTAGATTAAGGTTGATCACTCAGACTCTGTGGGAGATAGGGACAGACACCAAGTGGCCCCTGTGTCCCCATTAGCATCTGAATCCCTCGGGCCCCAGGGAGCAGGCAGCAGGGTACCAGACTGTGGCCTTAGGAGTCAGATGGGCTGACTAGCCATGAGACCTTGGGCGAAGCTCCTCCTGGATGGGGGTACTCAGGAGATGTGTATGTGATGGTCACCTGTGATTGATTTTCACCCACTATCAAAGTCATCATTGCTGCTGTCTTTCCCCACTCCTCCCTGTCCCTGGCAGAGACACCTGGCCTGGATCCAGTCTGCCAGCACCTATCAGGCGTCCTCCCTGTGGCAGGAGGGAGAGAGGCAACTGTGAAAACGATGTCGAGGAACACTTAAGACCCATCACAGGCAGGACTCGGGAGGCGTGCAGAGGAAGAGAGCAGTTTTCCACAGTCGACTGAGTCTTCAGAATGCTTGTCCTCAAATGTCCTGCCAAGATAGACTGTTGGTATGGACATAACATAGCCTTAAAACACAGTGACAAGACAGCCCTGGAGGAAGGGTGTGCCAGCGTATGTGGGTTTCTAATGATTTCATCTTCAAACATGGTCTTGGACGCCACTGCTGCAGCTGCAGCTCTGTGGGAGCCTCTTTTCCAGCCGGGGCCTCCAGGGAGAGCTGGCCCATGAGGCACTAGGCCCTGCCTTGGTGGGTGGGTGAGGACCCAGTTGCCCGCTGCAGGGCCCATGAGCCTGAGGGCAGCCTGGAGCTGCATGCAATCCTCCTTCCATGGGTCTCCCTGGTGTTACTGCTCACACTTTCTCATGTTTGGCTGAGACCTTCTCTAGGAGCAACACCTTTGCTTTCAGGTTCCAGAGAATATGAACTGAAGAATAAGCCGCGGCCAAGGCTCTATGGCTGCCCCACTGGTCTGGCCACGGTCTTCATTCCATACTAGAACATCCAAGGTGTTTCTGTAGGAACAAGCTATTCCTAAACATGCACAGATGTGAAGTCTTTTTGCTGGGAACACATATAATATCCATGGAGCCCATCTGGGAAACACCAGGCTAGCTTAATGAGCTTCTGCTTTCAGGGCAACTTCTTGAAGCCACAAATTAATTAGTTGGGGGAGAAAACCCAAACTTCAGAGCCAGGTTCGTGCGATGGCAATGTGTGGGAATGCTCACCATCACGTGTGACCTCCAGAGGCCTGCTGTGCCCTGAAGGCGCACACCCCAACTGTTCTGCACAATAAAGTTCAAGGAAAGTGGCCTGGAGGCAGCTCATGTGAGCTCACCTCTGCCTGCATAGTGCATGTGGGGGCTGCATACCCTTCCACTAGCACCTGGCGGGGCCAGCCATCACCCACGGTCCTCCCGTGCGTCCTTGTCTTGAAGCTAATGCTGGAAAGCTGGAATCTTTCTGTCTTCCACAGCACAAGAGTCCCACATTCCCCCCCGTGCCATCCCCCCATGCTGTGTGTAGCCCTGGGTGGCCTGGAGCTGGAGGTGACTTCTGGGGAGAGCAGGGGCAGCACTTACCCCCCGCCCGTGCCGCCATTCTTGCTGAAGTGTGTGCGCGGCTCGCTGGAGGCCAGCTTCAGCAGCTCCGTCCACTCCCGCTCCCACTCCTCCTCTGTGTACACCAGCCCTGACTGGCAGAGGGGAGCCGGCTCAGAAGGGGGGTGGGCCACAGCTGCGCTGCCCTCCTCTCCTCACCCTCCCAATCTGGACCAGCCTCACCGGGACCCAGGCCAGGCACATCTGTAGGTAGCTACCAACTATACCAACTGCACCCTCTTGGCCACCTTTGCTATGCACAATATATTTTCAGAAGCCCCAAGCTCTAATTCCAGAGCTGCTGGGAATCTGCCCACCAACAAGGGTCATTCTCAGGGGCTGGGGATGACCGAGCATTAACCTGTGCCTGCACCTAACTGGGGCTGGCCGTTCAGATTCTTCTAGGAGAGCAAGGTCCTCATGTTTACCATGGTTGGGGACAATCGGGAATCCCTTTGGACTGAGCTCACACACAGGGGCTGGGGCCATGGGCTGCACCTGACAGCAGGCAGTCATATATATAATTCATCATCCAAGCCAGGATGCTTTTGGGAATGAAGGTAGGCAGCTTTCATGATTATGCCTTAAGGAAGCACAAGTGGACGCATAGTTGCTGTCTGCCGGGACTCTGCTATTTTAACAGGCTCCTCCTCTGTGGGCTTAAAAGCAGGAGACTTTCCTGATCCCAGGGGCTGTTTCTGCCTTCCCCTCATAAGACTGTCTGGGGCCTGGAGGCCATGCTGTGGACTCGACCACGGCCCGAGGCTGCATCTGGCCTGGGTCCCGGGCTCTGGCCATGCCAGTGGATACCAACCTCCTTATTCTGCTGCGTCTGCTGCCACCTCCACCTCCGCTTCAGGGCTTCCCTCTCAGCTCCCGTCCTCATCATGGTATAGAGAGCTTTCCGTAACACCAGGTCCCGGTCGTGAAACCCCCACATTCCTGGAGCCAGGAGGCCAGGGAGAACAGAGGAGAGAAAGGACATGAGAAAAGACAAGCCAGAGGTGATGCAAACTACCACGACCCACTGGGAGAGCCTCCTGTCTGCACGCAGAACAGCCTCCTTACTCAGCGGTTCTGTTAATTCCCCTCCAGCCTTCTTCCTGAGGCTTCCCATTAAGGCAACTAGGTGAATGAAGCAGCACATCCTGTTCTTAGCAAAACAATAGTGGGTGAAAATCAAGTGCTTTTCCTCTCTGGTGCCCTTGGCAACCCATTCTCAATGTTGCTGGTTTGCTTTGAGGACCTAATGGTCATTATTCAAGTCTTACATTTGGGTGGGGGACTGACTAGGGGACAGGGACAGGCTGTCCAGTGTCCTTATGGAGGGCTCCAGGTGAGGGAGGCCATTAGCATCCTGGCTTCTCCAGGGTCTGCCATTTCCCTCCTCTCCAGCCCTGAGGCATCTCAGCTTCCTGAGAAGCAGAGCGCCAGTGACACCACTGCACACACCTGGCCCAGGAGAGAGCGCCTGCTTCCTAGTGAGAGGGTCTCACCCTGTGCCAGGTGCTGAGAGGATATAGAGAGAAACCAGCCATCTCTGAGAATGTGCTCTGGGCAGCTTAGATGTGATCAAGAACCCCAACTCATGGGAGAAGTGCTCAAGAGAAGGGCAGCTCTGGCTACAAGGGAAAACACAGGGGAATCCATCCATCCATCCGTCCATCCAGCCATCCACCCACCCACGCACCCACTCACTCATTCTAGGTGCTGGGAATATATGTGGCAGTGGCCGGGACACATGAAGTTCCTAAAATCTCATGGAGCACATGTTGTGGGGAAGTGGGAAGTGAGGATAGCCACGAGGCTGGCACAGAGTGTACGATGTTGAGGGTGGCAGCCCCACGAGGAGAGGTGAGGCAGGCAGATCTGCTGTGGCGTGAATGGAGACATAGGAGCAAAGGCTCAAATGGGTGGAGGAAGGAGCCAAGTTGCTGTCCCAGCACAGGGAAAGGCCAGGGACAGACCCAGAGGGGGCAGTACTTGAGAAAAGGCAAGAGGGAAAGGTGGCTAAAGTGGGATCGAGGAGAGAGGGAGAGTGAAAAGGGGGCTCTCGAGGGAACTGTGAGCCTCTGGAGAGTCTACAGAAGGAGAGTAATGTGAACTGATGTTTTCAAAGGCTCAACTGGCTGGGCATCTTTGGATATGCAATAGCCCAGGCCTGCCACAGGCTTCTAGCCAGCAAGGCTTCGCCTTTTTCTATAGGATGGCAGGGGAGGGGGAATGACCACTGTCACTCCTCGCTCATCCTCAGACCTCTTTCAGCTGCCTCCTGGGACTCTCCCACAGCTCCTTGGGCAGGTCTCTCTTGCAGAGATGGCCTCCTTGTCCTGCATATATCTGCCTACAGGCCTGACTCCAAGATGACTGTCATTTCTATATGTGCCCCACAATCCTAGCTCAACGTCAGGCCAGGCCAACAGGGGTTCCACAAGGACTGCTGGTGAATGTCATGTGGCAGCTTTGGGTAGCCCCAGTCCTGCGGAGTTTAGCTATATGGGCACAAAATGAAACAAAGTGCTGGGATAAGAGGACAGATTGCTATGAGCTCTGGGCTTATTGTTGTACAGGGGATTCTTGGAGGGGGGTCTCACAGCCCTGGTCAGTCATGGCCCAGGCTCTCTTGCAGATGGAAATGACCAGCCTGAGGGAGGCTCTCTCTTCCCAGGCAGGCCTGGGAGGCCCACTGTGCTCACAGGGAAAATGCTGTGGGGTGTGGCCTTGCCCCGCTGTTGTGCTGATGGGGACAATGACTCTACATGCTGCAGTTGCTGAGGGACAAAAACATTTCCATGCCCCAGACTTCACAATGAGGCTGCTGTTTGACACAGATGAGAGATTTATTCTTTTAGATTCTTTCTCCAGGTTTTAGAAAGAACAAGGCAAAATATGCTCAATAACAGGGGAATAGTTAATGTTATCCACTATGATAAAATAAGACCCAACTACTTAAAATCATGTGTTTGAAGGATAACAGCAGGGAAAATTCTCAGATTGTAAGGGAAAATGTTGGATTCAAGACTGTGAACACAGCAAGATCATCATTTCACCTGAAGAACAGACAAAAGACCGGAAGATGATGACAATACCAAACTGTTAAGAGTGGCCGCCGCTGGGTGGGGGTCGCTGATTTTCATTTTCTCACCATGGTGAATGTGGAGTACTTTTGCAATGCCAACAAGCAGAATGTGCTCCAATGACATGGAGATGAAGCAGGTAAGTGGCTGCCTTGCCTTTCCTCACTGCAGGTCAAGCCTGGGGAATGTTTCCCTTGTTCTCCATCCTCCTCTGGAACCCTTCAAGACCCTGATGTATTTCCCTTGAAGCCCTTTACAGTCTTATCTCACCTACCTCTTGCTGAATAGGCCTCACCGCAGGTCCAAAGAGAGAGAGGTCTGGGGGCTGGCCCTTGATGTAGGTCATGGCACCCAGTTAAAGCCATGTTTGTTGGGGATGCAAGTTTGACAAACAAGGACTGCATTCCTGTGTGAGGGTTGTGGGTTTTGGAGAGGCGCTATCCTCCAGGGCGGGTAAGAACCAACCGGCCCTGATGGTCCCTGGTGCAAACCCAGACTCACCTATCAAAATGGATTCAGCCTTGTGCATATAACGCTGGGCCTAAAGGGATAACTGAGGTTCCAGAAAGTCGATGATGATCCTCAATTATCCAAATATTTCTGTGTTGTGTGGCTTTGTGTGATCGGGAAGCTCACGTCTCTATTGGACAAGTGTGCTGATCTCTCTGTGGTATATTCTGACTATGCTGACTCCCCTGTGATTTATCTGAGCAGTACCTACGTCTGTTTCCATTAGTCCATGCCAACTGTTGACTGCTGTCAACATAGTGGACCCTCATTTACCCAACCTCATGCACTGCTCCCAAAACTTCCTACTCCAGCTTTACCTCGTTCACCCCTACCTCCAAACACCCTGTCCATTCCTGCCTTTATGCTTTATCTGCGGGGTCTCCCTGCCTGCAATGCCCTCTTCTAGTCTCTCAAGTTCTTCAAGTTTCAGTAAAGATCCCACCTCCTCCCAGGAAGTCCTTTTTATTTGTACCAGGCGACGGTCTCTAAGTCCCATCCCTGCAGCTATGCTCAAGGCCTCCTTCTATCACGCCAGGTCTTTTCTTATGTGTGTTCTGTCTCTCCAGCAAGTGCTACTTGACAAGAAGGGCCAGGATTGTTGGCTCTGTCTCCTGGGGACTTTCTCATGACAGTGACATGGGTGACTCTATTTAGTGTATGCTTTTCCTTCAATAGTGTTTCCTTCAATAGCATATGTCTTTCCTTACGCAGGCCTGGAGCCTGGCCACCCTCTGTCTGTGCTGTGGAGCTTACCCAGTGAAGCAGCATGTAAAAGGCAGTTCCCATCCCCTGTTGTGGCCAGAGGAAGAAGCCGTTTACAGCTCGTGCACACAGTGGACCACCAGTTCAGGCGACCTGGAAAAGAAGCTCACTTTAGAACAGGATCCCAGAAAAGGAAGGGGCCACTGGGGGTGTTTGCTAAGGAGGCATAAACATCAGGGACAGATTTTCCACAGGTTTCAATAGAAAGGGGGAACATTATGGCTACTTCTCTCCTCAAATAAAATATAGATTTCTTTTCCCTTTGAGGACAAGAAGTGGCCAAATCCTCCCATCAATTAGCATGAGCATTAAGAAACTCAAGGCCAGCACCTTCTCTCCTTGAATCTGGAAACGTATTTTACACAAGATAAAACATTTCTTTGTAATTTCCTTGAACACAGCTTTCCCTCCTGAAAGCTATTTTTTCCTTTCACCGTCTTGCTTTTTTGAGGCACACATACCTTTGAAAGTATAGTTCATATTTCATTTGATTCATCAAAACCATTATAGTTACATAGGTGTAGTTATGTTAAATTTCATGAATATTTACATTTAGAGACTTCCACTTCAGGGAAGATAGATCAGATGTACTTTTTCCTATTTCTCTTACTAAGTACAACGAAAAGCCCTGGAAATTATGTATAAAATCATATTAGAAGACTCTGAAAAGTGGAGAAGAAGTGGCAGACTAACTAGGGATCTTGAGACTTGAGGAACGACATAATGGTGGGTTCCCTGGAGTTTCTTTTTGCCTCACATATCCCAGATTAGATACTGTAAAAACGAACCAATGAGAGTAGGCCACAAAAAAAAAAAAAAAAAAAAAGATAGAAAAGAAAAAGCATGCTCTCTCTAGACAGAATACCAGGAAAGGGGTAGCTTAGCAAAACAGTAGCTGCTTAGACATTTCCTCTTCTATTCCAGCCAAACATCACAGAAAAAATTATAACCCGACCACCACCCCTGCCAGCAAAGTTCTAGTGAGAAGCCTAGACTTCCACCCTCACCAGGCTGTAACAAGGTGCTCATCACTGCCTGCTCCATCACCTGGGGAGTGTCAGAGAAGGCTGAGTACAAAGCCAAGACCTCAACCCCACTGGGTGGTAATAAGCACCTTGCCCTCTATCTTCAGAGGACACACAGGGAGCCTGAACTTTCACACTCATCTGGCTGTAATGAGAATCTCTGCCTCCTCTCAGCTAGGAAGTACCCCTGCCAAGAAGTACCAAGCCCATTCCCCAGGTATCAACAGGGGCAGAGGGGGAACCTGTACTTCAATTACCCTCTGGCAGTTGTCAGGCAATGGCCCCCTGAACCTACCAGAGTGGTGTCAGGAGGTCCGCTAAAACACAAGATTTAAGTAAGACCCAGAGTCCTATAACTTAATACCAAATATATACCCTTTTAAACAAACAAAAAAAATCACTTATACCAAGAACCAGGAAGATTTCAAACAGAACAAGAAAAGATATGAAAACTGAGATGACAGATGTTAGAGTTATCTGACTGGGATTTAAAAGTAGTCATCCTAAGAATACTTCAACAAGCAATTACAAACATACCTAAGACAAATGAAAAATTAGAAAATGTAGTAAAGAAATAGAAAGTCTTACCAAAACAATAGAAGATACAAAACAGAGCCAAATAAAGAACAAAAATATGGGCAGATATAATAGGGACTGAAAAATACAACTCTGATTTTAAAAACTCAATGGATGTGCTGAAAAGCAGATTGGAGAGAAGAGAAAAAGAATCAGTGTAATGTAAAGGTATAACATAGAAATCACCCAATTTGAACAACAGAGAAAAATTAAACTTAAAAAAAAAAACACATATACAGAACACAACTCAGGAACATGTGGGACTGCGACAAAAGTCTGGAGTCCGTAGAAGAGGCGAAATAAGGTAGAGCTAAAAAAGTATTCGAAGAGGCCAGGCGCGGTGGCTCACGCCTGTAATCCCAGCACTTTGGGAGGCTGAGGCGGGCGGATCACGAGGTCAGGAGATTGAGACCATTCTGGCTAACACGGTGAAAGGTGAAACCCCGTCTCTACCAAAAATACAAAAAATTAGCTGGGCGTGGTGGCGGGCGCCTGTAGTCCCAGCTACTCGGGGGGCTGAGGCAGGAGAATGGCGTGAACCTGGGAGGTGGAGCTTGTAGGGAGCCGAAATCGCGCCACTGCACTTAGGCCTGGGTGAAAGAGCGAGACTCCGTATCAAAAAAAAAAAAAAAAAAAAAGTGTTCAAAGAAATAATCACTAAATCACTAAAAGGTTCCCAATTTTTGCAAATGAACAAACAAACATACAGATTCAAGAAGCTGAGCAAACCCTAAACAGAAAAAAAACCCATAGAAACTCATGCCAAAATACATCATAGTCAAACTTCTAAAAACTAAAGACAAAGAAACCTTAAAAGCTGCCAAGGAGAAACAACGCCTTACTTATATGGGAAAAACAATTCTAAAGACAGTGCATTTCTCATTGGCTACCGTGTAGGCCAGAAGGAAGCAGGATAAATTTTTTTTTTTTTTTTTTTGAGACAGAGTCTTGCTCTGTCACCCAGGCTGGAGTGCAGTGGTGCAATTTCAGCTCACTGCAACCTCTGCCTCTTAGGTTCAAGTGATTTTCCTGCCTCAACCTCCTAAGTAGCTGGGACACAGACATGCACCACCAAACTTGGCTAATTTTTGGTATTTTTAGTAGAGATAGAGTTTTACCATGTTGGCCAGGCTAGTCTCGAACTCCTGACCTCAAGTGATCTGCCTGCGTTGGCCTCTCAAAGTGCTGGAATTACAGGCATGAGCCACCACGCCCAGCCAAGATAATATTTTTTAAGTGCTGAAAGAAAATAACTGTCAGCCCAGAATTTTAAAGCTAGCAAAAATATTCTTCAGTAATAAGCAAGGAGATTTTGTTCCTAGCAAGCCTACCTTAAAGAAATGGCTAAAGGAAGTTCTCTAGGCAGAAAGGAAACGATAAAAGAAGGCATTTTGGCATATAAAGAAGGAAGAACATGGAAAGAACAAAAATATGGGCAAACATAATAAGACTTTCCTTCTTCTCTTGAGTTTTCTAAATTATGTCTGATGGTTAAAGCAAAAATTATGACATTGCCTATCTGTTTATATGTTTCAATGTATGTTGAATAAATATTTAAAACAATTTTATTATAAATGGTAGAGAATAAAGAAGCAAAAAGGCAGGTAAGGTTTATATGCTTCACCAATAGTAGTAAAATGTCAACACCAATAGACTTTGATAAAGTATGTGTATATAATGTAATAACTAGAACAATTCCCAAAAAGGTTATACCAAGAGGTATACCTAACAACAACCAATATTACACAAGCTCCTCCAGAAAATAGCCAACATTACCCTGATACCAAAATCAAAAAAAGTACAAAGAGAGAAAAGTGCAGAGTAACATCTCTCATGAATATGATGCAAAATTCATAAGAAAATACAAACAAGCAGAACACAGTAACATATACAAAGAACTATATACCATGACCAAGGGATGCAAGGATGGCTCAATATTTGAAAATCAATCAATATAATTCACCATATTAATGGGCTACAGAAGAAAAATCACATAATCATATCATGAATACAGAAAAAGCATTTGACAAAATTCAATACTCATAATTAAAAATTCCCATAAAACTAGGAATAGGGGGATCTCCATAACTTGATTTAAAAAATCTACACAAACATACAGCTAACATCATACCTAATGGTGAAAGACTGAATGCTTTACCTCTAAGACTAGGAAAAAGACAAAGATGCGCCCTCTCTCCACTGCTATTCAACATAGTATGAGAAGTCCTAGCCAGTGAAATAAGTCAAGAGAAAGAAATAAAATCTGTATTCGCAAATCAGAAAGGAAGAGATAACACTATTCTTCTTAGCAGAGAACATGATAGTTCACACAGAAAATCATAAGGAAGCTACAAAAAACCATAACTAATAAGCAATTTTTTAAGGTCACAGGATACAAGATCAATATACACAAATCAATGGTACAGTCATCCCCAAGTATCTGCACAGGATTGGTTCTGGGACCCCGCCGACATACACCCAAATCTGTGTATACTGAAGTCTGATAGTTGGCTCTGTGGAACCTGTATGTCTAAGAAGTTGGCCCTCCATATACATGGATTTTGCATCCTGTGAATACTGTAATTTTGATCCTCACTTGGTTGAAAAAAATCCACATATAAGTGGAAGTGGACCTGTGCAGTTCAAACCTGTGCTGTTCAAGAGTCAATTGTATTTTGCATACTAGCACAGATGTCTAAGGGGCCATGGAGCAACTGGAGTTTTCATACTTTGCTGTTGGGATTGTAAAAAGGCACAATTATTTTAGAAAAACTTTTGGCAATTTCTAATACAGTTCAACATACTCTGATATCGGTTTGGCTCTGTGTCCTCACCCAAATCTCATCTTGAATTGTAATGCCCAGGTGTCAAGGGAAGGACCTGGTGGTAGGTGATTAGATCATGGAGGCGGTTTCCCCCATGCTGTTCTCATGATAGTGAGTGAGTTCTCATGAGATCTGATGGTTTTAAAAGTGGCAGTTTTCCCTGTGCTGTCTCTCTCCTGCCACCTTGGGAAGAAGGTGCCTACTTCCCCTTCCCCTTCTGCCATGATTGTAAGTTTCCTGAAGCCTCCCCAGTCATGCTGAACTGTGAGTCAATTAAACCCCTTTTGTTTATAAATTACCCAGTCTGAGGTAGTATCTTTATGGCAGTGTGAAATGGACTATTACCTACCTTTACCATATGACCCAGCAATTCCACTCGTGGATATTTATTTACCCAAGAGAAATGAAAACATAAGACTCATATAAGAAATTCAGAGCAGCCTTATTTCTCAATAAAACTAGTTGCTAACACATCTGGGACTGTGTCTCTGAAATAAATAGCCATTGGGAGTTACCTTGGGTTCTGTTTTTGTTTTTTTGTTTTTTTTTTTTGAGACAGAGTCTCGCTCTGTCACCCACGCTGGAGTGCAGTGGCGCGATCTTGGCTCACTGCAACCTCCACCTCCTGGGTTCATGCCATTCTCCTGCTTCAGCCTCCCGAGTAGCTGGGACTACAGGTGCCCACCACCACGCCTGGCTAATTTTTTGTATTTTTTTTTAGTAGAGACGGGGTTTCACCGTGTTAGCCAGGATGGTCTCAATCTCCTGACCTCGTGATCCGCCCACCTCAGTCTCCCAAAGTGCTGGGATTACAGGTGTGAGCCACCGCGCCTGGCCGGGTTCTGTTTTCTAGTGAACTCATGTCAAGACATCTTCATTCACTCTTTCTCAGGAAGCTTCAGGAGGATGTACTCCACAAAATGAGGGTGGAAACCAAAACCAGAGAAATACAGGAAACAGGAGGGAAATGGGTGAATAGCACAGAAGCGAGGCAAAGGTAATCTCCAGGCTGATGGCTACAGGAGACTCTATCCTACCTGATGACAGGTGCATCTGCACTCATGGCTGCTTTTCAAAAGAATGTGTCTATGGAAAGGATAAATAGCCTGGCTCATTTACATGTTAGGCAGGTGACACAAATGTCATCTTACATGTCACTTCTTGGATAATACTAAAATTGTTTAAAAATTGCTTCAAGCTTATGAGTGGTTGTATCAAGCTTCTAATGTTATGTGAAACTTCTAGTGACATATATATGTTTTTATTTGGAGGATGAAATATAACATGCACCTCCCTAGGGCCTTCAACACTTTGGGAACTTCAATCAAATGAGAATGTTTATAATAGATATTTCCAAGAAATTATAAAAGCATTTTAATCAAAAATTCTTTAAAAAAGAGAGAAATATTAATAGGATTTGAACAACTGAAGAAGCAGAACATGTTTTACATTTCTACATTCCATCTGTCAATGGCTAAAGAAAACGTGTAAATACACAGGAGAATACTATTCAGCTATTAACAAGAATGATGTCATTCATTTGCAGCAACATGGATGAAACTGGAGGTCATTATCCTAAGTGAAATAAATCATGCACAAAAACACAAATATTGTATGTTCTGAATTATATGTGGGAGTTAGAAATGTGATCACATAGAGGTAGAGAGTGCAAAGACAGATACCAGAGACTGGGAAGGGTGAGTGGTGAGGGACGATGAAGAGAAGTGGGTTAAAGGGTACACACATACAGTAAGATGGAATACATTCAATGTTGGATAGCAGAATAGGGTGATTCTACTTAACAAAAATGTATTGTACTCGGGTGATGAACACTCTGACTCAATCACTACACATTATATACATGTAACGAAATTTCAGATATACCCCATAAATTTGTACAAATAAAAAAATCTAATTTTAATAAAAGGTGTTGTTTCTATCAGAATAGAAATAATGAAATATGAAGGATAAAGACTGCGAGTAAGCTTGAAAATTAAGGCCCTCAGGAGTATATTTATTTTAGAGTCAGACAGTTATTGCCTAATGTGTTGCCATATTAACAAAGTTTAATATAAAAAAACTTCTTGGTTCTTTGTTTAAACTGAATCCTTATCCACTCTTCAGCGCTTTTTGGTTAAGATTCAGTGATTCCATTGTAATAAGTGGCATTACTGATAAAAAATAACTGCGCCCTTAATTCTAAATAAAAGCATGTATTAAAATTAACACTACAAAGTTAAGTAGACGAACATCTATTTATTATATGAAGATGTTAATGCTTACACTAACAAATTGGTATATTCTTACCACCTACAAGTCACCTTATTAAAGCTAAATGAGAAATGCAAGTAAGGGCTTTAACTGACACTACCACTGGATGGACCGTTGTGGACGTCATTGGAAAAAACACGCAGTTACTTAGTCACTTCTTTGTCTCTAGGCTGTGAAATAGCAACCTGTCTCACTTGACTTTTAAAAAGTGTTTATAACAACCAGGCTGGGATACAGTAAAACTGGGTTGCCACAGAGTAAAATAAAATGGCAGGATCTTTGCTTACAAAGGCATAAAACTCAACAAAATGGCTGTAACACCTGGAAATCCGACACATTTGACACCAAAGTGGGCAGCCTTGTTCATCCTCTGCATTGATCTCAGCTGCTAGTGCTCTGGGCAACCATCAGGGAGTATAGGGAACATGAGTAGACAATCAGGGAGAGGAGGGACAGGGAATATGCTAATGAGGCAGGTGGTCTGCATTTCTGCGGCAGACCTCGTTGTCTTGCCCGCCCCACAGCGTTTCCCTCCCATCCTTGCTGACATCGCCCTGCTTGTGTCTGGGGCTTTTCAGGCAAGCCTCCTTGCCTGCCCAATGGGGCAACGTGCAAATGTTCATACGTCCAAGACGATCTGTGCAATTCCACTCCCCTTGCCATGGACTGCTGTCGCCTGGCTCACAAGATGTAACAGGAGACCTGCTGGGGCTTGCTCCTCCTTCACAAGGGCCACAATCAGGGGCTCTCTCTTGCTGCCCTGAATGATGCAGTGTGAGGATGTGTGGCCTGATGCGGCCACAGCTACACTGCATCCCCAGCTGGAGCTAGCACTGACCCGCTGGGGAGAGAAGAGCAGGGTGCTGTGTGTGCCTGGGTCCTCCATAACACTGTGCAGCTGCCAGCCCTGCCATGAACATCCCTGTTTTCAGACTCTGAGTTGTGTGGGATAATGATGACCTCACAGTTTAAGCTCCTGCTGGCTGGGTTAGTGTGTTCTCCTGCACACTGCAGGACCTTCAATAAATCAACCAGCTCTGTGTCAGGGGATGTTATTCCCATTTTACAGAGAAGGAAACTGAGGCTCACAGGGAGTAAGTAAACTTGCCCACGATCCGCTGAACCTTAACAGGAGCCCTCACACATCCAGGACAAAATCAGATCACAAAAAAGGCCAGTCTAATTTTGTTTGTTATGGTTGAGTTTGTGGCAAGCCAATTTTAACTTCTCTGACCTATATGATTTCAAAAGCCGTATTACTGAGTAACGAGCAAAACTGGAGCTCAAATTTTGTAAAGTGCCAAAAGAAACACACCCATCACCCAAAACCAAATGAATGTCACCCCTCTGCCATATTTGCACCAGCAGGTTCCTTTCAACATAAAAGAAAAGAAAAACGAGTAAAGATCAAGCTGAAGTTCCCTCTATTTGCCTCCCCCATTTCACTCTCATTCCTTCCTCCCTCGCTGTAACACCAACATGAATTTGGCAATTTTTTTCATTATATCACATGAAGACAGTATTTAAAAATACATTATATATTCAAATCTTCAGATAAATGATACTATTAAATGCTGACGAATGTGTGCTGTACACAATGTTTATTCCTCTGCCACCGGTTCTGGGGAGGCGCTGGCTTGGCCTCTCCCCTGCAGTAGAGACTGAGGATTCTTCTTTAAGACTTCTGACTTGTTATTCCTAGGTGGGGAGTGGCTATCCAATGGGTCCATATAATGAGCAAGTGCCTCAAATCCATGTTATCCCATTCCTCCCATATTCCTTCCTCCCCACACCCCAATTCCTTTCCCTTGAGCTTTCTCTCTCCCCAACCTGGCTCACTGCCAGTGTCTAGGCATAGCAGGACTTTCCCCTTCCTATCCCTACAGACTGTGCAGATCAGCAGGGCCTCTGCTTGTTCCAGCCTTTATTACAGATATAAGGAGAGTAACCCAGGGTCATATGACCCCGAGGTCTACACTTGGGAGAAGGGTGAGGAATTAACCCCACTGGAGCATTCAACAATGAGATATGACCATTGTACGTGAACTGGCTGGGAATCTTAAAATATCCATTTTCATGAAAAACAAAAGAAGAGAGAATGTTTTTCAAAAAGTGCATAAAGAGCCATAACAACCAAATGTAACGCATAAAGTTGGGTTTTTTGGAATGAAAATAAATTACAAAAATGACTTTGGGGCCAATTGGGAAAATCTGAGTATGGGCTCTACTAGTTGACATTACTAAGTTAGTGCTAATTTTCTAATGCTGTTAAGTCATATAGGAGAATGTCTTTATTTTCAGAAGAAGTGAAGTATCCACAATACACATTCAAATGATTCAGAAAAAGTGTATGTACTTCCATACACATAAAGAGAAATAAAGCAAATGTGACAAAGTCCCGAAAACTGGTGATTTTTGGTGCAAGATATATAAATACTCATCTTCCAATTTTCCTGTAGATGTGAAGATGTTCAAGACGAAGGAAATGGCATGTGGGTTTACTCTATAGTCTTACAATGGAGACATTCTGTTCTGGTGCCAAAGACAATTTCTATGTAAATTAACTCATTTGTCTCGATTAAGTTTTAAAAATGGGTTGAATTCAGTTAAAAATATTTTGGGCGAATCTAACTAATGCAAACTAATGCTAGTTTGACTAAATTTTTCCGCTGTTTCAATAGATTGAGTTGAAATTTTTAGTTTGGTTATAATTTTCAATTTTTTTGAAGGCACAGAGCCCTGAAGCTAATAGGTGACTTCTCTGAAGTGTCTTCTGTCAATCCCCTCTACACCATAGCAAGCAGCATTGAAAAATCACCACACTTTCCATGGCAGACACGCTAACGAATCATCACTCTTCCCACAAAGGAGGTGAAAGACCTGATTTCCCTTTTCAATTCAGAGGTCTGTGCAATAAAGACCAACTGATTCAAGTTGAAAATGAGGATGAAATAGTGGGCTTTGGAACACCTACCCTTGCAGAATCTGGACTAGAGTGTCTAAGGTAGTCATCAGAGAGGCAGCCAGTAGACTGGTTAGGCACAGAAGCTGGAGTTAGACTTCCTGGGTTCAAATCTCAGTTCCACTATTTCTTAGCAGTGTGGTGTTGGGCAACTTACTTAACCACTCTGTTTCAGTGTTCAATTCTTAAAAATGGAGATAATAATAGTCCTGATCTAACAGAGTTTTTATGAACATTATATTATTTAATATTGGGAAAGTACTTAAGATAGGGCGTGGCATATAGAAAGCCCCATATATGTATTATGCATATACAGGTCCAAAATCCTGAGTTAAATAAAGGAGTATATTTATGCATATACTAATGAATGAATGAATGAGTGAACCAAAATGCTTTGGCTTAAAAGGTACCTTTATACACCAAAGTCCTTTTTAGAGTAAGCACAACTGCTCTGACATTCATGCAAGAAAGACTATGAACTGCAAATAAAGGGAAGCTTTTGCACACAGAGTGCCTGGTGCTGCTTAAAGGGAGGTCAGCTGGTGCACAATGAGGCAAGTACAGAAAATGGGAGGAAGTGTTTAGGAGCTTTTATAGCAATGCGCTTTGCTGTAATATTTTTATTAAATTTTATAGAAGCATAGGGAGACAGTGAATTGGAAATCTAAAGAAAAGAGTTGTCCTTCAACACAGATTGCTTGAGAAGCACTGTCCAGAGGTTCTCAGAAATGCAAATTACACTCTTGAATTGGGTAGACATCTAAATACAGCATGTTAAATTTTTTTTTGCCTACATTCATTGGTTAGATTGTAGTATTAGGATAAAAAAGATTTAAAGAAAAAAGTTGAGTAGATCTTCGGGAAAAGGAACCATGTGAGGAATGTAAGGAAAGACCTGGCCTTTAGGTGTTAAGCCTAATGAACCAAAGAAAGCAACTTTTAAAAACCAATGAAAAGATTTCTTATATCCCTACAAACCCTCATTGATTTTTACTTTTGTTAGTTACTCTATGCTTATTTATTCCTGATTTCTCTGTAATACTTAGCAAAAAATAATTTAAAATAAGATCTTGTGTGAATGCGTGTAGCACTGCAGATAAAGTAGGGGCTGAAGGCTTTGTCTCTGGTCGTTTGAAAAGAGAAATCCCTCTCCCTAAGATGAGCAGGAGGGCACAGATTTAAAGAGGAAAAGAGGTCAGAAAATAAAAATACTTATTTTCAATAATCCTTTCAAATGTATATCCAAGCTTGAAAGAAAGTGTAGTAAATCTCCAACAACCGGAAATAAATATGGGATGGAAATTAGTATGCACCAAACCAGCAACTGCCAACGAGTGAAGACATTTAACTGTTTAATCACTTCATAAGAACTCGAAAAAAGGCTGGAGACCCTGAAATGTGGGGAATTGGGACTGGGGATGGCCTTTTCCTTCCATATAGAGTTAGGATCCTCAAAAACTATATCCTGAATGCAAAGATTAGAAATAATTTTGCTCTGGCAAAGGCAGTTGGGAAGAAAATTTGTCTCTTTTAGCCTAGGCTTAGCAGAGGAAAATAAAAACTTCCCCGGAAATGTTGACTGTCATGAAGACTTGACCTAAATTGATTTGTGGCTTGGAACCAGTAAGCCAAGAAATTAACCTAAAATTGGTTCTAAGTACCAAAGGTAATTCCTCTTGGGAAACTGGTACAAACAAACAAACAAAAACAATCTCTCTAAGAGGAGTACACTCTCAACACAGGCCACACAAGAGTCCCACATATAACATCCTGCTCACAACCCAAAACTACAAACACAACAGAAAACAAGCCACTGTGAGTAAGAGTCATACACACAAAATCAGCAGTTTATAGATACCTATAAACTTGAGGTTAAAAATGATTAGAGACTGTAAACAAGCATGTTAAAAATGTTTAAAATACACAAAAGAATTAAACAAAATATGACCAAAGAATAAGAGGCAGATTTGGAAAACACATATAGAACTTAAAATGAAAGATATAAAAATTAAAGTAAAAAAGTAAGAATCAGTTTAATATCAGGTTGGACACTGTTGAAGGAAAAAGTTAATACATTTGAAGATAAGTAAGAAGCAACAAAGAGGGAAAGAGAAAAGATGCAAGAGAGTTTATGAGACATAAGAATAGACTGAAAAGATCTAACATTGTCCAATCAAAATTCAGAAAGGCATGAATCAGGCAATATTGAATACTGACTGAGGATTTTCCAAAATATGTAAAAATAAACTCACAGATTTTAAAAGTCTAAGACATTCTAAGAACAATAAAATTAATGTCTTCCTTAACATATCCTAGTGAAACTGCACAATATAAAAGACAGGGAGAAAAGATGTTAAAGCACCTAGAGAAAGAAAAAAACCAGATTATCTTCAAAGGAGTGATAGACTGACAGCCTACCTCTTCAAAGGAACAATGGAAAGAAGAAGCCAAAAAAAAAAAAATCTTCAATGTGCTGAATGAAAATAACTGGCAATCTATAATACTAGACCCATGAAAAGTGTTTTCAAAAAATGAGGGCAAAACAAAGACATTTTAAGACTAACAAAAACTGAGAGAGTAAAATTAGCACTCACCTAAAGAAACTGTAAAGGATGAACTTCAAACAGAAGGAAGATCTGACATGCAAGAAGAAATGAGGAGAAACAAAAAAGGTAAGCATATGGGTAAATCAAAATGAATGTTGACTATATAAAACACTAATGTCTGATGAGATTAAAAGTATACAACTAAAATAAATGACAACAACTTACAAAACAGGAGAGAATAAGGATGAATAAAACTAAACTACTCCAAAGTCCCTGTCTTGCCTGGGTGTAAAGTAGGTTAAGATGTTAATTAATTTGAGATGTGATTCATACGCATATTTTAGGGGTAAACTCTTAATAATGGAAAGAGAGGGTATAACTTCAAAACTTGTAGAATTTTTAAAAAGACATGATTAAACAATATTTAATTGATTTAAAAGAAGATGTGTAAGGAGAGAATAAACACCACATTGAATGGGGGAAAATGGCAATTGCATTAAAAATAAATGCACCTGTTAAAAGACAAAGGCTGTGAAACTGATTTTATGAATAAATTAACTACATGCAGCTTGCAAGAGATAAATCTAAAACAGAGGAATACAAAAGTGCTATAGGTAAAGGTATGAAAGGTGGCAAATGGTACATCAGGAATGTTTTAACTTACGGAAAGCTAACATAGCTGAATCAATAGCAGATAAAATAAATCAAAAGGCAAAAAGCATTAGTAGAATTTAATAAGCACCCTCTACACTGTTCAACTGCTCAATTCATGAGGAAGAAATCAGTTTAATTGCTGTATTCAATAACATAGCATTATATTTATGCAGGATTAAAAATCCATAGGAATAAAAGGAGATATAGACAAGTACTCAATCATGATGAAAGATTTTAACACATCTCTATCGGTAATTGAGAGAAAAAGTAAAAAATAAACCAATAAATGTACAGAAGATGTGAAAAACATAATAAATGACCAAATGGACAAATACAATGCAGCCAAAACAGAAGACTAAACATTATTTTCAAGCACACATGGAATGATTTTAAAAAAACTGATCATATTCTGAATCGTGAAGCAAAGTTCTCAAGAGATTTCAAATCATACAGACAATGCTTTTTGTCCACAATGGAAGTAAGAAATCTATAATAAAAATAACTAAAAATATTTAGTAGTTTTTACATACTTGCAAACAAAGAAGCACTTACAATAATTCATGGGTCAAATAATAAACCAAAATGAAAATCAGAAAATATTTTGAAACCATGTAATAACAAAAATATTACATTCCAAAATTTTGGGGATATAGCTAAAATAGTATGGAGAAAAAAATTAATAACCTTAAATACTTGCAAGAGTTAAAAAGAAAGGCTAGGAATTAATGAATTAATCATCCATGTTAAAAAGTTACAAAGGAACAGTGATTAAATCCAAAGTAGAGGGAGAAAATAATATAGATCAGGAGTCAGTAAACTTTGGTCTATAAGAGGTATAGAGGGAAGGGAAAGAGAAAGAGAGAATGAATATGTGATAGAGAACTTACATGGTCTGTAAAGCCTACAACTAGCTGTTAAATATGAAAGTAAAATAATGCCATTTTCAGACAAATGAAAACCTGAGACTTCACTGCCATCAGGGCTGCATCTAACAAAACTTTAGTTTTGTTATTACACCAGGATGGTGTAATAATTCTAAGTGTCTATGCATCCACTAACACAGTTTCAAAATATATAAAGCAAAAGATAACTAAGGAAGAAACAGAGAAACACAATCATAGTAGGAGATCTTAACACACCCTGTTCAATAGCTGGTAGAATAAGTGGACAAAAACTTAGTGAAGAATAGAAAAGATCTGAGCGACAAAATTAACAAACTTGATATAATTAACATATATAAAAAGTACTATACCTAAGAAGGACAGAATTCAAATTTTTTTCAAGTGCACATAGAATATTTATTAAGCTTAATTATATGCTGGGTCATAAAGCAAGTCTCAACAAATTTAAAATGTCTGAATTCATTCATTATACATTCTTTGACCACAGAAGAATTAAGCTAGAAAAAAAAACTCCTAGAAATATCCCCACAGTGATTAAGCAACATATTTCTAAGTAATTTATGAGTCAAAGGAAAAATTATAATAAGTATTTAAAATGATTTAAACTTAATGATAAAGAAGAATAACATCAAAATTGTTGATGGAACAGAACAGACCCAGAATCAGACCCACACCTACACAGTCACCTGCTGTATCTCAAGGTTACACTGCAGCATAATAAAGAAAAGATGATTTCAATAAATGGTACCATGTCAGGTTGATGAATATATGGGAAAATGGACTTTCATTACATAGCACATCATTTATGAAAATCACTTTTAGGTGGATTATAGATTTAAGTATGAAAGGCAGGAGAATATTTTCAGGACCTTGGGGTAGGCAAAGGTTTCTTAAGCTGAAATAGAGGCTCTCAAGTAAGGGGAAAAAAAAGGTAAGTTGAACTATTTTAGTCATGATCTTCTGTTCATCAAAGTGTATCAGTCAGTGAGTGAAAAGGGAACCAGTAGGGTGGGTGAAGATATTGGCAATACACACCTGACAAAGGTCCCATATCTAGAATGTATAAATAATTCCCACAAGTCAATCAAAAAGGCAATCTTAAAAATGGGTAAAAAACCTGAAAAGGCACCCAACAAAAGAGGATATGCAAATGGCCAATAACATGAAAAGTACCTAATTTTACTAGTCATCAGAAAATAAAAATTAAAACCACTGTGTGGATACTCCTACACTTCCAACACAGTAACTAAAACAAAAAGACAAAAAACATGGAGCAACCAGAACTCTCAACAGAGGAAGAGCAACTGGTACATCCACTCTGGAAAACTATTTGGACAACTGTTATAATGCTGAACATATGTAAATCCTATGATCCAGCAATATCACTCCTAAGTACAATTGACCCTCTGTTATCTGTGGGTTCTGAATCTGCGAATTCAACCAACTGCTGATAGAAATAATCCAGAAAAAAAAATTCCATAAAGTTCCAAAGAGTAAATCTTGAATTTGCTGTGTGCCAAATAGTATGTCAAATCCACATGGATGAAATGATGTAGGCATTGTGTTAGGTATTACAGGTAATCTAGAGATGATTTAAAATATATGGGAAAATGTGAGTAGGTTATATGCAAATAGCACACCATTTTCTACAAGGAACTCGAACATCTGAGAATTTCAGTATCTGGAGGGTCCTGGAACAAATTCCCTATGGATACTGAGGGATGACTGTATATATCTTTAGAAATGTGTTCATGGCTTACCAGAAACCTGTACAAGAATGTTCATAGCACCCCACTTTTATTATAATAATGACAAAGTTGCAACAGCTTGTTATGGACTGAATGTGTCCCCTCCAAATTCACATATTGAAATCTTAATCACCAGTGTGGCTATATATGAAGACGAAGACTTCAAGGAAGTAATTTAAATTCATTAAATGAGGTTATAAGGGTGGGGCCCTGATCTCCCAGAATTAGTGTTTGTATAAAAGACTCTAGAGAGCTTCAACTCTCAAACTGTCCCCCACCCCAAGGCATGCACTGAAGAAAGACCATGTGAGAATACAGTGAGAAGGCAGCCGTTTACAAGATAGAAAGAGAATCCTCACCAGGAACTGAATTGGCCAGCACCTTGATCTGGGACTTCTAGCCTCTAGAACTGTGAGAAAATAAATTTCTGTCATTTAAATCACTTGGTCTATGGTATTTTGTTATGTTAGCCTGAGCTAAGACACCAAAAAATCCATCAATAACATAATGGAGAAGTTATTTGTAATACATGTATATACATTGCAGTGCAATACACCAATGAGAATAAATAAGCTATATGGTAATTACACAACTCTATGAATGAATTGCATAAGCTTAATGATAAGCAGAAGAATCCAGAACTTAACCCATTCATGATTCCATTTATATAAAGCTCAAAAAGAGGCAAAATAAACCTATGCTATAAGAAGTCACTTTTCTTGATGTGAGTTTCTTGTCTGAGTCCTTGTTATAGGATGTGATCTGTTCTACACTTATGATTTGCACACTTTCCCACATGTACATTTCAATAAGGAATTAAAACAATGAAAGGGTAATGGGTCTAGCTCCAGAGATGACTCTAAGAGAAAAGACAGCTGGAAGCTGCTTGAACCTGAGATGACATTTTGAAGGCAAAGAAAGGATTCAGGTGGTGAATCTGCTGGATGGAATGTCTTCAGAAAACCCCAATTTGCAAATATTTTCACCTCATTTTATTTTTTCCATAAAATGCAAAAGAGTATGTCTGAAATATTTAAGGGGTACCTTAGATGCTGACTGAGTCTATAAACAAGGCTACAACATAAAACTGTGACTACATATTGTCATTAATATATGCTTTAACATCACATGTTTCTTATTTTTACCCAGAATTGTTGAACAGGCTGGCTTCTCATGGATCTGATACACTGCCAGTTTTATTTTACCACTTCTTAAGACATCTAAAGGTTCTATTTTCTAACCCTTCCTTAACTCCCACCTGAACACATGCTTTTCATTTCCAATACCTAGATTAACAAACAGATTTCTATTTCTTCCTCACAAAAATAAAAGTGAGAACATAATGACAATGCAATAGTGACTTAATGAATATTTTTTGATCTTACGAGCTCTGTTACAGCAGATTCATCACATGACTTGCTTCCAAACTTCAGTCTTGGTGGGTAATAGCTCATCAGTAACATTATGTATCCCTGCATTTTACAGGACTGTTAAAGAAAAATAGAGGCCCCAGTTCAGACACACCCCAAGGCCAACCACCTATAACCATGTAGCCAAAACTTAAGTCATCCTGATTTCCCCGAGATATTAGCTCTAATCATAAACAAAACACAAAACATTGGCTAGTCCACATGATTCAGTGAACCAGCTGTAGACAAATCAGCTTAAACTAACTCTGTTTGCCCTAAAAAGAAGGTTAATGTGTAACAGTCAGTCACAAAAATGGTCAAAATGCTTCCTCCTTTACGCTTTCTCAGCTGTGCTGGAACTGCCGCAAGGTAGGCTTCTTGCCACGCTTGGTCTGAAGTCTCCTGGGCTTGTGAACTGTTCTTCTGTACGTACTATACTCCTAAAAATTTGATAACTTCATTTGATTTTCTTCCTGACAGGACTTGGGGATCAGTCACTCTGTGTGAGGAGTGTTAAATGTAAAGCTTGGGGACTGCCGTGATTTGTGGGCCTCCCGGGCCACCCCCATCATCTGTGGGCGCCCTGGGCCACCCCCCTTCACTTTGCCTCTGTCAGATGTTCCTGCGCGGTGCCCTCAGCAACGTGTCCCTCTAGAATTGTGTAACTCGGCTGCTGGCTTTCTACTTGGCCTCTCAAAGAGTGTTCCTTTGGAGATTTTCTCTGGTATTGGTGATTTATTCTTTTAAGAAAATCCAATAAATCATGCAATTCATATTTGGAATGGGTCACGTGGCAGAAAGTATCCTGAGGGAAAGGATGACAGTTCCCAACGCTCTGAGCTGAACTGAGGAGGTCTCGTGGCATGGGCAGGATGAGGACATTTCACAGCCAGGCAGCCATGGGCAAACCCTTCGGCTTCCCCAAGTCTCTTCTGCCTGTTCTGTAAAATGAAGAGCATCTTGGCAATTGCATGCAGCCGATGTGAGATCTGGACATAATTAAAATGGCGTATAATACACCTAGCACATAGGAGATCCCCAATACGTGAAGGCTGCTATTATCAAAAGCATAGTTGCCATAGTGCCCACCCCATCCTATCCCAGATGACCACATCCATGGTTCTGATTGTCAAAAGAGCCCAATCAAAGGGTATGATATCTTTGGAGGGCTCAGAGACAAGCTGTTTGAAATTTGAAGCCATCAAGAGTAGAATTCTGGCTGGACACAGTGGCTCATGCCTATAATCCCAGCACTTTGGGAGGCTGAGGTGGGTGGATCACTTGAGGCCAGGGGTTCAAGACCAGACTGACCAACATGGCAAAACCCCATCTCTACCAAAAATATAAAAATTAGCCAGGTATGGTGGTGCATGCCTATAATTCCAGCTACTTGGGAGGCTAAGGCAGGAGAATCGCTTGAACCCGGGAGACACAGGCTGGAGTGAGCTGACATCGTGCCACTGCACTCCAGCCTGGGAGACAGAGCGAGGCCTTGTCTCAAAAAAAAAAAAAAAAAAAAAAGTAGAATTCAGTCCAAATGCATGCCTGCCTCTAGGCACAGTGTGCTGTAACATACCAATCCAAGTGAAATGGTTAAAAGTGGCACATCAGGAAATCAAAAAAATTCCCCTGACCACAACATATTCAGTATGATTTAATCTCTCATTCTGGATCTTTTAGCATAGAAGAATTATCATACTGCAAGTAATGACACTGTATCTGTGGCAGGCAGAATTCTAAAGTGGTCCTCAGATTCCCACCTCCTGGGGTGTACTCCTGTGTCATCCCTTTCCCTTGGGTGTAGGTGGAACCTGTGACTCCGACGGGATGTCACTCCTGTGATTAGGTTATAATATGGGGTAAAGTGAGGGGATTTTGCAGATGTAATTACTTTACTATTCACTGACTCTGAGTTGATCAAAAGGGAGATTATCCTGGGTTGGCCTGACCTAATCTGAGGACCAAAAGAGGGTTTAGTGGTCAGAGAAAAGGAAAGTCAGAGAGATTTACAGAGAAAGGGCAGATGGTAGAATATAAAGGGAATACGGAAGAGGGAAGAGGGAAAGGGGGAGAGAGGAGAGATTCTCTGGCTGGTCTTGAAGCAGTAAACAACTGCCATGCCAAACAGTAAACAACCCAAAGCAGTAAACAACTTCACTGCCATGCCATAAGAAGAGAGCTAGACGGCAAGGATGTGGTGTGGGGTCCTGGATGGCTTTGGACTGACCCCGTTCTTTCCCCTTTCCTGTAGTTCTCAAGCATTACTGTAGGCAACATGCTACTACATACAAAATACTCTACTAAAATACAAAAATTAGCTGGGTTTGGTGGTGGGCACCTGTAGTTCTGGCTACTTGGGAGGCTGAGGCAGGAGAATCGCTTGAACCCAGAAGGTGGAGGTTGCACTGAGCCGAGATCGTGCCACTGCACTCCAGCCTGGGCAACAGAGGGAGACCCTGTCTCCAGGAAAAAAAAAAAAAAAAGAATGTGCTGGGAATGCAGTATCCTGAGATCACGGGAAACTAGCTGGACCAGTCTGGACTCTGTTCTGGTCCCTCCGAGAACAGGATGTATTTCAATGTTTTAGCCCAATAATGACTGTATCCCCCAGGTATCAAACCCACAGCAGGCTGCTTTCTGGGGTCCCTCAGCTGCAGCACAAGACAGCATGCACCCTGGGCACTGTCCTAACTCTTGTGTGACTGTCTTACCCTGAACCCTAGGCTGCTATTGTCCCTCACTGCCTGTCTGTAAGACACCTGCTTTGTGCAACCTGTACACATGCATGAGACTTGGCAAGGAAGCAGCGCACAGTGAACCTGCATCACTCCTGAGTCTCTTGGGTACTCTCTAGGCACCAACAGTTAGCAAGAAAATGGAACCTCAGTCATTCAGCTGCAAGGAACTAAATTCTGCCAACCGCAGGGAACTTATGGATCTGCCCCTAGATGAGCACACAGCCAGGGGACACCTTAATTTCAGCCTTGAGAGACTATGAGCAGAGTCTCAGACCCAGCTAAAGCACAGCAGACGGCTGGCCCCCGGAAGCTGTGGGATGATACACTTGTGCTGTTTTAAGCTGCCAAATGTGTGGTAATTTGTTAGGCAGAAATAGAAATGCATACAGCGTCCTTTAGCCCAAGGATATTTAAATAGGAATTCTGTCCATTCATTTCACATGTGTATCCTGGGAGGCGTATCCCGGGAGTGTTCAGCAGGTGTCTGGGAGGTTTACTCGTGTCCCTGAAGTGCATGCTGCTAACGGGAGCTATGCACAGAGAAACACCTGAATGCTCAAGGGCAAGCAGACAGCTCCTGTAACCTGTGCAGATAACAGTGTGGCCCAGGCTGTTGAGACTGTGCACACCTGGGAGAGGGCAGGTAGGCAGGATGCAGCCTGCTAGAGCAGCTGTGTGGATGGAGGGCAAGGCTTAGTGGTTTGATGTAAGCCAGCTTCTAGAAGTTAAGACTCTTACTCAGTTGAGAGCACTCCTAGGGCTGTACATCAGACGTGACCGCCCTGAAAAGATGGCCCAGCCATGGTAAATGCCAGCACTTTCCAGCCTCCGGAGACCCCATCATGGCCCAGTGCTATTCTAACATCCAGCAGAACCTAGAATGTGGTGCCCGAGATAAAGGTGTGCTCCATACAAGGAGTGCGATTGGGAACATGCAAAGTTTCATGGTTTCATGTTTCTATTCCTGGCTTTGACAGAGTGGTCATTCCCAACTCCCCATGACATAACCACAGAACAGGAACAAGACACGGGCACTGGCATTGTGAATAGCTTGAAAACTTGAGGTTCTGCAAATAAGAAAATCACAGGTGAACACCATTGAGAGAGGCAGGTGGTTTCACACGTGGGGAGCTATTAGTCACTTATTCTGACTTTTCTGAGCAATAGTCCTCTGATTCATCCGTGATAATGGGACCAATTAACTTCAGCTTTGGAGCAGGTGGTTACCACACACTTTAAAATAAGATGTCTTTTTGCTCATCACCCCACGACATTTTGATGAAAGAAAACAAAACGTGACAATTCTCTATCAGAAAGATGAGGGGATTCTTGCCCTAAATGTGACACTGTAACTCCTTTTAATATCACTGGAGTGCTCCCTCCCCACCTGGGCCCTCGGATGTCCCCTCTCTGGGCATCACTGTGCTTTGCACGTGCTTCTGTGAGAGCTCCTGCCATGGGACTGCGGTATTGCCTTCATGTCCTTTGCTCCTCTGGGGCAGGGGCCTTGTGTTCCTCATCTTGGTTGTCCCCAATAATCCTGGTAGTTGATATAGTTTGAGATGTTTGTCCCCTCCAAATCTATGTTGAAATGTGATCCCCAATGTTGAGGGGGGCCTGGTGGGAGGTGTTTGGGTCATGGGGGTGGATTCGTCATGAATGGCAGGGTGCCATCCTCGCAGTAATGAGTGAGTTCTTGTTCTATTGGTTCCCATGAGATGATTGTTAAAAAGAGTCTGGCACCTCCTCTCTTGCTCCCCTTCACATCATATGATACATCTGCTTCCCCTTCCCCTTCTGCCAGGACTGGAAGCTTCCTGAAGCCTTCACCAGAAGCAGATGCTGGCCCCATGCTTCTTGTACAGCCTGCAGAACTGTGAGCCAAATAAGCCTCTTTTCTTTATAAATTACCTGGTCTCAGGTATCCCTTTAAAGCAATGCAAATGGGCTATGACAATAGGATTTGAGACACCACAGGTGCTCAATGTTTACTAATGAATAATTGTAATGCTGGAGAAGATAACTTAGTATTTGGTCACAATTTAAATTCTTTATAGCAAAAAGTGTGAAGAAAGAAAAATAGGAAATACCACTCTATGAAAATAAAAAATTAGTAGAGGAGGCCATTTACTTGATGCTGAGTATGCATCCAGCCCTGTGCACACACGACCTCAGTTCATCTTCACAACAGCCCCACAAGGTGGGCTGCTTCATCACGACGTCACAGAGGAGAGCCTGACGCCCCCTCAGGGGGCTGCACAGGAACCACACTGTGACCACTACGCTGAGGAGATGTGAACCCTGGCCTCTGTCTCTCCCACACTCTGGCCCAGGCCCTATGCCCAGGGTTGCCCAACGCTGCACCTGGCCCACAAAGGAACGTGGTATTTCCAGGCTTGCCCAGAGTCGCAGCCGCGACTCTGCCTGACTGATGGGTGGAGGAAGCTCCAAAGCACAGCAAGGATGGGAAGGCAAACTTGGCAACTGGCCATGGGAGGAGCTGCCTTTGGAAGCAAGGAATGGTCCCAGGTAGCTAGGAGGCCAATGGAAGCCTCACGAGATGGAAGGCAAGGGAGTGTAAAAGTAGCTGGAGGAAAGAGATGACTCACAGCAGCCGATGGTGAGAGCTATAAGGAGAAGGGGAATGGAAGCCACTTCCTGACCTTTCTCTGTATCAAGCACAGTGCAGCATGGCTTCCCGAGAACCTTGCCCTCACAGTCAAACCCAGCGGTCAGTTTCTAGTGCACACTGACTTACTGGCATATTTGGCACCACTGATTGCTCCCTTCTTGAAACACCTTCCACCCTGGGCGTCAGGGTCACTATCCACCGCTGGTTCGCCCTGATTCCCAGGCCCGCACATTCCCAGTCTCTTCTGCTGGCTCCTTCTTCTGTTCCTCAGCCCTCAATACTGTAGGGCCCCAGCCTGAGTCTTTGGAAAGCTTGTTTTCTGTCCATGCTCCAGACAAGTGTGTCCAACTCATGCTCACCACTGCATGGAGCCAGGTTGGGGGCATGGTGGGAGGGTCCTACGAGGAGCTCACTCCGGGATCCCACGGGTTTCACTTTAGGGCACTAACTCCACATCTGCATCCCCAACGCAGGGCTCTCTCTGACTCCAGACCCTCATGTTCATCTGGGCAGCAACTTTACAAGTCTCACTACAGTCTCGGGCTTTGCCTGACAGTGCTGGCCTCTTCTTCTTGCCCTTCCTCCAGGGGTCTGCATCTCCTCAGGCAACATTATCTACCCCCATATTCAGGGTAACATTCTTAGGGCCATGCTGGACTCTTCCCTGCCTGCCAGAGCCCCAGCCCTCCATCATCAAGGCCTGTAGGTCTGCCTTCAAAACGTACCCCATAGCCGTGTCTCTCTACTGCCCCTCACCTGCACTACCACCCCCACGACCCTGCCAGCCGTCTCTCTCTGCCCTGGTCTGGAGCAACTGCCTCTCCCTGCTCTTCCAGCTTCTTCTCTTACCACCCCATAGTCCATTCTCCAGCAGCCAGAATCTGTCAGATGTGAATCAAGACGCGTCAGCCCCCGGCTCAAAACCCTCCAGGGGCTGCTTATCTACCTTCAGTGAAGCCTAAAGGACGAGGCTCCCTAGCGCCCGGCTCCCATTCTCCTGCCCTCCTTTCCAAATCCTCTCACCCTCGCTCCACCAGCTCAGGTGACACTGGCTTCCTTAAATATGCCAAGACTTTGATGTTAGACTCCCTCTGCCAGGAAAGCCAGGCCCGCAGGTGTCTGTTGCTGCCTCCCTCCCTGCCCTCCAGCGGCATCCCGGGATTCCCTCTCCTTCCTAACCTCCCCAGAGTAGCCTCTGAGGCCCCACTTCATTTTCATGCTCCCCTTGTTCATCGGCTTTCTTCCACTGGAATTTCACCTCCCTGAGGGCAGGGGTTTCATCTGCCTGGAGTGTGGAGGTAGCCCCAGACCTGGATGGGGCATTTCGTGGGCATTCAACACAGGCTGACACTGGGTCAATCTGTCTCCATTTGGCCGCCGTTACACATCTCTGACTTTCAGAGGGAAGGAAGTGAGGCTCCAGCCGGCCAAGTGACGTGGCCAAGCTCCCCCTGCCAATCCGGGCCTCAAGCCAGGGTCGGGCTGACTCAGAAGCCCACAAGCCTCCTCTGTAACTTACCATTCTCTGGCAGATTCCCCTCAATCCAATTATCCTCCCCTGGAGCACAACTCAAAGGTGTGCCTAGAGATTTTTCAACATGCGTTTCCATCTCCCATGTATGCAGTGACTCCTGCATTACACAAAAATGCCTCTGCCCTCTGCCCCCAGACACACTGAAGAACCACACCATCTCACCCACATGGTGGTTAGCTGCTGCCACAGGCAGCAGATGATACTTCCCAACCCAGAGACCCCGGTCTCCGAGCCATCTCCTGTGTAAATGCAGCAGGATCAGCTGATGGCAAAAGGAGTGGTTTCTTGCCTTCTCAATGGCAGGCTAGTCATTAAAGAACGAAAGGTGTTTCCCTTCCTCTCAGGAGGTCAGCTGGTTTTAGGCCCAGATGATCCGGCCCTTCTGTTGCCCTGAGACTGTCATGAGGTGGGAGTGGGTTGTGTTTTCCAGGGTTTGAAGACTTGGGGAAGACCAGTCTCCCAGATCTGTGGGTTTTATGGGAGTTCAGACTGGCACCCCACTTGACACAGAGGCCTCAAAAATAGACGGGGCTGCCTATGTGGCTCGGGAGGCCAGGCAGATACCACGCAGGGCCCCAGGAGAGTGGAATCAGGCCCCAGGATGGACAGCTGGATGGTGGGCAATGTTAACTGAGTGAAGGCCACTGTTTGCCAGTTTTCAGAACCACCTGAGCCCTGGGTTCATGTTCTGTCCAAGGGAAAAGGAAGTCCTCCACCCAAAGTCTTATGACAGAAATAATGTTTCCTGCCAAGCACAGCTAGAACTGTCCCTTAAACAAATGGATTTTTTTTTTACTAAATAATTTTTTGACATCTGTATTTCAATCTCTCATGTATTCAGTAAAATAATATTGCATATAAATAGTTTATTCATAAAGATTCTAAGCACTAAGCTATTAGGAAGAGGCATTTACCCTTTGTACCCAGCAATACTGAGCAGCTTTCTTGGATGGCCACTTCATGATGGAAAAGTGGACTGTGACAGTGGGGGCCACGGGAGCAGAGCCTGGCTGTGGGGTGGAAGGTACAGGAGCTGCCAGTGCTTTCCAGTGACCAAACTCCTCACCCAGATGGGCTGTGGGAGACCCTTTAGCACTGGCCGGCTGAGGGTCTTCACGTGAGTCTGAGCATAGCAGGGCACTGAGAAATGACCTAGTCTAAGACCTCGCTTGAGAGCAGAGGAAAGGAGTTCGGAGGAGTCAGATGGATGGTGGGCAGGGGTCAGGTTCATGCTATCACCCAGCCCAGAGACTGCTTCACTCCTCTGAGGGAGCACACACACAGTTGTCTGCGTACCTCTGTTCTTTTTCTTTTTTTTTTTTTTGAGACAGGGTTTTGTTACCCAGGCTGGAGTGCAGTGGTGTGATCATGGCTCACTGCAGCCCTGACTGCCCGGACTCAAGCAATTCTCCCACCTCAGCCTCCTGAGTAGCTGGGACCACAGGCGTGCACCACCATGCTTGGCTAATTTGTTTATTATTTGTAGAGATGGGGTCTTACTATGTTGCTCAAGCTGGTCTCGGACTTCTGAGCTCAAGTGATTCTCCTGCCTTGGCCTCCCAAAGTGCTAGGATTATAGGCGTGAGCCATCGCGTTTGGCCACTTTTATTATTTTTCAGCGTGAGGGACGAGGAAGACATGTTGGCTACTAGGACTCCTGTCCCAGGCAGATCCCTGATCTTCAGGCGCGAATTGCACCACAAGCACCTTTGACCACTCCCTGAAGAGTGAGACCCACTTCCTCAAGGCCTCCTGCGAGTGTAGACCAGATGGCTTCTCCACCACTGGGTGGGAGCCTGAGCTTCCTGCCTTCACTGATCTCTGCTTCCAGTTGGTTCTCTTCGTGGTGCCCAACATAAACAATGAGCTATTCATAATTTAACATCTTAACTCACTAAGTTTGGGTTTTTAAAAGGTATTTTTCAAGACTGGATGAAGCCAGAGTCCCATCTTAAAATGCTAGTCTGGAAGGTAAAATATAAGTGATAAAAATTAAAATGCAAAATATGGAAAAAAATAACAGAAAAGACGTTCAAAAGAAGTGAAGGCTTTTGCTAAGCATGGTAGGGCTCAAGGAGAAGGTAACATGGTGGGGTCTACCTACAACCTTGCATGAGACTGTGCTTCACACGAAACACAGCACTCAGGCAGCTGCTATGATCACCCAAGCTATTAGCAATCGTCAGTGCTGAGCTGTATAAAGGTCTACACCGCCGTAGCATTCAACAGAGAGTAACCCATGAAACTTGTTTCTTTCTTAACAAATACTAATTTCCGCTTCTCTATGAATAGTGAGCTTTTTCTATTGAAAATATCTTATCTGAATTAGTCATATAGAAGCGTCTTTAAAATAGCCAGCCCCCACAGTGAGTGGTTTAGATTATTGCTAATCTAGCTGAATTGTTTTATGTTTGTTGAGTCTTGCTGAGGTAAGACAGAGCAAGGCTGTGGGTGCCAGTCATTGGATTGCTCTTGATGGCTGCGAAGCAGCTGAGATGAGAATTTCTCCACAGTCACAACATGAGATCCAGCTGTTGGGAATGTAGAGCCTGTTCTAATGTCAAGCATGCCATTGGTGAGGCTTCTATGAGTCCTGTGGCTACGACCTGACTGCAAGCCTGCCCAACACAAATAAGCCCCACTAGGCACATCTCGTCCTTTGTCTAAACGCATCTTGTGCCTTCCCTCTTGAAAGTGGTGGATGACGACAGCCCTGGGCAAACAATGACAAGCAATGGCATGAAAGCAGGTGTACACGTGTACACAGA
Organism: Homo sapiens; assembly: GCF_000001405.40. NCBI lineage: Eukaryota > Metazoa > Chordata > Mammalia > Primates > Hominidae > Homo > Homo sapiens. Next base: position 3,842,459 of record NT_187660.1, read on the forward strand.
AGCCAGGTCTGGTAAAACTTCCCGGCACATTGACTTTCTGGATGTTTCCCATTGGCCCCACAGATCTACCGTCTATCCTTCTCCATGCTGCTCTGTATGCAGAGGGTGACCTGCGTGGACCACATCAGTGAGCTCCCCGCAATCTGCCCTTCTGCCATTAAGAGGCACTGGTCAGAACCTGGATGGTGGAGGAAGAGTGTGGTCAGAGTATTTATTTCCCCAGCATCTTCTCTCTCCCGGATGCCACACCTACTGCCCGTGGCTATCTCCATCAGCCACTCTCATCCCTTGTCTTTTTGCCAGGCCTGAGGGTAGTCCCAGGAACGGTAGTATCCTTCACTAGTGTCCTTAAATCCTGCCCACTCCTTGGAAAGCAGTCCCTTTATGGAGTCCTTTATCTCACAGTTTTGTGCTGCCTTTTCTTTCCTACCAGGGTCCTGATTGGTCCATCCACCAATATCAGAATCATACCAACCTACAGGTACTTCTCTCCTGTCTTCTTCTGGAACTCTAGAAAGTGCTTGGTAATTTTATTGGGTCTTCGCCGAGCACCGAGAAAAGCTCTACTCCCTAACAGTGCATTGCTGGCTGCAGCCCTAAACTCCTGGGATGACACATCTGGGGACGTCTCCACGGACCAAGCCTTGGAAGTGGAGGCTCCACTCCACAGTGGACATGAAGAGCTGGCTGAAGGCTGGGTCAGCACTGGAAGGCGATGCTTCCCCACCCCAGCAGGAGCAGGGCTTCCCACTGGCTGAGGACATGCTCCATGTGCACTGTCAGCCCGTGCAGGCAGGCGGGGCTCCCACTGGGAGGGGCGTGGTGGGCCTGAGGAGACAGCCATAACATCTTCCACATGCGTGCCTGAGAAACCCCCAGATATGTGATTTTGCAATGTTTATAATGTGAATGATTATGAGTGAAACTGGCATTGCTTTGTCTCAGGAAGAACCTAAATCTGTTTTAGACATTTGTTTTGGACTCATTATTTTCTCCTTAAACATTCCAAAGAAGAGAGTTTGTCTTGCTTCTTGAACGCTTTCTTCATTGGGATGTTAGGGTGGTGAGGAAACACTAAGGAGAAGGAAGGAGACTGAGGTCAGGTTTTGTGCTTCCTTAACCTGGAAGCTGGAAGAGGCTGCGCAGGCAGGGAATGGACAGCTATGGAAAGCACATGTCACTTAGTACCCCAAAGCGTTGCCGGGTCAGCAGTCTCCTCATCTTTGCAGATGGAGAAACTGAGGCTGAGAGAGATCACCTGACTTGCCCAAGTCCACAGGAAGTGGCGGGTCTCCCGTTTTCTCTAAAGCCCATGGTCTTTCCTATCTTTCATTCAACACCCACGGAGGAGTTGTCTGGGGAAAGAGAGAAGCAAGGCAAAGAAGCATAGAGTTCTCCTTAAAGGAGGACTGGGATTTAGGAGCAAGGGGAAAACTCGAGAGATTTCAGCACCACCTAGTTATCGGCCCCTCCATCCAGCCCATGCTGGCTAGAACACTGTCGGCCCGTAGAGCAGGAGGTGCGGTGCAGCATCTAGAATCCTAACTGAAAACTGCCCAGAGTCTGAGAACATGTGCCCTTCTCTTGCTCATAGAGTAGGTTAGGCCAGCTCACCATTCACCAAGCCTAAAGAGGGTGGGCCTGCTGGCAGGGGCAACTCACCTGCCTGCTCCAAAGCCACCATTGTTGCCTGCTCGATCAAGTCCCGCTCGATGAAGCTCCTGAAATCCTCGCTGTACACGCTCAGGTCTGGCAACTGGAATGTGTAGATTGGCATCTCCAGGGGGAACTGCTCGTTGTTGCATTCACTTGCCACGTGGGACCGGGCCAGGGAGACGATGGCTGAGCTGGCGTGGGAAATCCCCCGGGAAAGCCGCTTTTCTGCAGGGGGAGAAGGAAAGATAGCCCCAAGGGCTGAGTGGGTGTAGGTGTGGCTCTATGTACATAAACACACATACTATGCACACACAATACACACACACAGGTACACATTCATGCACACAGACCACACACATGCACATACCACACAACACACAAAAATACATATGTGCACACATATGAACACACCATACATGTTCACACATATATACTACATGGCACATGCGCACATACATATACATGTGCACACACACTTATAAGCAGAGATATACATGTGCATACACATACTGCACACATACGCATACACACACATGCACACACATAAATGCTCACACATGAATACGAAAGCATACACAGGATCATATGCATGCACACACTAGACACATATACACTGCACATCCACTTGTATACATACATGTGCACACACTACATAGCATACACATACATGCATGCAGACACACACATAGAAACAGTTGGCACATATACTACACACATATATACATGCCCACGCACATACACTACAGACTATACACATACTATATACGTGTACACATATAGATGTATTTGCACACACAAATACACAGGACACACAGCGCACATACATGTACATACATGCACAGACTATATGCATACACACGTACACATACATGTGTGCACACACATACACATGCACACCCATATTCTCTCTGCAACAGCCCTTATATCCTACAAGCCTTTTCTATCCTGCAGGCCTTCCTGCTGCTGGATTAATCACCACCACCTGGTATGTGGCACTTATTCACAAGAGTCATGAAACCACTTAGTAAGTGGGGAGCTGCAAGCCCACAGTACAACTGCACATCAGCACTGTCAAAGAGCACCAGGCTTGCTCTTGGGTCTGAAGTTACATCTACCTCAATTCCACTGAGTTGTCCTCTCCCAGGACTAAATGGTACAAGGGAGACCGCTCTTTGTCTCGATGCATTTATGCACTTAATGCAAAGAAACAATCATTCAGGCATCCACAGCAGCTCAGGTTTTAAGACAGGTTGTTTTACTAAAGTTACGCTGATAAATGCCTCCTACATGGCCCTCCCAGGACACACAATATTAAGTCAGTCCATGTGTTTCTCTTCTGTCTGGATATTCTTTTGCCACAGCACTCTCAAAAATAATGCTCTCCTCTGGCTTTATTCTTCTTGGGCTTTTCAGCCAGGGAATGAGAAACGCAGTGTAGGATTTCTCTAAGGTACAATATGTTACCATGTTAGGAAGTCGATTACCTAGAAAGTAGATGTATCTTCTTGATGCTGCAAAAGCACGCTTGTTTTTATAAGCCCTGTGTTCTAATGACTAACATTGAACATAAAACAAGAATGCTTAAATATATGTTAAGAATAGGTTATCTTTTCTCATAGTGTTTTCAGTAAGGAGAAGTCTTTTTAGCAGGGCAGTAGATCTTTCATTTTTCTCAGGAAAGCATGGTCTCTGGTGTTTTATTCAAAAGCCTGCTGCCTGTGTTGCCTAAATTAAGTATAAATAAGCATTGTCTAAGCCCTGTGGCAAATTCCTGAGGCTATTCCCTGAGGTCCCAAGGAATCCCACTGTCCTCCAGTTCAGCCTGCCCACTGGTGAGGTCTGTGCTCCTGCAATGCCCCTCTGAGGTCCACACTGACCAGCACACCACGGTCACACGGAAAACCCAGCCCCAGCTTTCACCCGGAACAGCAGCATTTTCCTTCCCCACTTGCAAGAGCACTGGACAGAAATGGCATTCATGGAGTTTTGTTACAACAGACTAAAAAGCATAAGCTTTTGATCCTATGGCAAGTTAGTTTTAAATCCGAAGCTAATTTCCAGAAGGTTCATGTATTTTTCCCATTAAAATGAATACAGAGTCACAGAGACAGACTACATTTCGCAATGGGTGGTTTAGATTCACCTTCAATTTCATTCAGAGACCAACAGGATTAAGTTCTTTGTATTTTGCAGAAAGGTAAAAAGAGAAGTTAAACCACACAGGACATTAGAAAGAAGAGGGAGGGAGCACATGGGCCCAGCTTGGGTGGTGGGGGACGGCCCATTGCTTCCCACGCTGGTTCAGGTCCTTGAGTGCAGGAGCAGTGGAGGCTTGTGTCTTTCTGCCTCGTGCAAGCCATGCTGAGGCCACTCATCTTGCCACAAACTACCATTTTTGTATCTGGGAAAGAAGGAACTGCCCCATTTTTCGGAATCTGATGGAGAGGGACATCAGGCATTAGAGAATCGAGGTGCTATGTGCACCTGCAATCGGTGGGACAGACAATCTCAAGGCTGCTCTCAACAGTGGGCACCTGTTGTCCAGGGGCACCCATGCTCCTCCCGGGCCCATCAATCAGCACCCACATGAGACACTTCGATGGCCTTGGAAACACGGTGATTCCTAGGACAACATGATGTGGTTCTGCAGTTCTAAACATGAAATATTTGGAGTTTGAGGGAAAAAAGTATTTTTGAACTAAAAATATTAATAGATTGCGTTGAAGATCATATAAAATGAGAAATATATGCTCCTAATTCTAACATTTCCTGTGACACCCCAGGAATGCACACATATCATCTCTCTCACACACACACAGAGTCACACACACACACACACATTCACACACTGATTCTTTAAACGTGAACTCAGTGATTCTACTTTTGGATGTATAAATAAAATGTTTTACAGGAATTACCATGATCAAAGTTATGTCTCAGAAAAATACAGAAAGATTAGAAAACAAAACAAAACATAGTACAAGAATGTACAGAATTTCCCTGCCACTGACAAAGGGGAGATGTATTAACTATATATTCTTTTTTCATTTATTTTCCTTTTATTTTTAATTTTTACAGAGATGGGGTCTTGCCATGTTGCCCTGTCTGGTCTTGAACACTTGGGCTCAGCGAGGATTACAGGAATGAGTCACTGCATCTGGCCCTGCGTTTTCTTATTTTCTTTGTTTTTGTGGCTCTGGCACCTGGGACCTCCCTGACTGGGGAGAGGCTGCCCCTCCCAGGTGAGCCAATGTTAAGAGATGGCAAAGGCCTTGCCCCGCAGCACACCTCTCCTATGCGGAGCAGCCAATCCAGAATCTACACTCCTGACTACCCTCTCCAGCTGGCTCTTACTCTCCAGGAGGCAACGTTCCTTTGCCCTAAGCACTTCAGGCCAGGGACCAGGCAGCCGGAGACAGGCCCTGGTACCTGGTACCTGGTGCCTCTGAGCTGGCTGCCGTTATGCACACTAGCTGGGGTAGGGGGCTGCTCCCCCTGCCCTGCCTTCCCATAGAAACCACCTCAAAGGCTTTGGCCCATGCTTCCCCTCACTCCTATCTCCAGATGACCGGCGCCTCCCCGTGTGGCCCTGCATGCTGTGCTGGGCCTCCTGTTTCCAAGGAACTGTGAGTTAAAAAAAAAAAACAACTTCCACCTTCATGACAGTCATTTCTGTGTCTGCGTGTCTTATGACACCTGATTAAAACCGATCCTGGGTATATTTTAAAACAGGTGGACAAAACTTTTCCTAAAGGGTGAGACAGAAATATTTTAGGCTTTGTGGGCCATGCAGTCTCAACTACTCACCTCTGTCTTTGCAGCACTAAAGCCGTCGAAGACAGTACATACATGAGTGAGCGTGGGGGTGTTCCAATAAAACTTTACTTAAAAAACAGCCCAGATTGGGCTCACAGGTCTTTTTCTGGGCCCTGATTTAGAATATGAAATGTTCCATTTTCCATTTTGGCACACTATGGTTTCAGGAAGAACTCAACTAAAGGAGACATAAATTTAATTCAGAAACTCTGTAATTCAATAGGAATCGATATGATTGCTCGCAAGGCTCAATTAATAGGATTATGCTGGGATAGAGTCCTATTTTTTTTTTCTTAAATGATATCTAAGAAAAGTCAGATCACAGTATGTAACAGCTACACTTACTAGGCCCTGATTCTGCCAATCTCTCTGGTAGCAGAGAGAAGGGTCCTTCTAGCCCCTGTACCAGGAGGATAAGATAATGGGTTGGTTTGTTTGCTGCCAGCTCAAAAGAGCAGGACTGCCATGTGGCCATCTGTCTGGATTGCTGCTGCCTGAAAGATACCAGCAGCCTTAACCGTGTGGTGTAGTCAAGGAAGGCCCTGAGCACAAGACCGAGCCAAGGACTGGAAGGGGTGGTTCCTCTGGAGTCAGGTCTAATGGCAGAAATGAAACCGAATTTAAGAATAATCAGCAAGAGGGGCAAGACAGTGCATAGCCTCAGTGTCCTGTCCTCACACACACCTAGAAATCCTCAGGGGCAGGAGGTGGGAATGGGTGAGGCCGACAGAGAGGGCCTGGGGTAGGGCGTCTTGGTCCTGCCTTTCCTCTCCCCAGCATGGCTCCAGCATGGCCTGCCTTCCCTATCATCCCCTAGCCCCAGCCCTGTGCCAGCTGGAGAATGTCAGGTGGTGCTGGAGCACAGCTGGGTGGGGCACCAGTCACCATAAGCACTGCTTCCCTCCTTTCCCTAACACACTGGGGAGCTTGGCGGTTACACCAGAGCAGGGCAGTCCCTACAGGAAACAAGGACTTTCTAGAAGAGAGGAGCTGGGAGCAGCCCTCAGTAGACAATCCAGCTATGCAGAGGGGAACAGGCAGGGAACTTCTAGAGCCCAAATGACAACATCTAAGGCTCTCCAGCTTGAGTACCCTTCCCCGACTCTCATCTGGAGGAGCATCCACCAGAGCCTGTGCTCCAGCACAGTGAAGATGGATGATAACTGCGTGCCCCAGGAGCTTCAGGGAAACTGTTAAAGAAAGGCAACAAAGTACTGGCCAGGAGGACTAGATTAAAAAATGAGCCTAGTAAATACATGCAAAGAGATAAATAGAATATCAGAATGCAAAATAATAATAACAATAATAAAGACAAAGAATTAACTTGGGATTAAAAAAAATGTTAATGGGACTAATAATGCATTCATGTGCAGAATAAATAGGGATGTGAAAACATCAGGTCAAGTGAATCTCTTAGAAGACATGAGAACAAGGTGCAAGAACATGATGGAGGAAGGGTTGGAAGGTGTTCAAAGAAAATAATTTCAATCTAGAGTTTTTAATCTACTAAATGAAAATTTAAGTATACCATGTAAATCTTTTTAGGCACTCAAGGCCTTAGGAGATTCACCATGCAAAAACTGTTTTTGGAAGTAGTCTTTGAGGAAGGTTTTTTTTTTTTAGCAAAAGAGAAAAGAATACATGTGAATAAATAAAGGAGTTAATTGTTATCTAAATAAGCAAAGGCAACAAAAAGTATCTAAATAAGATTGAGAGCAAGTAGAGGCAGGACAGAACAACATAAAATCATATTAATACATGTATTTTGCAGGGGAAAATATAGTTGTTAAGTTTTTAAAAATAATAGGAAGAAAACCAAAATAATGATTTTAATAGAATAGCAGTAATTGCAATGTGAGTAAAAGTAGAATGTGTAACTTGCAAACCAGTAGAAAAATTTAACTAGATAGAGAAGATAGGACAGAAGAATGGATTGAATTAACCACTCAAAAGACAGAGATTCTTGGATTGGATAATAAAATGAAACCTAATAATAAATTGTCTACAAGAATCACATTTAACATGAAAGGATATGGAAAAGTTGAAATTATATCAGCAGAAAAAATGATATTTCTGGCAAATATGAACCAACAGAAAGCCAGGGTAGCTGTTTAATATCAACAAAAGCAGATTTCAAGATAAAAACCATTATATCAAATGGCTTGACAAAGAGACAGCCTATATATTGGTCAAAAAACACACGAGGAAGATAATCTAAAAAATTATGAATATACATATACCTAACAAGATAGCATCAAAACAAATACAGCAGAAAGGATGAAACTCAGAGAAGACACAGATAATATGTATTAAAATTTCTAACTCAATTATGGCTTTTCTAAACAACAGAATAAACAGTTGAGAATAATCCAAGATATAGATTCAATATAGCTTGAATAATAGGCTGAGCTAATAGAAACAAAGACAGCATTCATTTGCAACAGTTCAGGAGAGTCTACCTAATTCAATAAAATAAAAAACTGAATTAATTGTATAAATATGAAGAAGAACTTACAATTATTTCAGATGATACTATTGTATACTTAGATATCCAAGTGATTCTCTTAGTCATTAAGCAAATGACTAATAAGAGAATTTATGTAGTTCACTGGATAAAAGATAAATAAGTAAAAAATGAGTTTCTTTTTTCCATGCTTAAAATCTGAACAGAATCTGAATATGTGGAGAGGCATACATAATGTTCTTGGATAGAAGAACAATATTATAAATGCAAATTATTTTTAAAATTAAATAAAAATCCATTCCAATTCCACTCAGAATTATAATTTTAAGGTTTAGATGGCAAAATAAATATTCAAAAACAGCACACACAAAAAAAGGAAAAGCATAGCAATAGAAGGTGAGGGTGAGACCCTGTGAAACCACTGAGTCAAGTGTAACAGGGGGGCAGCCACAGGGGTGGGCAGAACAAGGTATGGAAATAGGTCCAGGTATGTTGAGAATTTAATATAAGGCAAAGCTGGCATTTAGTTCAGTGGGAAAATGTACTTGAATAACTCTCTCTCAATCCAGGAGAAAGCAAAACCAGATTCTTTGCTATTTACAAAAATTTCAAATTGATGAAAAGACTCAAAGAACAAAATTTAAATTAAATATAAGAATATATTTCAGGCCGGGCACGGTGGCTCACGCCTGTAATCCCAGCACTTTGGGAGGCCGAGGTAGGTGGATCACAAGGTCAGGAGATCGAGACCATCCTGGCTAACACGGTGAAACCTTGTCTCTACTAAAAATACAAAAAATTAGCTAGGCGTGGTGGCGGGTGCCTGTGTCCCAGTTACTCGGGAGGCTGAAGCAGGAGAATGGTGTGAACCCATGAGGCAGAGCTTGCAGTGAGCCGAGATTGCGCCACTGCACTCCAGCCTGGGCGACAGAGTGAGACTCCATCTCAAAAGAAAAAAAAAAAAAAAAGAATATATTTCAGTAATTCTGTAGTCCAAGAAACCTTCCAAAGTGAGAGAGAAAGCTCATCAGCCATGAGAACAAGATAATGTAAACATTGTGTATGGGAAAATATTCTGAAAAGAAAGTCATAAGGCAAGTGATATGTGGGAAAAACACATATACATATAGAGGAAATATATGTTTTAGTCTTTATTACAAAGAGAGCAACAAATTGATAAGAAAAGACAAACCAATCAATAGAAAAATGGACAAAGTATGCGAACAGCCACGTTACAAAGGGGAAATCCAATGGCCTAAGAAGCAAATGACAAGATGAGACAAGACACCATTTTCCACTCTTCAGAGTAGAAAAACAACATAAACACATTTGATGTAGTTTGAATATTTGTCTCCAAATCTCAAGTTGAAATGTGATCCCCAATCTTGGAGGGGGGGTCTGGTGGGAGGTGTGTGGATTAGAAGCAGATCCCTCATGAATGTCTTGGACTATCCCCTTGGTGATAAGTGAGCTCTTGCTCAGTTCACACGCAATCTGGTCATTTAAAAGTGTGTGGCACCTCCCACCCACCACTCTCTCTCTCTTGCTCCAGCTCTGGCCATGTAAAGTGCCTGTTCCCTCTTTGGGATTTTAAGCTTCCTGAGGCCTGCCATGATTTTAAGCTTCCTGAGGCCTCCCCAGAAGCTGAGCAGATGCCGGCACCATGCTTCCTATAAAGCCTGCAGAACCATGAGCCAAGTAAACCTCTTTTCTTTATAAATTACCCAGCCTCAGATATTTCTTCATAGCAATGCAAGAAAGGGCTAACACAGAAAATCAGTACCAAGGGGGTACCTGAAAATGTGAAAGCAACTTTGGAACTGGGTAATGGGCAGAAGTTGGAAGTCTGGAGGATTCAGAAGAAGACAGCAAGTGAGGGAAAGTTTGGAACTTCTTAGGGACTGGTTAAATGGTTATGACCAAAATACGGATAATGAAATGGACAACAGAGTCAAGGCTGAGGAGGTCTTAGATGGATATGAAGAAATTATTGGGGACTGGAGCAAATGGTCACGTGTTTTGCCTTAGCAAAGAGCTCAGCTGCATTCTGTTCATACCCTAGGGATCTGTGGAAGTCTGAACTTGATGATTTAGGGTATGTGGTAGAAGAAATTTATAAGCAGCAAAGTATTCAAGAGGTGGCATGGCTGCTTCTAACAGTCTGCATTCAGATGCTGCAGCAAAGATAGGAGTTGGAACTTATATTTAAGGGAAGCAGAATGTAAAAGGGAAGCAGAATGTAAAAGTTTGAAAAATTTGCAGCCTAGCCATGTGGCAAAGAAAGAAAAAGCTTTTTCAGAAGAATTCAAGCAGCCTGAGGAGCAACTACTTGCTAGAGATATTTGCATGACGAAAAGGAAGCTAAATGAGTGCTATTACCTAAGACAATGGAGAAAAAGCCTTGAAGGCATTTCAGAGACCTTCACAGCAGCCCCTCCCATCAAAGGCCTACAGGCCTAGTTGGAAAGAATGGTTTCATGGGCCAGGCCCAGGGCCCCGCTACCTTGTGTAGCCTTGGGACACTGCTCCCCACATCCTGGCTGCTCCAGCTCCAGCCTTGGCTCAAAAGGTCCCAGATACAGTTCAGGCTGCTGCTTCAGAGGGTGCAAGCCATAAGCCTTGGTGACTTTCACATGGTGTTAAACCTGTAGACATGTAGAATGCAAGAGTGAATGAGGTTTGGCAACCTCTGCCTAGATTTCAGAGGATGTATGGAAAAGCCTGGGTGTCCAGGCAGAAGCCTGCAGCAGGGGCATAGCCCTCACACACAACGTCTACTAGGGCAGTGCCAAGGGGAAATGTGAGGTTGGAGGCCCCACACAGAGTCCTCATGGGGGCACTGCCTAGTAAAGCCGTGAGAAGGGGGCCACCACCTTCCAGACTCCAGAATGGTAGATCTACCAGTGGCTTGCACCCTGCACCTGGAAAAGCTGAAAGCAGAGAGCAGCCATGGGGGCTGAACTCTGGAAAGCCACAGGGGCAGAGCTGCCCAAGGTCTTGGGAGTCCACCTCTTGCACTGGTGTGCCCTGGATGTGAGACATGGAGTCAAAGGAGATTATTTTGGAACTTTAAGGTTTAATGATTGTCCTGCTGGGTTTTGAACTTGTGTGAGGCCTGGAGCCCCTTTCTTTTGGCCAATGTCTCCCTTTTGGAATGGGAATGTTTACCCGATTGTATCTTGGGAGTGAATAACTTGTTTTTGATTTTACAGGCTCACAGGTGGAAGGGACTTGCCTTGACTCAGACAAGAGTTTGGACTTTTGAGTTAATGCTGGAACAAGTCAAGACTTTGAGGGACTGTTGGGAAGGCATGATTGTATTTTGCAATGAGAAGGACATGAGATTTGGGAGGGCCCAGGAGTGGATTGATATAGTTTGGATATTTGTCACCACCCAAATCTCATATTGAAATGCAATCCGCCATCTTGGAGGTAAGGCCTAGTGGGAGGTGTTTGGATCACGGGGGCAGATCCCTCATGAATGGCTCGGGCCAACCCCTTGGTGATAAGTGAGCTCTCATTCTGAGTTCACATGAGATCTGATCATTTAAAAGTATGCAGCACCTCTGCCTTCCAACTCACTCTCTCCTGCTCCTACCCTGGCCATGTGAAGTGCCTGTTCCCCCTTTGCCTTCTGCATGATTGTAAGCTTCCTGAGGCCTCCCCAGAAGCTGAGCAGATGCCAGCACCATACTTCCTGTAAAGCCTGCAGAACCACGAGCCAAGAAATCCTCTTTTTAAAATAAATTACCCAACCTTAGGTATTTCTTTACAGCAGTGAAAGAATGGCCCAGCACACCATACATTGTAATTTCCAGTGCTGGCAAGATTGAAGGGAAACACCCGGTTTCACACATGGTGAGTAGCAATATATTAGGAAAGAAGCCCTAAAATTATTAAGCTAGAAACACACATGTGTTGGCACAGCAAATCCATTCTGGGAATGCAAACCCATAGAAACAAAAGCACCAGTATGTAAGATTAGAGGTATAAAGATGTTTCTTTCAGCATTGCTTTCAGTGGCAATTAACAAATAATAACAACGACAAAAACCCAAGCAAAAACAGAATCACCATGAATACAGCAGTGATCTAAAAATTAACACATTATAGAATAAAATGTAGCTATTGAGAGATTATGTTCATCATCTCCTGCTCAGTGAAACAAGCACTTTGCAGTGTGCTGTGCATTTGACTCTGATGTGTTTGATTTTGAACAATATAGCAAGAGGAGCAGGAGGAGACCACCAGAATGTTATCAGCCGTCATTACACTGGTGAGATCTGGGAGGTGTGGAGGCGAATGCTCTTAAGTTTTCCTCATATATCTCTGTATTGTTTCCTTTGTTATAATAAGCATATCTTACTTTCATAATGAAGAAAAAGGATAGAGAAGATGGAGCGCATGGGACAAGAAATGTGATGCTGAACAGACTTGGAGACTGTGTTACTTTGGAAATATGTGAAAGAACTAGAGATGTTTGGTCTGAAAAAACCAAGACTCCAGGAGGAATGCTGGCTTTTACTCACTTATTGGGCTTTTGGGGTCCTAGGAAATCAGACTCATTTTTCTGCTTTTCTGAGGTAGAGGTTGGAACCATGGATAGAAGCAACAAAGGACATTTCGGCATAGTGTGAGAAAGAAGGCACTGAGAGGCCAATATGTCTGCATCCGGGAGGTGATGACCCCACCATTCTTTGTACCACGCAACCCGCCTGCAAGCTGCGGTGCACTGGCCTGGGCGGCTGTGCCTAGGCTCAGTCCCTCAGCGGTACCTTGGGCAATGTCGTCCTGCCTCTGCAGGCAGGGTCGCTCCACCTTGTGCCCGGGCTGTGGCTCTCGCTCTGGCTGCTTGGGACCCCGCCCTTCATTGAACACATGTGGCAGATTGGCTGTGTGCACCTGGCGGAGCTGCTCATAGTCGCTCAGAGCGGCTGTCAGGTCCCAGTTTTTGCCTGTGGACAAGAAATGACAAGAGGTGACAATACGAACGCATGAATAACGGTCTCATCATAGAGAAGAACTGTGACAAGAAGGGTTTCCCATTAGGACATAAACTAATGAATTTTTACCAGTAGTTCTTGTTTTTCAAAGGGGAAAAATGGCCCTCTGCATGACTCTAAAAGCAGAATTTCACACCCATAAGTGACGTCCATCTAAAATATGTGACTATATACAGTCTCAGAGCCTTTAGGTTCATACACACACACACACACACACACACACACACACACACACACACACATCTAAACACTGCATCCCTGATCATCACATCCCCCTTTGAAAATCAAGTTGTAGAGCTTACTCTCTGAGGGGAACAAAGCATCAATTAAAGAAAAATGAATTGAAATAATTCTCAAAGTTTCTTTGGGCTTTTGCTCAGAGTTTTACTTTTTATTTTAAGCTTAATATGAGCGAAGCAGAAGCTTGGGAGGGATTCTCTTGTTAGTGAGCTTTGGTGGGAGATAGGCTTCTGAGCTCAGGCCCTGCACCAGGTGTGATGCCAGGCTGGGCAGGTGTGCCCAGCGTGGGTACGCACTCAGCAGGGCTCCCACCCCGACACGGGGTGCTGGACTGGCACTTCGCAGCACTAGGCACAGCTACACTGGGGAGTTGGAGGCAGCGTGGGCACTCTGATTCCCGACTCTGAGAGTCAGTGGGCTTGTAACGGCAGGAAGGAGTATCACACACTACACCCGATTCAGTTAGGCATCATCCTATAGCACGATTGGGCAACTATAGTTAACAATAACTTAATGTATATTTCAAAATAACTAGAAATGTAGATTTGGAATGTTCCCAACACAAAAGAAATGATGCATGTTTGAGGTGATGGATATCCCAATTAGCCAGATTTGATCATTATACATTGTAGGCTGGTATCAAAATATCACATCTGCCCCATCAATATACATATTGATGTATGTATATATCAATACATACAACTATTATGTATCCATAACAATTAAAAATTAAAAAATTTTAAAAAGAAATCAAAGAATTAAAAACTTAGCCTTAATTTTAAGGAGCAAATAAAAATAAGCTCTCTTCTCATCTTTTCCATTTTAAGTTACTGGGAACCCCAACAGATGTCACATCAAGTAAGGATGAGAAGGAAAGGCGCAGAGGCCCATGGTGAAACCTGAGGCTGGAAGACTGGGGCAGCCACAGGCTACATGTCCCTGATGAAGGAATGCAACCCAGAAGAACAGTCAAGAACACAGGTTCTAGGGCCTGGTTTTGAGCCCTGGTTCCACCTTCTAACTAATTCTCTGATGGTGAATATATCATTTCATCACCCAAGGCCTTGCATTCCTTCCTGTACAATTAGGATAACACAATCCATCTAATGAGAATTCTTATGAGGGTTAAATGAGAAAAGGAGATAGTGTTTGTAAAGTTCTTCCTTTATGGAAAGCACTAATACATGGTAGTTACCATTATTCTCATTAATTATAGGTTTCTGTTTTATGTTTAACTTCCAGCACTCAGAGTTAAAAGCCAGCTAGTAAGCAACGGAGCTGAGATTCAAATACACGGACTTATCTATACTCCGTGAGTTTCTCATTCAACTGTTACTAATGCCATCTCCCAAACACACTGAGGCCATAAAGTCCATGGGAGGGCAGTAGAAGCCTAATTCTAACATGGATATTTTCACACTTCCTCTTCTGCACCCTGGGACACTCTATGGTCCCTTCACTGTTTCCTTTGCCTCTTCCTGCCCTTAAAACACATGGATTCCCCTAATTTTTCTTCTTGCTCTTCTTTTCTCTTAATTTATACCCTCCTTTGAAGATTAATTCCATCTCTATGAGAATAAGCTTAATTCTAGTTACAACTTACATCCTAAGTTTTAAAGCCAAATATTTGACTATGGGAGATATTAGCTGACTATCCAATTTCTAGTCTCCTTATCTAATTCTATATGTTCAGAATTCTAATTTATTTTGGATAGCAATACACACAGCTGAAAATATTCATTTTCTCCTGCAGATCTTCAAACTGTATTCCTGTTGTCCTATCTTTCTGTATTTGCTTACTCTGTTTCTTCTTCCAGGAATAGTTCCTCCAAGCAGCAAGACAGTATAGCTGTATGGAAGAAGACCTTAACCAAAATAATTCAAAGACTGAGGAAGCTTCCTGTGAAGTTTTTCTTCCAGGATGCCTCAATTTCTGATTATCACCAAAAAGCAAGTTATTGGATTACTAGTAGACACAGATTTCATGGTAAGAACTACAACCTCTAGTACAGTTTACTGCTGAAAATGTTTATGCCTTAAACTCCTAAATCATTTGATTTTTTTTCATTGTCTTAAGAGGCAGTGGATTTCAAGTTAAACTTAACATATGTATTTTGGCACTCAGAGAGGGATGAGCTGCTTTAATTTAGTACAAAAGTATCACAGCTCTGAAGAAAAACTATAAATCAGATATACATGAACTCACAGGAGGAGGTGAAACAGAAACTGACTAAACTCAGGGGAAAAAGGAGTCAAACTGTTTTAGGAATGAAGTTAAATTATAAGGGAGAAAAGAGAAAACAGACTGCAGATAGCATAGTAAGAATGATAAAAATGAAAAGTAAAGTAGACAAAACAGAAATAAAGAAACACAGGGTTAAAGAAAAATGTTAGATACCGAGTATAGGTAAAAAAATCCAACATACTCATAATTTGAGCCCCAAATAAAAAACCTGAAATAATGGAAAGGAAAAAAAAAGAATTTAAAGACTTTAATTAAAAAAGCAAACTTTTTGAAATATTTGATTTTACACATTTAAAGGGCACACTGTATATAAGGAAACTGTTCTAGTATAGCCAATACCAACATATTTTAAAATTATCCTCTTTTAAAGATAAAGAGAATTTTTTAAATATGTAAGCAAAAAAGAAAGAAAATCAGGTTAGCAACATACTTCTTGGCAGCAACAGTCAATGCCAAAAGACAATAGGGCCACATCTACAAGATACTGAAGGAAAGAAAGCAATATGAGCTAAGAAAGCTTTATGCCCATCCAGTCTACTCTTTTCTGTATAAAGGCTGTAGACAAACCATTTTAAACATGAATCGTTCAGAAAACATTTCTCAAATGGACACTTTTTGAGAAAATTAATAGAGGATGAACTCCAGCCAATCAAGAGATGAATAAGAGTCTGGCAAAGGAGCAGTCAGGCAGCAGTAAGTTTATTTAACTGCACATCTAAGGAAAAGCAAAGGTAGAGATACAAGTGATGAAGAAGAATATCAATATTCTGTCAAAATGAAAATGACACAATCAACAAAAATGGTAGAATTTAGAAAGCAGAATAAATTTGCAATGCCTCAGCTGTTATACATGAGACTGCAAAGATAATGTTTACAGTTGACAGATCAGGCCAGGTGCAGTGTTTCACACCTGTAATCCCAGTACTTTGGGAGGCCAAAGTAGGCAGATCACTTGAGGTCAGGAGTTTGAGACTAGCCTGGCCAACATGGCGAAACCCTGTCTCTACCAAAAATACAAAAATTACCTGGACATGGTGGGACACGCCTGTAGTCCCAGCTGCTCAGAAGGCTGAGGTACAAGCATTGCTTGAACCTGGGAGGTGGAGGTTGCAGTGAGCTGAGATTGCACCACTGCATGCCAGCCTGGGCGACAGAGCAAGACTCCGTCTCAAACATAACAACAACAAAAAAAACAAAACTACAGTTGACAGGTCAAATATGTATATGTAAGCATATTTAATAGTAGAAGGGCAAACAATAAGAACAGACAAAAGATATACTATTGGTTAAATTAGATGGTAGAAGAGAGAGGGGAGAATGAAGGAAGAAGATAGAAGCTTGTTTTATTGAGGCATATAGGGAATAAACTGATATTGTCTAAAGAAAAAGGGATATAGGATATTACATAAAGGCAAACTTATATAACCACTAGTTATAAACATAATTGTATTGTTATACTAGTGGTTAAAAAAGTAACCATTAACATAGTTTTTTAAAATATCAGAAAAAATATTCTAAAATAAAAAGCTAAGATAACATAGTGAAAGACATTTAAAATATTTACACAGAAAAATAGAAACTATGACAGAACTAAAACCAACCGTATCTGTGAGAGCAATAAATTTAAGTAGGCTTAATGCAACTATTTAAAGAAAAGGATTTTTACATTATCTCTAAAAAGAAAGATGAATCATTTGCTGTATATAAGAGACACACCTAGAGCAAAGTGATTTATAAAGGTCACAACTAAAACAGATAGATAATAGTTTATCAGGTACACAAGACAAAGACAAAACAACAGTAACAACAAAACTGAGATTATGATCTTGTATCAAACAAGGTAGAATTCAGGCCAAAAAGCATTAAGTAATATGAGGAAAACCACTTTATAAGGCAAAACTGTTCAATTGGCAATGAAGTATATTAATCATGTTTTTTATTCTTTGTATTTTATGACGCTTTGACATCTTGGGGCCTTTGTGACCTGGGAGAAGCTGCATCTCCTTGGGCTAGCAAATTCCTAGAGATGACAAACTACTTTTCTGCAAGCCTGCCTTTCATATATAAACCCATTAATCCAAAGCCCAGACCCCTCAACCACAGCCTTTCCTACACTGCAGGCCAATATTCCCCTCCTCTAATCAGCCCAGGGCCAGGTACCAGATAACTCAGGACAGCCCCTCCACTTTGGGCCTGCTGGAATTACTCAGACTAGCCAACCCTCAACCAGCTTAGCCTGCTTGCCGTGCCCTGCCCAATCCTTCCCATGGAAACTGCAACAAAGGCTCTTGCTCTGGTTTTCCTCCTACTCACTCTGCCTCCTGACTGTGAAACAGAAACTGATTAAACTCAGGGGGGAAAAGGAGTCAAACTGTTTTAGAAATGAAGTTAAATTATAAGGGAGAAAAGAGAAAACAGACTACAGATAGCACAGTAGGAATGATAAAAATGAAAAATAAGTCAAGTAGCCAACCTAAAACAGAAATACAGAAACAGGGCTTCCCCATGTAGCCCTGTGTGGTATGTTGTACACCCTGCTTCCAGGGAATTGTGAGTAACAAACTTCTTCCTTTATAACAATAATTTCCATATCTGCATACCTGATTAAAACAAATCCAAAGTACATATGAAAACAGAAGATATAAGAGGTATGAATATCTGCATAGGAAATTAAAAGGCAGAAACTTTATAAAGTGGAAACTACCATGAAACACACTACACTGACACCACAATTACCTAGAGCGTACCATAAACAGCAGGAGTGACTATAACATGGTAACAAACAGCCTCCAAATCCTAGAGGTCATAACAACACAGGTTTACTTTTTGCTTGTTCCACACATCCACCATGGGTTGACTGAACTCTGTGACATAGCTTGTCATTCCAGGATTCAGGCTTATAGAGCAGCCACTATAAGCCTATGACTGTGGAAGAAGGATAAAAAGCCAGGAGCATCTCCCATCAAAAATCAAATACTCTGGTCCAGAGGTGATATCTCACCTCTGTTACAATCCATGGCAAGAACTAGCCACAGGCTCCCTCCAAACACGGGGCCCAGGAACTACATCCTCCCATGTGCCCACAAGCGGGAGGCAGAGAGCTGGACATAGTCCGTGAAGGGCATTAGTGCTGAATACACGGGATGTGAAATGAACACACATAAATAAATAGCCTTAATCTGTGAAGAAAAACATGTTAGAAGACATAATGGAAGAATATTCCATACACAATTGCAACTAAAATGATAAAGTACTGAGGGATATATTTAAAAGAAATGTACACAATGTGAAAGAAAAATAAATCTCAAGACCCCAAAATCACTAAGCCAAAGGGTGTCAGGCAAACCTGCCTCCCATTTTATTCCTAAATAAGATAGCTAAAAAGATAAAAAACACTACATACCTCCCTCACAATTTGCTCACCAGGAAATTCCTTATGGGCCTCAAGATCTTTCTTTAGGGACTCAGAGCCCTAAAACAGTTCTGTGGCATTTTACCCTGGCAATGTAAATTGATAGCTTATCCCACAGGTGTGGGACAAAGGACAGACAGAACTCTAAGTCATCTCTCTGCTCACCTGAGACAAATGCATATCTGGTTGCTTCCTCTGCCCTATTGTTTATGTAAAAATTCAGATTTACTGAGTCAGACTAAGGCATAAGTGATTATTCCTCTACCTGCCTCTCACATGTAAATTGTGTATTCAGTGAAAGGCTGATCAAAGACATAAAAGAATGCAAACTTTTATCTCTTATCTACCTATGACCTGGAAGCCCCCAGGTCAAGTTGTCCCACCTTCCCAGACAAAACAAATGTACGTCTTACACATATTGATTGATGTCTCATGTCTCCCTAAAGTGTATAAAACCCCACTGTGCCCTGACCACCTTGGGTACATGCACTCAGGATCTCCTGAGGGCTATGTCATGGACCATTGGTCACTCATATTTGGCTCAGAATAAATATCTTCAAATGTCTTACAGAGCTTGAATCTTTTTGTCAACAACAACATAAATGTGGAAAACTTAGAATATTCCTGAAGGGCATAAAAGTTAAACTGTGTATATCGTAAACTGAAAATAAAATCCTAATCCCCACCAACTAACCAAATGAACCCTCTCTGGGCCAAGAGGACCTCAGAGATGCCTGAAAAACTGAATTCCTGGACATGGCTGGAAGGGAGGTCAGACACACCTTGTAATACCGCCTTTCTTTTGGAGTTTAGACACAACAGACCAGCATTAACATTAAAATAGAGATCATAAAATAGAGATCACCAAACAGACTGTGTAGCAATGAGATACCAAATTCCAACCTGACTCTGGTAAGCATCACATGACAGATAGCAGACTCTAAAGGAAATCAAATATATTTTACTCCAAAATATATTTCTTTGAAATATTTTTAAATGGCTCTGCAAAGCTATCTTTGTGGGGGAAATTTGCATCTGTAGAGACTCTCCATTAACGCAGCTAGCACTTTCCTGGATTCAGGAAAGATTAACTAAGAGTCTGACACGTTGTAAGGTCTGAAACATTTGCGATGTATTCTCTCTGAAGGCTGCTAGCTGGAGACTTCCTCTACAAAACAAGAGCCTCGGCTTCCACAATCCCCTTATCTTAACTCAAGCATTTCTTTCTACTGACTTCAAATCTTTAGGCAAAGCTGAACTCTTTCAACAAATTGCCAATTAGAAAATCTCTCTGAATCCACCTATGACCTGTGACCATCCCCACTCCTTGCCTTTCTAAGCATCTTTGAGACGTCCCACCTTTTTAAGCTGAACCAATGTATACCTTACATGTATTGATCCATGTCTTTGCTTGTAACTTCTGTCTCCCTAAAATGTATAAAACAAAACTGTAACCTGATCACCTTGGGCGCTTGTTCTCAGGATCTCTTAAGACTGTTCCCTGGGTCATGGTCATTCGTACTGGCTCAGAAGGGCGACAGAGCAAGACTCCGTCTCAAAAAATATATATATATTTTACAGAATTTGGTTTTTCCATCAACAATACTATGTTCCTAGTTTAGGAGACTTAATGTTGTAATTTATTCCTCTAACTTATACATTTGATTTGATTCCAGTAAAAAAAAAAAAAAACAACACAGAAGCAGGTTTTGTTTTCCTTCCTTGGAATCGGACAAGCTGATTTTAAATTCACATCAAAAAATAAGCAAGAATAACCAGAGAAACTCTGAAAAGTAAGTACAAAGAGAAGGAAGGAGCACTCTGAGACACTGGCATGAACTCTACTGCCTCAATGACTAGTCTCTGATCAGACTCAACAATGGAACATAATAGTGTAAACCAAAAATAAAATTTGAAGGCCCCCCGACAACCATCTAAATAGGCTCCCTCCTTGGCCAGGGTACCCTAAAATTTAACCTGAAAGACTGGTTCAGGCCAAGGTGGGAAGTAGGAGTCAGACAGGCCTCATTATGCCCTCCTCTTTTTTGGAATGCAGGAAAAGCTGACCAGCATTTAACATCCAGCATTTAACATTTAAATATCCACATTTAATATCCAGCATTTAAAAGCTGACCAGCATTTAACATCCACATTTAACATCCAGCATTTAACATCTAATTGGACTTAAGTCTGATAAGAAACATTTAAAATCTATTCTCTCTGAAGCCTGCTACCTGAAGGCTTCATCTGCATAATAAAACTTTGGTCTCAACAACCTCTTTATCACAAACCAGACATTCCTTTCTATTAATAACTCTTTCAACCAACTGCCAATTAGAAAAATTTTAAATCTACCTATAATCTGGAAGCCCCCACTTTGCACTGTTTCACATTTCCAGACCAAACCAATGTCCTTTTTTTTTTTTTGAGACAGAGTCTCACTTTGTCACCCAGGCTGGAGTGCCGTGGTGCAATTTCAGCTCACTGCAATCTCTGCCTCCCAGGTTCAAGCAATTCTCCTGCTTCAGCCTCCCAAGTAGCTGGGACTACAGGCGCCTGCCACTACGCCCAGCTACTTTTTGTATTTTTAGTAGAGGTGGGGTTTCCCCATGTTGGTCAGGCTGGTCTCAAACTCCTGACCTCAGGTGATCTGCTGCCTTGGCCTCCCAAAGCACTGGGATTACAGCCATGGGCCACTGTGCCTGGCCCCAGTGTACATCTTAAATGTATTTGACTGATGTCTCATGTCTCCCTAAAATGTGTAAAACCAAGCTGTGCCCCAACCACCTTGGGCACATGTTATTAGGATCTCCGAGACCTGTGTCATGGGCCATGGTCACTCATATTTGGCTCCAAATGTCTCTCCAAATATTTCAGAGTTTGACTCTTTTCGTTAACAATGAAAAAGCCCCAAAGAGAATCAAATATGCACAAAATGTTAAAAGACAGTTGTCGATTTGGGAAAATGTTTGCAACTCATATCACATACAAGAGGTTTGTATCTGAAGAAGGTCAGGTCCTGGAAAAATCTGAGGAAAAAACATGAGGCAGGAAGTTTGTAAGGGGATTGGGCAGAAAAAGCAGCAGGCCCACAGTGCAGGTGCAGTATATTGTAACAAATACTGTAATAAAAAATATCTTTTTCTTTAAGTCAGGAACTTTCACCTTTTCACTTAAAGGAAGCACACTATGGCTTCTCTTTGTCTTATCCAAATTGCCAGTATCACTGTTCTTGTACTTTGGGGCCACTATTAAGTAAAAGAAGGGTTACTTGAACACAGGCACTGTGATGCCAGAATAGCTGATCTGATAACCGAGATGGCCACTTAGTGATGAACGGGTGGGTGACATGTTCAGCCTGGACCCACTGGACAAAGGGATGATTCACATCAGAGTGAGATTTCATCATGCTACTCAGAATGGTGCATGATTTAAAACTTATGATTTCTGGAATTTTCCATTTAGTATTTTCAGATCGTGATTGACCACAGGTAAAACTGAAACCTTTAAAAGTGAAACCGTGGATAAGGGGGGCTATTGTATGTATGTGCATGTGTGTATGTATATATGTATATATGCACATGTATACACATGCACACACATACAATAGCTCCCCTAATCCACAGTTTCAATACATATATACTCTCTCTAGATAGTATATATGTGCACTCATACACACTATATATATTATGTGTGCGAGTGCACGTGTGCATATCTGTACCACACAATCCACTGTTTTGTGTTTTCCATTACTTGGAGCCCAACGCATTCCTAAATAATGTAGGGAAA
Organism: Homo sapiens; assembly: GCF_000001405.40. Taxonomy (NCBI): domain Eukaryota; kingdom Metazoa; phylum Chordata; class Mammalia; order Primates; family Hominidae; genus Homo; species Homo sapiens. Next base: position 3,865,083 of record NT_187660.1, read on the forward strand.
AATACAGAGAACAAACAATGGCAGTGAAAACTATGTGCTATGTAGAAGTACAGATTCCACCAGGATATCTAGGAAAGAACCACTATAATTTGGGATCCAAGGGGCTCCCTGGGAGAAGTGTCATTTTAGTCTGAGATCAAAAAGAAGAGTAAAAGTTGTCTTGGCAAAGAATCCAGCAGGGTGAGCAGGGAGAGGGGTGTTACTGGACAGAAAGTTGCGTCTGGATAAACCTGAAAGTAGAATGGGCAAGTACATTCAAGGTACTGAGGTCATTAAGTGTGGATGAAGTGGAGGGCAGCAGGAGGAGAGGTCTGGTTAGGATGATGGTAGCAGGGCGGCAGGGAGGATGAGATGCCAGGAGAGAGATGCCCTGCAGGAATTGTACAGTGGGGTTTAGATTTGACCTCAAAGGCAAAGATGAGTCACTGAGGCATTTTCAATAGGGGTGAAACTTGATGAGATTTTTAATTTAGAAAATAAAGTATTTGCATTTAAGAAAAATTACTCTGGTTGCATAGCAGAGACTGCATTTGCATTTGCGCAATACTGGTGCAAAATGAATGCTAGGTGGACACCTGTATTAGTCTGTTCTCATGCTGCTAGTAAAGACATACCAAAGGCTGTCTAATTTATAAAGGAAAGAGGTTTAATTGACTCACAGTTACACATGGCTGGGGAGGCCTGACAATCATGGTGGAAGGTGAATGAGGAGTAAAGTCATGTCTTACATGGTGGCAGGCAAGAGCTTGTGCAGGAGAACTCACATTTATATAACCATCAGATCTTGTGAGACTTATTTACTACCATGAGAACAGTATGGGGGAAACTGTCCCCATGATTCAACTATCTCTACCTGACCCTGCCCTTGACACATGGGGATTATTACAATTCAAGGTGAGATTTGGGTGAGGACACAGCCAAACCATATAATTCCACCCCCGGCCCCTCCCAAATTTCATGTCCTCACATTTCAAAAATTATCATCCCTTCCCAACAGTCCCCCAAAGTCTTAACTCATTTTAGCATTAACTCAAAACTCCACAGTCCAAAGTCTCGAGGCAAGGCAAGTCCCTTCCACCTACGAGCCTGTAAAATCAATAGCAAGTTGGTTACTTCCGAGATACAATGGGGGTACATGCAATGGGTAAACACTTGGCCAAAAGGAAGGGGCTACAGGCCCCATGCAAGTTCAAAATCCAGCAGGGCAGTCAAATCTTAAAGCTCCAAAATGATCTCCTTTGACTCCATGCCACTTCCAGGTTATGCTGATGCAAGAGGTGGGTTCCCATGGTCTTGGGCAGCTCCACCCTGTGGCTTTGCAGGGTACAGCCCTCCTCCTAGTTGCTTTCACAGGCTGGCATTGAGTGTCTACAGCTTTTCCAGGTGCACAGTGCAAGCTGTTGGTGGATCTATCATTTTGGGGTCTGGAGGATGGTGGCCCTCTTCTCACAGCTCCACTGGGCAGTGCCCCAGTAGGGACTCTGTGTAGGGGCTCCCATCCCACATTTCCCTTCCACACTGCACTAGCAGAGGTTCTCCATGAGGGTTCTGCTCCTGCAGTAAACTTTTGCATGGACACCCATGCATTTCCATACATCCTCTGAAATCTAGGTGGAGGTTCCCAAACCTCACTTCTTGACTTCTGTGCACCTGCAGGCTTAACACCATGTGGAAGCTGCCAAGGCTTGGGACTTGCACCCTCTGAAGCAGTGGCCTGAGCTCTACATGGGCCCTTTTTAGCCATGGCTGGGATTTGAGACTGCACAAAGCAGCAAGGCCCTGGGCCTGGCCCATGAAACCATTTTTTCCTCTTAGGCCTCCAGGCCTCCTGTGATGGGAGAGGCTGCTGTGAAGACCACTGACATGCCTGGAGACATTTTCCCCATTGTCCTGGCAATTAAAATGTGATGCCTCATTACTTACGGAAATTTCTGCAGCTGGCTTGAGTTTCCCCCCAGATAATGGGTTTTTCTTTTCTACTGCATTATCAGACTGCAAATTTTCCAAACTGTTATGCTCTGCTTCCCTTTTCAACATAAGCTCCTATTCCAAACCATATCTTTGTGAATACACAAAACAACATGCTTTTAAGAGCACCCAAGTCACCTCTTGAATGCTTTGCTACTCAGAAATTTCGTCTGCCAGATGCCCTAAATCATCTCTCTCAAGTTCAAACTTCCACAAATCTCTAGTGCACGGGCAAAAAGCTACCAGTCTCTGCTAAAACATAGCAAGAGTCACCTTCGCTCCAGTTAGCAACAAGTTCTTCATCTCTATCTGAGACCACCTCAGCCTGAACTTTATGGTCCATATAATTATCAGCATTTTGGTCAAAGCCATTCAGCAAGTCTCTAGGAAGTTCCAAACTTTCCCACATTTTCCTGTCTTCTTCTAAGCCCTCCAAACTGTTCTAACCTCTGCCTGTTACCCAGTTCCAAAGTTGCTTCCACATTCTCAGGTATCTTTACAGCACCACCCCATTCTACCACTACCAATTTATTAGTCTGTTCTCATCCTGCTAATAAAGACATACCAGAGACTGGGTAATTTGTAGAGGAAACAGATTTAATTGGCTCACAGTTACACATGCTGGGGAGGCCTCACAATCATGGTGGAAGGTGAATGAGGAGCAAAGTCAAGTCTTACATGGCAGCAGGCAAGAGAGCTCGTGTAGGGGAACTCTCATTTATATAACCATCAGATCTCATGAGACTTATTCACTACCACAAGAACAGTATGGGGAAAACTGCCCTCATGATTCAATTATCTCCACCTGGCCCTGCCCTTGACCCATGGGAATTATTACAATTCAAGGTGAGATTTGGGTGGGAACATAGCAAAACCATATCAATACCACAGCAATGTCAATGAGGGATGATGAGGATGAAGAAGTGGAGGGTTGGAGAGGTAATGAGGGCAGAATCTGCAGTGCTTGGTGACCAACTGGAGGGAGAAGGGAGGGAAAAGGAAGTGTTCATGATCTACTTGGCTGGCTGAATTACTGAAAGCCACATCTGGAGTATTAATCAGCATTAAAAAGAAGGAAGTTGCATGTACATATGATTTGAGGGATTTCAGTGAAGGATTGTTGAGTGAGAAAAGCAGTATGCTGGAAAGTGTGTTCAATGCAACCCAGTTTGGCAAAATAAAGCAACAGCGTCCTTGCCTGGTCCATGTTGTGCCTTACTGTCCAAGGTCAGTGTCAGTTCTGCACCACCACTGCCTTTCTCCATCCCTGCAGCACTGCAGGAGAGAAGCTTGCAGGACTTTTCCCAGAACTCTCTTTCTGGTGCAGTCTAGTGATAGTCTCTAGCAAGAGGCATTCATGCAAGGTGGAAGATGAAGCCAGGCCACTTTTCTATGGATGCAGTTGCACAGATGCATGGCAGAGGCAGACATGAGATTTGCTGCAGCTGCCAGGGAAGCTCCTGTGAAGCACCTGCTTTGTAAATCCAGGCCACTGAGAAGGGTAGTGGCAGAGATGCTGATATGGTTTGGCTGTGTCCCCACCCAAATCTCATCTTGAATTGTAGCTCCCATAATTCCCGTACGTTGTAGGAAGGAGCCAGTGGGAGACAATTGAATCATGGGGGTGGTTTCCCCCATACTGTTCTCATGGTAGTGAATAAGTCTCATGAGATTTGGTGGTTTTATCAGGGGAAGCCCCTTCTGCTTGGTTCTCATTCTCTCTCTTGCCTGCCACCATGTAAGACATGACTTTTGCCTTCCACCATGATTGTGAGGCCTCCCCAGCCATGTGGAACTGTGAGTCCATTAAACTTCTTTTTCTTTATAAATTACCCAGTCTCAGATATGTCTTTATCAGCAGTGTGAAAATGGACTGTGTGATGCTCCCTGGGACTCATGAGGTGTCCATGACCTCCAGGGAACCCTGCTGAACCTCCCGTAGTTAGCAACGCTTCTCTGATTTCATGCAGTTGCACTGGTTGTGTAAACCTCTAGTTCCCCTTCCTACTTGGAATACCTAGAACAGCTTCTGTCTCCTTAAGCAAATGTTGATGGATACAGAATTTCATACTGGAAATGGTTCCAGGAAAACAGAGCACAGAGATGAGATGAGGTCTCTGTCAGTGCAGGCAAATCAACAGCTGGTATAGATTGACAACTCTGATGAAAAGAAAGAGCACAAAGACAGCAGGGTGGGCTGACCCTTCATGACTTATCTAGAGAGCAACAGGAACACAAGGGAAGCTTTAATTCTCAGCTCCAGGTATAGCTGTGGAGTCACAGCTCCCAGTTCCTTTAAGGAACCTCTTAGCTCTTATAGCCATGGAGGCATTGATCCAAAGAGCCAGACCTTTCTGACACTGCACACTGATGAATTACACAAGTTTAATTGAAAGCCTTGCTAGACCTCCTAAGAACATAGTATGGCAGTGATCACAAGACTGGGGCTTTGGAGCTGGATGGGATCCTGAGAACACTTAAGTGGTTTTTGACAAACCAGAGGGCCTTGAAATCCAACATCAACATCAACTGACCCGCCCTGGGCTCAACAAAGCAGCCTCTGCTCACTTGACTGAGAGAAGCTTCTCCTTGTCTGAAGACCTGCTAATGACCTTGCCTGAGCAGACAAGTTACAGGGGGATGCCTACGTCACCTTAAAACCCAGCTTGTTTTGGAATCAGATTCTTAACTACGAAGACAGCCTGGGAGGATATACCATACACATCCAAAGAATCGCAAGATTGTTGCCAGTAGAAATCTGAAGAAAGTACATAGGAACATGTCACCAGCAGCAACTAATGCTGAGCTCTTTGGATATGAAAGTCTGGGTGCTTGCTGCAGACAAGGGGTGCCCAATAGATGCAGTGGAAAAGGGTCACAGACACGTCAGCTGGAGTCTGCAAGGTGCAGTGTTCAAGATCATGATGGCCTGCCTATTTCTCTCCGGTTTGGTGATTTATCTAGTGGAGTATAGAAATCCTATGTGCCCTCTTGCTTCCTTGTCATATGCCATAAGACCTATTGATGAGGAGAAATTAAACTCTTAATTCAGTCTTTAAGGTATAGTTTATCACAAATGGGTTGTGAGTGAGCTAGATGGCAAATGAACAAAACTCAAGATGGGTTTGGTGACTTGGAGGACATTGCGCCTCCCTTTGTTGGTGAGATGCATGCACATTTCCAGTGGAATGAAGAAGAGTAAAATTAGCAGGGCACGATGTTACTGCTGTTGCTTGCTGGTTAGATATGGGCCAAAGGATATGGATGGGTGAGGATTTGACAAAAGGGGTGGATGGTGCTGGAGAGCCTGTGCTCAACCTTTCCCCTCCCTTCATTCTCCTCTGCGTAATTTGGGAACAGCCTGGAATGGCACTTCCCAGAACTGCTTTCCAGACAAGCTCTAGGTTCTCAAATGACAAACATTCATGCGAGGCGTGGAAGGCAGCAGGAGAAGTCTTCGAATACTGAGGTTAGCTGCGAGCAGAAACAGACAGCTTCTGGCCCAGCTCTGGGGAATCTCATCCTCAGCAGCCCAGATGGTGACAGTGGCTCTGCCTGTGAGTCATGCTGCACCCAGGAGAATACCTACAGGTGAGCTGCTTCGGTGCTCTGGGGCAGTAGGCTGTGACAGCACAGTGCGTCCCCACCCGGCATCCCCAGGGTTGAGAGCTTGACCTTTGAGTTATGTGTTTCTATCTGCGGCTTCCCTGCCCTTCACTCCTCTACCCTTCCAGCTGGGGTGCAAGCCTCTAAGTGGTGGTCTGAAAATCCTTCTCACTTGCAACCTCCAGATTCTTATGTGCTCCAGAAAGAGCCCCGGCTGTATTCATATGTGTATACATATATGTGTATACATAAAGATGTATATGTACATAGGTGTCTACAGACCACTATTTGAGCTTGGAGAAAAATATGGAAGAACACATACTAGCTTGCTCACATGGGTTTCCGGGAGTTGTAATGACATCAATAGAGAGAGGAAGGAGGGATTGGGATGAGCCAAGCAACAAAGAAGACTTTTTCTAGAAACAAATGATATATATGTTATGATACCATTCATGCAAAATGACATATGCATGTGAATATAAATGTATACATTAAAATAGAAGAAAGGCAGGTAGGGTCAGGATGGTCCCTCAGCAGGAATTCTGAAGGTGAGGCTACGCTGGTTCACCCCATGGAGAAAGGCTCCTGCCAGTTACGATTACTATTAACCCTTCCTATTACTCTAGGAGTGAATCCATTTATCTGGTTTCTTTCCTCCAGGATAGAATGACCAAAGAAGGGAAATGCAGGCAGAACATAAAGACTCTGCAGACAGCGCAGATGTGGTGGGTGGGAGGCTTAGCCTCAGCTTTTATAGTCAATTTCTTTAAATGAATTTACCCTGAATTTAAATGAAAGTCTAAATTCCATACATACAGTGTGAATAGCTCACATACCTATCAATTTACAACATGGCTATGGTGTGTTAGATAGCAAGTCCTAGAAGGACTGAGGGTAGGGTTTTCTGCACAGCAGCCCCCCAGGGCTGTGGGTACCACAGGCATTCACTCAGGGGTGGGAGTCAGAAGAGCGGGGAGTGTCAGGGGCCAGATTTTGGCCACAGCCCTGCTGTGAGCTTGCCTTGTGACTTTGGGCAACTTCTGCCTCCTCTTTGAGTCCCAGTTTTGGCAATGTTAAGGAGAGATGGTTGAGATTCATCTCTAAGGGGCAGTGTAAGTCTGAAGAGTCTGAAAGTTAAAAACAACACGATTGGCCCACTCTCCTCATTTTCCTCTCATTCCCCGACTCCCACCACTCCCCTTACACCACCCATGTCCCTAGCACTGATGGCCTGCACTTTGCCAACCCCAGGAACACTGAGAGCTAGCCACTCCCTTAGCCATGTTCTTCTTGGCATCTGGGATGCCACATTCCCTTGGCTTGCCCCCTCTCCACTACTGCTCAGCTGGGTCTCCCCTGCTGGGTCCTCCTCCTCCTCCTGGCCTCTGCTTGCTGAAGGGCTCCAGCCCCAGGACCACTGCTCTTCTCCACCCACATTGCCCGCCAGGGCTGCTCGCTGTGAGTGCCATCTAAATACTGATGACTCCTGGAGTTTTGTCCTCAGGCTAACTCTTGACTCACACATCCAGCTCCTGACTCAACACCTCTGCTCGGCTATCTAAGAGCATCCCAAGCCTAACACAGCCTAAGCCAAAGATCCATGCATCATGCTTGACTCTGTTCTTACCCTCACACCCGACATCAGCAAGTCCTTGCAGCTTCACCTTAAAATATGCATTCTTGATCTAATCATAATCAAAATCTCTACCATTGCCACCCTAGGTTGGCTGCATCTCTTGCTTGGATTATTGCCAGAGGCTTCTGGTTCCTCTCCTTACTTCCACCCCAGTGTGCCCTGTCACCTGTTCTCCACAGGACAGCCAGAGTGGCCCTTTGAAAATGTAAATCTTGGCCGGGCGCGGTGGCTCACGCCTGTAATCCCAGCACTCTGGGAGGCTGAGGCAGGTGGATCACGAGGTCAGGAGTTCAAGACCAGCCTGGCCAAGATGGTGAAACCCCGTCTCTACTAAAAAAAAAATACAAAAATTAGCCAGGTGTGGTGGCAGGCGTCTGTAATCCCAGCTACTCGGGAGGCTGAGGCAGGAGAATTGCTTGAACCCAGGGGGAGAGGTTGCAGTGAGCTGAGATTGTGCCACTGCACTCCAGCCTGGGAAACAGACTGAGACTCCATTTCAAAAAAAAAAAAAAAGAAAATGTAAATCTTATCATGTTCCTCTCCTTTGAAACCCCAGGGACTTTCAATCACTTTCCAAATAACTTCGGAGTCTTCCCCATGGCCTCCAGGCCCTTGGCAATCTGGCCCCGGGCACCAAGTGACTTCGCCTGCTGTCCCTCTTTGGGCTCCAGCCACTCTGACCTGGGCCAGGGCTTTCTGCCATAGGGCCCTAACGCTCACTGTTCCTTCTGCTTGGATTATGCATTCTCAAAATATCTGCACTCTTTCTCCCTCACTTCATTGTGGTCTCTCCTGAGCTATCACCTCATCAGAAAGGCTCTCCCTGACCTTTTTATCTAAAATACCCTGTGTCCTGGCATCCAGCAATCCCACTTGTTGGTATAATCCCTACAGAAATGCCCGTACATCTGCCATATGCACATAGAGCCACTAAAGATGCATACAGCAGCCCTGTTCATAACAGCACAAAAGAGAAACAAGTCAAATGTTCATCAAAAGTAGAATGAACAAATACATTTGGTTTATTCAAACAATGGAATGCTATGTGGCAATGAAAAAGCAATTTAATTCCATACAACAATACAGAGGAGTCTCAGGAATATCTTGTTGTAGGAAAGGAGAAAGTTCCTAAATATTCATGCAGTCTGGCTCCATTTATTTGAAGGCCAAAGCTTGCAATACTAAGCAACATATTGACTACAGGTGCAGACATGCATGGCAACACGCTAAGGGAAAGCAAGGGAAAGGTAAACACAAACTTCAGGTGAGTGGTCGTTTCCCAGGGGGAGGCAACATGATGGGTTAGCAAGAAACACAAAGGGATTTCAAAGTTAATGACAAATTCCATGCCCCTCACCCTTTCTAAGCTGGGTATTTTCATAATGAATTCTGATAAATTAATTTTGTACCACCTCAATATTTAACAGAAATAATGAATCAGGGTAGGTTAAACTGTGGCAATCAGTAGAGCCTCCTGCCTCCCATCAGGAGCTTAAACACAAAAGGCCTATTCCTTTCTGCACACAGCAGTCCAGGGTGGAGTCCAGGCCTCTGATGGTTCCGCTCCACACACTCATCCAGGGATCCAGGTACCATCTTCCACACGTGGCTTCCAAGGCTGCCTGGGCGGCAGCAGCCCACTCAACCAGCAGGGACAGGGGAAGTCCCTCACAGCCGAGACTGCTTTTCCAGGGACTATGGCAGCCTGGAGGGCAGGGATTGCTACTCAGAGGGGAGGAGGGCCTCTTCCTCTTGGCTTCACTGCAGACTCTCCTCAAACTTCACCTCCTCAGGCAGCCTATGATGGGCCAGCCTAGAAGGGCACATGGCACACTTTCTGTTGTTCCACTGTGGGGTGGGTGACATGGCCACATTGAAGTGCAAGGGAGACTGGGACATGAGGCCTCGTAGCCTGCTTAGGCAGAAGGAAAGATGGGTTTTGGAAACAGCTAGTTGCTTCTACCTCAAACATTTGAAAAAGATGTATGCTACAAATCCTGTGTATGTATACATATACATACACGCATATTACATCTACACACACGTGTGTATATGGATATGTGTATGGAGAACTGAAAGAAGAGATATCAAAATAGCCTTGGGATTCTCTTTAAAGAGTAGGATCAGGAGTGACTTTTATTTTCTCATTTTGTTTTTCTGGGTTTTTTTTTTTTTTGAGACAGGGTCTTACTCTGTCACACAGGCTGGCGTGTAGTGACATGATCTTGGCTCACTGCAACCTCTGCCTCCCAGGTTCAAGCAATCCTCCCACCTTAGCCTCCCGAGTAGCTGGGACTACAGGTGTCCACTGTCCTGGGCTTGTTTTTTTTTTTTTTTTTTCTGTAGAGACGGGGTTTTGCCATGTTGCCTAGGCTAGTCTCCAACTCCTGGGCTCAAGGGATCTGCCTACCTCGGCCTCCCAAAATGCTGGGATTACAGGTGTGAGCTACCATGCCCACCTGTATTTTCTCATTTTGTTTGCATTTTTTCAATGAATTTATACTAATATCCTCAGGGCCTCAGTTTACCTAAATGCCTGGCGGATGTGATTGTTTGGGTAACTAACTGGCTCCTTTTGGTTATTTTTAATGAATATGCAGACATCCAAAAGCTAAACTAAATTGTGTACTCAACTATTTCAAACAACTGGCTAAATAATGTAGAAAAGTAAATCATTCAGTTTTAGTACTGAATGATAACTATTTTGTGTTACTCTGTAAGATTAGTATTGAAACTATCAATCTCATGGTAATGTAAAATATAATTAGTATATTCTTATGATAAAAGGATAATAATTTTGGGAAAAAAACCTTTCAATTTGGTTATATATATATCAACTGAGTGAAAGAAGAGCAAGTTATAATTATACACACACATACATACACACACCATCATGTGCTATATGACAATTCCGTCAATGACAGACCACATACAATGGTATTCTCACAAGAGTATAGTGGAGCTGAAAAATTCCTATTACCTAGTGACATCACAGCTTTTGTAACTTCATAGTGCAACACATACCTTTTCTATGTTTAGATATACAAATACTCACCACTGTGTTACAATTGCCTATAGTTTTGTAGCTTACGATCAATAGGTTATAGCCTAGAGCCTAGGTATGTAGTAGGCTATGCCATCTACTTCATGGAAGTGAACTTTAATATTTGTGCAATGATGAAATTACCAATCACATGTCTCATAAGGTATTTCTGTCATTCAGTGATGAATGACTATATATGTGTGTGTTTATTATTGTATATGTGTGTATGTATATAGTATGTGCATAGTGTAATTTGGTGTATGTGTATATACACATATACAATAATAAATTAAACACACATATATCATCATTCATCACGTGATGGAAATACCTTACACACACACATACATACATAGCAGGCATTAATTCATTGTTGACTTATTCCACAGACGAAATTATCTTATTGTTGTATGAATAGATAAAAGAATATGTACTTACAGCCTGATAAATTCTACTTTTGGGCTTCACACACTCCATATCTTATAAACAAAGTGAATTCTTAAGTATTTCCAGATGCTTGGGTTCTCTGTACTCAGAATACAATTAATCTAAACAATGATGCAAATATATGGTAAAAGCGTTTTCATGGCAGCTGAAGAAATAGCTAAACTGAACAGCCTATAGCTACAGAAAAGGAAGTGCTCCATGCTGTGCCTTAGGGAAGGCTGGCTGGCTTGTGGCCATGGATTCACTGAGCATACCCCCACGAGGCTCCCTGTACGTGCAGGCATCCTTGGGTGCTGATAGCATGGATATGAATAAAGATGCGTATGTGCTTCTTAAGAGGCTAACAGAGTAAGAGGTAAGACAGACATGGGAACAACTGTCATGGACTGGGATGACTGAGAGGTATTGCAGAGGAGCCAGGGGGTCTGCACAAGGGCTGACACATCCTGCTATTTGTGAGCGAGGAGTGGAAGCTTCCCGGGAGAGGAAGAGGGAGGGCAATATGGGGCATAGAACATAGAAAGGCTCAGAGGCTTGCAAAACCACCATCTGCATAGAGGTGTTGGGAGTTTGAGAGATTTGGTGGCTTAACAAGGAAAAGAGATGAGACCACAAGCAGGCAGCGGCATGCACAAGCTTAACTGGGAGAGCTTGGAGTGGTCTGCAGCGGATACATGGGGAAGGGGCACATCCTCAGAGCAGGAGCTTACCTAGACAAGACATTTGCTCAGACATTACTCGAGGTGTATCTGTGAGGGTATTTCTGGATGAGATGAACATTTAATTTTGATTTGTAAACTGGGCAACGCACATTGCCCTCCCCAACATGGATGGGCCTCATCTAATCCACGGAAGGGCTGAGTAGAACAAAAGGCTAAATAAGAGGAAACTCACTCTCTCTGCCTGACTGTCATCGAGCTGGCCTTGGACTCAGCTGGAACTTACACCCCCAGCTCTCCCAGTTCTCCAGCATGCTGACTGCAGGTCGTGAGACTTCTCAGCTTCCATAACCTCATGGGTCAATTCCTTATAATAGGTCTGTCTCTCTCCCCCACTCTCTCTATAATATACATGTACATGCACACTCACACACAAACATGTATGGATATGTGTGCATACTGCACATTCATGTGCCACTTAACAATGGAAATACCTACTGAGAAATGCATCACTAGGCGATTTCATCATTGTGCGAACGAACATCACCAAGGCACTTACACAAACCTAGATGGCATAGACTACTACACACCTAGGCTCTGTGTACAGCCTACTGCTCCTAGGCTACAAACCTGCACAGCATATAACTGTACTGAATACTGTAGGCAACTGTAACATAATGGTAAGTATTTGTGCATCTAAACATGTCTAAAAATAAAAAAGTACAGTAAAAATATGGTATAAAAAATAAAAAATGGTACACCTGCACAGGGCACTTACCATGAATGGAGCTTACAGGACTGGGAGTTACCCTGGATGAGTCAGTGAGTGAGAGGTGAGTGAATGTGAAGGCCAGGACATTACTGTACACTACTGTAGACTTCAGAAACACTGTACAAGTAGGCTATACTAATTTAATTTTTTCTTTCTCAACAATACATTAAACTTAGCTTACTTTATTTTATAAATTTTTAAAACTTTTTGACTCCTGTATTACAAAGTGTTACTAACACTTAGACTAAAATACAAACATATGTACAACAGCACAAAAATATTTTCTTTCTTTATATCCTTATTCTATAATCTTTTTTTAAAAAAAAAATTAAACATTTTTTCTTAGCCTAGGCCCACACAGGGTCAGGATCATCCGTATCAGTGTCTCCACCTCCACATCCTGTCCCACTGGTAGGTCTTCAGGGGCAGTGACATGCATGGAGCTGCCATCTCTTATAACAATGTCTTCTTCTGGAACACTTCCTGAAGGACCTGCCTGAGGCCATTTTACATTAACTTTAAAAAAATATATAAGTAGGGCCGCGCGGTGGCTCACGCCTGTAATCCCAGCATTTTGGGAGGCTGAGGCGGGCAGATCACGAGGTCAGGAGATCGAGAACATCCTGGCTAACATGGTGAAACCCCATCTCTACTAAAAATACAAAAAATTAGCCATGCTTGGTGATGAGCGCCTGTAGTCCCAGCTACTTGCAAGGCTGAGGCAGGAGAATGGCGTGAACCCAGGAGGCGGCGCTTGCAGTGAGCCGAGATCGTGCCCCTGCGCTCCAGCCTGGGTGACAGAGCAAGGCTCTGTCTCAAAAAAAAAAAAAAAAAAAAAAAAAAATATATATATATATATATATATATATATATGTATATATACACGTGTATATATATATGTATATATATATATATAGAAGGCATGCACTCTAAAATGATGATAAAAAGTATAGCATAGTAAATACATAAACCCATTACATAGTCATTTGTTATCAAGTATTATGTACTGTACATAGTTGTATGTGCTAGACTTTTATACAAATGGCAGCACAGTAGATTTATTTGCAGCATCCCTGCAAATACATGACAGCTACAATGTCATTCGGTGATAGGAATTTTTCAGCTCCACTGTAACCTTATGGGACCACCATGGAATATGCAGTCGATCATTGACTTCAAAGTCATTATGTGGCACATGACTGCACACAGGACCTACATCTCCTATTGGTTCTGTTTCACCAGAGAGCCTAGACTGAGACACGTGCCCAGGTGATGTCACTCAGAAGTGGGGTCTCGGGGTCAGAGCTCTGAGGGCAGCAGCATCTCGGGGCTTTATAGACACAAGGCTCTATCTTACCAGTGGGCAGTGGATGCTGGGGAGGTTTCATGCTGGATGCAAAGCTGGCAGGCTCTCCGTGGCGAAAACTCTGCTTATAATTGGCCTATGTTTAAAACAACTGGATATGTAAAAACTTGAATTTGGGGCGGGCAGACTTTCAGCAAATGGGTCTGCAGTGAATGGGTCCACCAGCCTAGGGGCCAGGACATGGAGGCCACCTCTGGCTCATGTATACAACAGGAGGTCAGCGGGGCTGGGCTGTAGGGCGGGACCAGAGAGGACCAAAATGATAGTCCAGCGGGGGGGACTTTTAGAAAATATATAATTTCATTTCAAAGTGTCAGATGAATTTTTAAAAAACATATAAGTTGATTTTAAAGAGAAATAAATGAATTCAGTGGCTATATTCATTTCTACTCAGCCCCACTCTCTGCCATTCCCCCGATGTGTAAGCAACAGTGTTTCTACTATTGCCTCAGTGCAGGTGGGAACCTGTTGGAATAAAACGTCATGCTGCAGAAAGCCAGAGTTAACTTGCAAGTCAATCTTCTCACTGAGCCCAATCATCTTTCTAGACAGCCTAAAAAGCTACTTACTGAAATCAGCAACACCGTTAACTTCATTCACCAAAGTAAGGTCTCCTGGCCTTTAACCTTAAAATGGTTCTTAAAAAGGAATTGAAATACTGATTTTCATAAAAATATCAAAGACAGTGAAGCCAACTGTCAAAATGAATTCAGTCCTAAAAATTAAAGTATGCTTGCTGAGAGTGACAGCAGCCTTCTCATGTGGGATTTACCAGGCACTCTGCACCCTGGTTCTGAGATCTGCACGGTACTTAAGAAAGAAATCCATTCCTTTCAGTTAAATCGTTTCAGTTAAAAATTCCCGAGGCACCTTTTTAAAACTGAAATAAAACTAAATCCCAAAGACATGAGAAATAAATCACTTCATGTCTCTTGAGTGTTTTCCAATCTGGCTTCCAGGAGGAGCTTAATTTGTCACTTCTAAAGAAAGCCTTCTAGCTCTTTCCATCTTATTTTACCAGGAAGTCCACTCGCTTCCTTCCCACAGTGTCTGTGTATGCCAGGGTTAGCAGTGGAGTCTGCTGCAAGCCACCAGGGTCCAGGCCTCACACCCTGGCCAGGTCATCAAGCCCAGAGCACAGTTAGAGAGCTGGCGTGGGTGGCCAACCAGCCTACACAAATGACAGAAAAAGGCTGCTTGTCCTAGGAAATTTCCTGCTTGTTCAGATTCAATGAAATCCTGCTGGATCTCTATGTCTACAAAATAATGAGCCCCCACTCATGGAGGGATCAGAATTTGGGTGAGCAGTGCCTGCCCCGCTCTTCCCAGGTTGCCTGGTGCAGAAGGCTGGGTACCCAGGAGAAGCAGATGAGGGTGGTGACAGGGATGGGTGCAGGTGCAGAACCCACTGTGCTGTGTGAGCCTGAGGGCTGGGAGGCCCTGTCCACCCAGGAGCACTTGTCTTCCCAGGAGACTGCATCCCTCAGTGACCTGCATGCATCAGGGGGACTGTGTCCACCCAGGAACCATGTTCAAGCATTCATCAGAGATTCAGGGGGCACCTACTGTGTGCTGTTTTAATACTCAGGCACCAAACAGTTCCCTAATAAGATGACTTCAGGACAGACATCTGAAGAAATGAGGAAGGGAGTGATGTGGCTATTTGGAGGGCAGCATTCTTGGTCATTAGAACATCACGGTCAAACTGTGCCCTGGGCCTGTGTGGCTGTAGAGTCTATCGATGAGTTGGACAGGGAAGCCTGTGCCTGGAGTGTGCAGCATGGGGCCATGGTAAGGACGCAAGATTTTACCTTGGAAGAGACCAGACCATTGGCAGATTCTTAGCTGCAGAAATGTTCTCACAGTCTTTCATTTAATTAAAAGTTTTAAAATGTATCTTTCTGTGCTTGGCTTGTTTCACTTACACAATTACCTCCAGTTCCACACACGTTGCTGCAAATGACAGGGTTTTATTCTCTTTTATGTCTGGATAATTTGTACATGGTAGAATGAATGCCCAGAGCTGTGCCCAGCTGGGTGAACTTCTTCAAGTGTGCACATCACTGTAACCACTAGCATGATCAAGTAGATCACGGCTACATCAAGTTCATCACATCAGATGGCCCCATGCCCCTCCCAGCCAATCCCTCTGGCATCATTTCCTACAAAGTATCACACACATAGTAGCTTAAAACAGTGCAAATTTACTATCTCACAGTTTTGTAGGCTGGATGTCCAGTAGGCTCAGCTGGCTTCTCTGCTCTGAGTCTTACAAGGCTGAAGAGGTGTCAGCAGAGCCGTGGTCCCTCCTGGAGGCTTGAAAGAGAATTGGCTTCCAGCCTCCTTCAGGTGTGCCAGGACCCTGTTCCAGGTGGCTGGCTGTAGCACTGAGTCCCTGTTTCCTTGCAGGCTGTCAGCTGGAGGTCACTGTCAGTGTCCAGACACCACCTATGTTCCTTGGCTTGTGGCCCCTTTCTCCATCCCCAAGCCAGCAATGACTGATGGAGTCCCCTTTATACTTCAAGTCTCGGTGACCTCTTCTTCCTCTTCTCTCAGGGCCCTGTGTCTTCCTCTTTTGCTTCTAAAAGCCCTTGATATTACCTTGGGCCCACCTAGATAATCCAGGATAATCTATTTTAAAGTCACCTGATTAGCGACCTGAATTCCATCTGCAAAGTCCCTTCGCAGTGGTAACCAGAGCAGTGTTTGGCTGAATGTCAGGGAACAGGAATCTTGAGGGACATCTGTAGAATCTTGTCTTCTACATGGCCCCTGTGCTCTTGAGCTCCATATAAATGGAATCATGCAGTAAGTGTCTTCCGTGTCTCTCCTGGTGTGCTCAGAATAAGGTCTCTAGTTTCATCTGTGTTGCAGCATGCATCAGTAGTTCACTGCTTTTAACCATTGAGTACTATCTACTGTGCGGATGCGCTGCAGTGAATTCACCTATTCACTCGCTGAGGGATATGTGCGTTACTTCTAGGTTTGTGTGATTATAAGTAAAGCTGCTACGAACATTCCAGTAAGTCTTTTTGTGGACATATGTTTTCATTTTTCTTTAGTTAATATCCAAGAGTAGAATTGCTGGGTTAAGGGCTTAAATGTATTTTTAATTTTGTAAGAAACCACCAAACTGTTTCCCAAAGTGGTTTTATTATTTTGCCTTTGTAACATTGGAAAGTTCTATTTTTCCACATCATTCTAATACTTCGTATTGTCAGCATTCTTAATTTTTTTTTGTTTTGGTGGGTGTGCAGTGATATCTCATTGTGGTTCTAATTTCTATTTGCCTGATGACTAATATGAAAATTTCCTCATGTGCTTACTGGTAATTCATGTATCTTCTTCTTTTCTGTTTTTAAGTCTTTTGCTCACTTTTCTATTGTTTGTATTTTTATAATTAATTTGTGGTTGTAATTTATTCATTCTAGATACAAGTGCTCTATCAGATACATGTTTTATGAATATTATTTCCCAGTTTGTGGCTTACCTATTTATTTTATTTTATTTATTAAGACATGGTTTTACTCTATTACCCAGGCTGGAGTGCAGTGGCATGATCTTAGCTCACTGAAACCTCTGCTTCCCGGGCTCAAGTAATCCTCCTGCCTCAGCCTCCCAAGTAGCTGGGACCACAGGTGCATGCTATCATACCTGGCTAGTTTTTTTTCTTTTTTTTGTAGAGACAGAGTTTTGCCATGTTGCCCAGGCTGGTCTGGAATTCCTAAGCTCAAGTAATCTGCCGGCCTTGGCCTCTGAAAGTGCTGGGATTATAGGTGTGAGCCACTGTACCCAGCCTATTTATTTTAAGTGTCTTTTGATGAACCAAAATTTTTTGTTTTGGTGAAATTCAATTCATCATTTGTCTTCCTTTCCATAGCCCTTTTTTGGCCTCTCTAAAACATGTTTGCCAACTCCAAGTTCATGAAGATTTTCCCTCCATGCCTTCTTCTAGAAGCTTTTTAGGTTTTGTTTTTACATTTAGGCCTAACCTGCCTTGAAGTAATTCGTATGCATGGTAGGAGGCAGAGCGTCAAGGCCCTCCTTTTTTTTTTTTTAACATACCATTTTACAGTTGTTTCAGCACCTTTGTTGAAAAGACTTTCCTTTCTTCCCCTTGCCCTTGGTGCAGGCCTCTCTCTGGACTCCATCCTGTTCTGGGATACACGGTCTCTGTGTATGCTCATATTACCCAATCACTTTAGCTGGAAGTCAGGGCCTGCAAGCCCTCCAGCTCTCTTCTGGAGGACTGTCCTCCCCTAGGTCCTCAGAGATTCAGTACAACCCCAATCAGCTTCCAGCAGTACCCCACCCTGCCCAGCCCTTCTTGTTTTTGGAGAAACTGAATGACTTCTATTTTATATTTGGCTCTGGCTGCTGTCTGAAAAGTAGAAGCAGTGGGCAAGGCAAGGGGCATAGAGCCTGGGCTGTGGACCCCCATAGAGGGGCTGCTGGGCTTCTGAGGGGAGCCAGCAGGATTTCTGATGACCGGCTGTGGGTGTGAGTAAAAGCAGTGGGAACTTTCGAGTTTTCAGACAGGAAGAGCAGCGTGTTTCCAGTCCCCTGTGGCCAGGGCTGAGATGGGCTGAGTGGCCCTGGAGGTTTATATGATGGCCAAGGGAGCCTGGTCCGGGAGAGCCTGGGAGTTCTGTGGTGGTGATGTTGCCCCTAGGTTAGGGGAGGCTCTGGCTCTCCGCTCGCAGTCAGCCAGCGAAGTTCCACCTATTTGACATGTGGGCACGCCCTAAGATTTCAGTTGAAAACTATATTCAGATTGATGGCAAGATGGTTGAATAAGAACAACTCCAGTGTGCAGTTCCCAGTGAGATCGACGCAGAAGGCAGGTGATTTCTGCATTTCCAACTGAGGTACAGGTTCATCTCATTGGGACTGGTTGGACAGTGGGTGCAGCCCACAGAGGGCGAGCCGAAGCAGGGCAGGGCGTCGCCTCACCCAGGAAGTACAAGGGGTCGGGGAATTCTCTCCCCTACCCAAGGGAAGCCGTGAGGGACTGAGCCTGAGGAACTATGCACACTCCGGCCCAGATACTGCACTTTTCCCATGGTCTTTGCAACCTGCAGACCAGGAGATTCCTTCCAGTGCCTATGTCACCAGGGCCCTGGGTTTCAAGCACAAAACTGGGCAGCCGTTCAGGCAGACACCAAACTAGTTGCAGGAGGTTTTTTTTTCCATACCCCAGTGGTGCCTGGAACACCAGAGAGACAGAACAGTTCACTCTCCTGGAGATGGGGCTGAAGTCAGGAAGCCAAGTGGTCTGGCTCAGTGGGTCCCACCCCCATGGAGCCCAGCAAACTAAGATGCACTGGCTTGAAATTCTCGCTGCTAGCACAGCAGTCTGAGGTCGACCTGGGGCACTTGAGCTTGGTAGGGGGAGGGGCGTCTGCCATTGCTGAGGCTTGAGTAGGTGGTTTTACCCTCACAGTGTAAACAAAGCCGCAGGGAAGTTCGAACTGGGTGGAGCCCATCACAGCTCAGCAAGGCCGCCGTGGCCAGACTGCCTCTGGACTCCTCCTCTCTGGGCAGGGCATCTCTAAAAAAAAAGGCAGCAGCCCCAGTCAGGGACTTATAGATAAAACTCCCATCTCCCTGGGACAGAGCACCTGGGGGAAGGGGTGGCTGTGGGCGCAGCTTCAGCAGACTTAAATATCCCTGCCTGACGGCTCTGAAGAGAGCAGTGGACCTCCCAGCACAGCGTTTGAGTTCTGCTAAGGGTCAGACTGCCTCTTCAAGTGGGTCCCTGACCCCTGTGTATCCTGACTGGGAGACACCTCCCAGGAGGGGCCAACAGACACCTCATACAGGAGAGCTCTGGCTGGCATCTGGTGGATGCCCCTCTGGGAGGAAGCTTCCAAAGGAAAGAACAGGCAGCAATCTTTGCTATTCTGCAGCCTCTGCTGGTAATACCCAGGCAAACAGGGTCTGGAGTGGACCTCCAGCAAACTCCAGCAGGCCTGCAGCAGAGGGGCCTGACTGTCAGAAGGAAAACTAACAAACAGAAAGGAATAGCACATTCACTCAGAGATCCCATCCAAAGGTCACCAACATCAAAGACCAAAGGTAGATAAATCCATGAAGATGGGGAGAAACCAGCGCAAAAAGGCTGAAAATTCCAAAAACCAGAACGCCTCTTCTCCTCCAAAGGATCACAACTCCTCGCCAGCAAGGGAACAAAACTGGACAGAGAATGAGTTTGGCAAATTGACAGAGGTAGGCTTCAGAAAGTGGGTAATAACAAACCCCTCTGAGCTAAAGGAACATATTCTAACCCAATGCAAGGAAGCTAAGAACCTTGAAAAAAGGTTAGACGAATTGCTAACTAGAATAACTGGTTTAGAGAAGAACATAAATGACCTGATGGAGTTGAAAAACACAGCACAAGAACTTCGTGAAGCATACACAAATATCAATAGCCGAGTCGATCAAGCGGAAGAAAGGATATCAGAGATTGAAGATCAAATTAATGAAATAAAGCAAGAAGACAGGATTAGAGAAAAAAGAATGAAAAGGAATGAACAAAGCCTCCAAGAAATATGGGGTTATGTGAAAAGACCAAATCTACATTTGACTGATATACCTGAAAGTGATGGGGAGAATGGAACCAAGATGGAAAACACTCTTCAGGATATTATCTAGGAGAACTTCCCCAACCTAGCAAGGCAGGCCAACATTCAAATTCAGGAAATACAGAGAACACCACAAAGATACTCCTCGAGAAGAGCATCCCCAAGACACATAATCCCAAGATACATAATCGTCAGATTCACCAAGGTTGAAATGCAGGAAAAACTGTTAAGGGCAGCCAGAGAGAAAGGCCAGGTTACCCACAAAGGGAAGCCCATCAGACTAACAGTGGATCTTTCTGCAGAAACCCTACTCAACACAACCCAGAATTTCATATCCAGCCCAACTAAGCTTCATAAGTGAAGGAGAAATAAAATCCTTTACAGACAGGCAAATGCTGAGAGATTTTGTGACCACCAGGCCTGCCTTACAAGAGCTCCTGAAGGAAGCACTAAACATGGAAAGGAACAGCCGGTACCAGCCACTGCAAAAACATACCAAATTGTAAAGACCATCAACACTATGAAGAAACTGCAGCAACCAACGAGCAAAATAACCAGCTAGCATCATAATGACAGGATCAAATTCACACATAACAATATGAACTTTAAATGTAAATGGGCTAAATGCCCTAATTAAAAGACACAGGCTGGCAAATTGGATAAAGAGTCAAGACCCATCAGTGTGCTGTATTCAGAAGACCCATCTCACATGCAAAGACACACACAGACTCAAAATAAAGGGATGGAGGAATATTTATCAACAAATGGAAAGCAAAAAAAAGCAGGGGTTGCAATCCTAGTCTCTGATAAAACAGACTTTAAACCAACAAAGATCAAAAGAGACAAAGAAGGGCATTACATAGTGGTAAAGTGATCAAGGCAACAAGAAGAGCTAACTATCCTAAATATATATGCACCTAATACAGGAGCACTCAGATTCACAAAGCAAGTTCTTAGAGACCTACAAAGAGACTCAGACTCCCACACAATAACAGTGGGAGACCTTAACAACCCACTGCCAATATTAGACAGATCACTGAGACAGAAAATTAACAAGGACATTCAGGACTTGAACTCAGCTCCGGACCAAGCAGACCTAATAGACACATACAGAACTCTCCACCCCAAATCGACAGAATATACATTCTTCTCGGCACCACATCGCACTTTTTCTAAAACTGACCACATAATTGGAAGTAAAACACTCCTCAGCAAATGCAAAACAATGGAAATCATAACAAACAGTCTCTCATACTACAGTGCAATCAAATTAGAACTCAGGATTAAGAAACTCACCCAAAACTGCACAACAACATGGAAACTGAACAACCTGCTCCTGAATGACTCCTGGGTAAATAATGAAATGAAGGCAGACATAAAGATGTCCTTTGAAACCAATGAGAACAGACGCAACGTACCAGAATCTCTGGGACACATTTAATGCAGTGTGTAGAGGGAAATTTATAGCACTAAATGCCCACAAGAGAAAGCAGGAAAGATCTAAAATCGACACCCTAACATCACAATTAAAAGAACTAGAGAAGTAAGAGCAAACAAATTCAAAAGCTAGCAGAAGACAAGAAAAAACTAAGATCAGAGCAGAACTGAAGGAGATAGAGACACAAAAAACCCTTTAAAAAAAATCAATGAATCCAGGAGCTAGTTTTTTGAAAAGATCAACAAAATAGACCGCTAGCCAGACTAATAAAGAAGAAAAGAGAGAAGACTCAAATACACACAATGGAAAATGATAAAGGGGATATCACCACTGATCCCACAGAAATACAAACTACCAGAGAATACTATAAACACTCCTATGCAAATAAAGTAGAAAATCTAGAAGAAACGGATAAATTCCTGGACATATACACCCTCCCAAGTCTAAGCCAGGAAGAAGTCAAATCCCTGAATAGACCAATAACAAGTTCTGAAATTGAGGCAGTAATTAATAGCCTACCAACCAAAAAAAGTCCAGGAACAGATAGATTCACAGCCGAATTCTACCAAAGGTACAAAGAGGAGCTGGTACCATTCCTTCTGAAACTATTCCAATCAATAGAAAAAGAGAGAGTCCTCTCTAACTCATTTTATGAGGCCAGCATCATCCTGATACCAAAACCTGGCAAAGACACAACAAAAAAAGAAAATTTCAGGGCAATATCTCTGATGAACATCAATGAAAAAATCCTCAATAAAATACTGGCAAACCGAATCCAGCAGCACATCAAAAAGCTTATCCACCATGATCAAGTGGGCTTCATCCCTGGGATGCAAGGCTGGTTCAACATACGCAAATCAAGAAATGTAATGCATCACATAAACAGAACCAATGACAAAAACCACATGATTATCTCAATGGATGCAGAAAAGGCCTTCGACAAAATTCAACACCCCTTCATGGTAAAAACTCTCAATAAACTAGGTATCAATGGAACATATCTCAAAATATTAAGAGCTATTTATGACAAACCCAGAGCTAACATCATACTGAATGGGCAAAAACTGGAAGCATTCCCTTTGAAAACCAGCACAAGACAAGGATGCCCTCTTCACCATTCCTATTCAACATAGTATTGGAAGTTCTAGCCAGGGTAATCAGGCAAGAGAAAGAAATAAAGGGTATTCAAATAGGAAAAGAGGAAGTCAAATTGTCTCTGTTTGTAGATAACATGATTGTATATTTAGAAAACCCCACCATTTCAGCCCTAAATCTCCTTAAGCTGATAAGTAACTTCAGCGAAATCTCGGGATACAAAATCAATGTGCAAAAATCACAAGCATTCCTATACACCAATAATAGCCAAATCATGAGTGAACTCCCATTCACAATTGCTACTAAGGGAATAAAATATCTAGTAACACAACTTACAAGGGATGTGAAGGACCTCTTCAAGGAGAAGTACAAACCACTGCTCAAGGTAATAAGAGAGGACACAAATAAATGGAAAAACATTCCATGCTCATGGATAGGAAGAAACAATATCATGAAAATGGCCATACTGCCCAAAGTAATTTATAGATTCAATGCTATCCCTATCAAGCTACCACTGACTTTCTTCACAGAATTGGAAAAAACTACTTTAAACTTCATATGGAACCAAAAAAGAGCCCACATAGCCAAGACAATCCTAAACAAAAAGAACAAAGCTGGGGGCATCACGCTACCTGACTTCAAACTGTACTACAAGGCTACAATAACCAAAACAGCATGGCACTGGTACCAAAACAGATATATAGACCAATGGAAGAGAACAGAAACCTCAGAAGTTAACACCACACTTCTACAACCATCTGATCTTTGACAAACCAGACATAAACAAGCAATGGGGAAAGGATTCCCTATTTAATAAATAGTGTTGGGAAAACTGGCTAGCCATATGCAGAAAACTGAAACTGGACCCCTTCCTTACACCTTACACAAAAATTAACTCAAGATGAATTAAAGACTTAAACGTAAGACCTAAAACCATAAAAATCCTAGAAGAAAACCTAGGGAATACCATTCAGGACATAGGCACGGGCAAAGACTTCAGGTCTAAAACACCAAAAGTAATGGCAACAAAAGCCAAAATTGACAAATGGGATCTAATTAAACTAAACAGCTTCTGCACAGCAAAAGAAACTATCATTAGAGTGAACAGGCAACCTACAGAATGGGAGAACATTTTTGTAATCTTTCCATCTAACAATGGGCTAATATCTAGAATCTACAAAGAACTTATACAAATTTACAAGAAAAAACAAACAACCCCACCAAAAAGTGGGCAAATTATATGAACAGACACTTCTCAAAAGAAGACATTTATGTGGCCAACAGACATATGAAAAAAAGCTCATCATCACTGCTCATTAGAGAAATGCAAATCAAAACCACAATGAGATACCATCTCACACCAGTTAGAATGGCGATCATTAAAAAATCAGGAAACAACAGATGCTGGAGAGGATGTGGAGAAACAGGAATACTTTTACACTGTTGGTGGGAGTGTAAATTAGTTCAACCATTGTGGAAGACAGTGTGGCGATTCCTCAAGGATCTATAACTAGAAATACCATTTGACCCAGCAATCCCATTACTGGGTATATACCCAAAGGATTATAAATCATTCTACTATAAAGACACATGGACACATATGTTTATTGTGGCACTATTCACAATAGCAAAGACTTGGAACCAGCCCAAATGTCCACCAATGATAGACTGGATAAAGAAAATGTGGCACATATACATCATGGAATACTATGCAGCCATACAAAAGGATGAGTTCATGTCCTTTGCAGGGACATGGATGAAGCCGGAAACCATCATTATCAGCAAACTAACACAAGAACAGAAAACCAAACACCGCATTTTCTCACTCATAAGTGGGAGTTGAACAATGAGAACACATGGACACACAGAGGGGAACATCACACATCGGGGCCTGTTGAGGGGTGGGGGGCCAAGGGAGGGATAGCATTAGGAGAAATACCTAATGTAGATGACGGGTTGATGGGTGCAGCAAACCACCATGGCACGTGTATACCTGTGTAACACAACTGCACATTCTGCACATTCTGCACATGTACCCCAGAGCTTAAAGTATAACAAAAAAAGAAAGAAAACTATATTCAGCTGCTTCACAAAAATACTTGCAAATAGCTGCTAGAGCAGTGCCTTTACATAAAGTGCATTAAGTTAGTAACTGGCTCATGCATGTGGCCAGAGAAGTGGGTCAGAGGACAACCTGTGGCTCCCACTCAGGAGCCCAGGGGAGGACTTCCAGGGCAGGGTGGGGTGAGAAGCTCAACAAGATGGGCAAGTGTGCTCAGGGCTTGTGGCAAAGCTGTGCCCCTCACCTCTGTGCCCTGGAGTCCAGACTGGCTATTGGACTGGAAAGGAGGTCCTGCATGAGACTCCGGGTCTAACTGAGCCACCAGGGAGCCAGAAGCTTCTACAAGCAAGAGGCACGACGAGCAGAGCAGCCCGGGAGGCACAGGGCGGAACAAAGGCTCTGCTCTGGGTGCAGTGTGGCTAGGACGCATGGCCAGGCCAGGAGAAAGTAGGGCCTTCCACAGCTGTTTGTTTCTTTGCTTTTGTATTTGATTTTAGTTTGCTTTTGATGAGATAATTTGCATTTTGGGTGGGAGTTAGAACTTACTCTCTCTGTGCTGTGTAGAATCGGTGCGTGTGGGTGTGCAGGGGGAATGGGTGGTAAATATGTTATGTGGCATGTGTGTGGCAGGTGTGTGTTGGGTTATGTGTGCACAGCCTGAGGCTCTCCATCATTCTGGCTCCCTCTATCGCAGCCACAGACATCAAGGACCCTGCATCAAAGGAATGTGGGGGCCACTCTGGACACACAGGGGTGTGCTGGGGACAGTGGCCACGCATCTGGTCACATGGGACCACAGGCATTTGGCACCTGAGTTCTCTCCTCTGAAACATCACCCTGGGCCCTCTGGGGTGGGTGGACGGCTGATTCTCCTTGGTGGCCTCTGGGCCTGCATCCTAACTGGGTAGGGCAAGGAGTGGCTCCAACTAACAGCATGGAAACTTCCCTGGCTGTGAGGGGCTTCCTATTGGGCAAAGCCATTAGGGGGCGCCTCCGTGCTCACTTTCCAATGTAGCCTGCAATCATGGAACAAATCGATTAAAGCAGAGAACAATCAGTTATTTTTTCAGACTCATTTTCTTAAATGGCTTAATCTATGCCTCAGGCCACACAGACTGTTGGTTACGTAAGCAACTCCAGTGACTGCATTCCTGTGACATCGCTACAGTGCTGCATGCAAAAGCTGGCCTCTCTACTCCTGAGCAGACTCTGCTCTTTCCACGCCCTCTCTCCAGCCACCGGGGAGACTGTGCCACTGTGCCCGTGGACAGGGAGTGACAAAGGACAGAGCTCCCATTCTAACCAGTGAACCATTTCTGCTGGAGCCTGTGGGGAAACCACAAATGCCAACATCAACAGGCCTTTCTGTATACTCTTGGAGTCCAGTTTCCATTTTAGAAGAACATTATTAAAAACAAACCTAATTTACCACAACCAAAATTAAACAGCTAGATGACCTTCAACCAATGTCTCTGGTTTGGATCCAGTGATCTGCATGTGGCCTCACATCCCCATCATAGTTGCTCTTTGCTTGCAATTTTTAGCTCAGTGTAAATGCAGAATAACCTATATTTCACATAAACAACTCTTGCTAGATATGCAGGGTTGTTGTGAAACTTTGTTTAACTATTTTACCATCTTCATGTGCAAAGCTCTGGCAGGTATGCTTTAGCCTCAGGGGAGGGAGAGACGAAGTGGTGCAGAACTGAGGTAGGTTTCAGAGGCCTCCGTTATGAACACACACGTGACCGTGCACAGAGTTAGTAGCTTGAAAAATGTTACATTCCCAACATGGGAGTCACTTCTTAGTATTGGTGGCTTTTGGAGTTGTTTAAAATAAATTAGTCAGAAATGGATGAATAACAAAGTTAACTGGATTTTTTAGTATGACTAGTAAAATGTAAACAATAGCAGATCATCTGTGTTCATGACGTTGAAAAAAATCCCTATACTGCAAATATGTACTAAGTCAGACAGTAATGGAATTACACATCCTGCACCAAATTCATCTGTGTAAACTGTAACACTACAAAGCTGATGTCAACATCTGTCACATTAACTGTCTAACGCACGACTTCTGTTTTGGAAGTCAGCAGCCCTTTATTCAATTGGCAAAACCAGATACCCTCTAGGCATTAAATGGGTAATATTTACAAACACTTTTTTTCATGTGTGAGTTAAGTAATAACATTTTATTTCAAGATTAGTTATATAATGCTGACATTATATATCATATAAATCAGTTTAGAATTCTTTCATAAAAATTTTCATACACAAAACTACTACTGTCCGCTTATTCCAGCAATGAAGTAAGTGTTTATCAGTGATAGCACAGTAAACAAATTCAAACTGCCCTGGGGAGTTTCGCTTCTGGAAATGGTGGAGTAGGTTGTTTTACAACAATACTGACACTGGAATAACTAGGAAACATGGCAAAATATAAGAAAGAGATCTGTTTGATGACATCAGAGAGTATAAAGGCAGTGAGGAATGTTAAGCTGAGAACTAGGAGAGGATTAGAGACAAGAGAGATAAACTAGCATTTGGAGTTACTTTCCCCATTGGGAATATTGCCAGTGACAAAAGCAGTGGCTGAGAGGCTGAGGAGCTGAAGAGAGCTTTTAACAAGTCTTATGGATCTGGGCAGATAGAAACTAGTACTCAGGGCCCTCAATGAAGAACAAACCTTGGCCAACACCCCAGGCTTTTGGCTGGGAACTTGAAGGGCTATACCCCAAGAGTGAGAGTAAACTAAAAACAAACTAGCCATAGTAGGGAATCAAGGCCAGCTTCAAATTACTTAAATACCTGATTGGCTTAAAGTGGCCTTGGATTACTAATGTCCTCACCCCAGTTGCCTAAAATAAGCAAACTTCACTTTCTCAGGAAAAAAAATAAAATCACCCATAGCCTAAAATTATATCTCAAAATCTTAATATATAATATCCAAGACCCAATTAAAATTACCAGTGGTCCCTTAAGATTAAAATGGAGCTGAAAAATTCCTATTGCCTAGTGATGTTGAAGGTGACATAATGTTCTAGTGCAATGTATTACCTTTTCTATATTTATATAGGATTACATGCACAAATACTTAGTATTGTGTTACAATTACCTACGGTACTGAGTGCAGTAACATGCTGTACAGGTTTGTAGCCTAGGAACAGTAGGCTATACCATATAGCCTAGGTGTGTAGTAGGCTGCACCATCTAGGTTTGTGTAAATGAACTCTGTGATGTTTGCACAATGGGGAAGTTGCCTAACAATGCATTTCTTAGAATGTATCTCATCATTAAGTGATGCATGACTGTAGTCTAAAATAATTATATTTAATATGGTAGATGTTAAAGAATTTTGGGCTGGGTGCAGTGGCTCATGCCTGTAATCCCAGCACCTTGGGAGGCTGAGGCAGGCGGATCATGAGGTCAGGAGATCGAGACCATCCTGGCCAACATGGTGAAACCCCGTCTCTACTAAAAATACAAAAATTAGCTGCGCATGGTGGCACATGCCTGTAGTCCCAGCTACTTGGGAGGCTGAGGCAGGAGAATCGCTTGAACCCGGGAGACGGAGGTTGCAGTGAGCTGAGATTGTGGCACTGCACTCCAGCCTGGAGACTGAGACTCCATCTCAAAGAAGAAAAAAAAAGAATTTTGGCAGGGAATTGAATTGAGAAACATAAAAATAAGTCCAGTCTAGAACTGAAAAATAGATGAACTAAAAATAAGAACTCGGTGCATATGGTTAAGAGCTGACTGGGCAATCAAGAAAAGAGAATAAATAAAGTGAAAGATAAGTTCAGAAGAAAATATTGTTTGAAGCAGACTTACAGACATGCAGACACACAGACACACAGTGGGAGGTGGAGGTGTGGAATGAGAGCTAAAAGCACAAGACCATACACATAAGCATGGGAAAGGGGCTTTTTGACACATGTGCACAGAAGCTCCTCAACTTGCCATGGAGTTATGTCCCAACAAACCCATCCTAAATCAAAAATACTGTAAGTGCCTATTATAAAGTTGAAAAATCGTAAGTTGAACTATCATAAGTCAGTGACCAGCTGTAGCTGAGTTCCAGAAAGGAAGAATATACAGGATGGGATAGAAGCAATATTTTAAAAGATAATGGTGGACATGAGGCAGGACTAGACTGTAGCTCCAACTTGGAAGAACAGAGCAGCGTGCGGAGGCTCGCATCATGAATTTTAGATCCAGAATGACTGCAGGAATAAACCAGGAATCTATAGACCCTCTGAAAGAAGCAGACTGCTCCTGCAGGACCTGGTAGATGCCCCAAATACTGGGAGTGCCCAAACTGCAGAAGCAGGAAAGGGAAATCCTCTGCCCCCAAACACACACTCTCACTGGGGAAACTGAAGGTCTAGTTTGTGGGAGAAGTTTCTGACCTTACCTGGAGCAGAGTCAATTTAGAGAGCTGAGCGAAATACAGGGGTAGAGGAGGCAGCGGGAAAGGCCCTGGGAGCTCACTGGGTCCCCAAGCAGGCCATTCTTGCCTGTCACCACAGGGATCGGGGGGCAGTCAGAGGCAAAGGAAAAGGAAGTCTCAAGCTGAACTTTTTAACAATTTGAACTGGGCAAGAGCCTCCTGGCCAGAACTCAGGGGAAGGCGCGAATCTGACGTGTAGCCTCCACAGGATGGGGAGGAACTAAAGCCCTTTTCTTTTGCATCTGGGAGGTGGATAGCCTGGGGTAAGTTCTCAGCTTTGCTTGCCCACTGCCAGGAAACAAACTTGGTGCCGTTAGCAGGCACACGGTGGAAGTGAGACTGGCCCTTCAGATTGTGTGGGAGCTGGGTGAGGCCTGTGACTACCGAATTGCCCCACTTCCCTGACAGCCTGCATGACTCAGCAGAGGCAGCCATAATCCTCCCAGGAACACAACTCCATTGACCTGGGAACCTCACCCCCATTCCCTACAGCAGCCGCAGCACAGCAAGACCCAACGGAGAGTCTGAGCTCAGACACGCCTAGCCCTGCCCCCCATTGATGGTCCTTCCCTACCTCCTCTGGTAGCTGAGGACAAAGGGCATATACTCTTGGGAGTTCTAGGGTCCCACCCACTGCTGGTCCCTCTCCATACTAGCACAGCTGATGCTCTCTCGAAAGCGCTACCTCCCGTCAGGAGGCCAACCGGCACAAAAACAGAACATTAAACCACCAAAGCTAAGAACGCTCACAGAGTCCATTTCACCCCCCTGCCACCTCCACTGGAACAGGTGCTGGCATCCATCGCTGAGAGACCCATAGATGCTTCACATCACAGGACTTTGTGCAGACAACCCCCAGTACCAGCCCAGAGCCGGGCAGACTTGCTGGATGGCTAGACCCAGAAGAGAGATAGCAATCACTGCAGCTCAGCTCACAGGAAAGGGGGAGAATACTACATCAAGGGAACACCCTGTGGGACAAAAGAATCTGAACAGCCTTCAGCTCTAGACCTTCCCTCTGACAGAGCCTACCAAATGAGAAGGAACCAGAAAATCAGCTCTGCTAATGTGATAAAACAAAAGCAGAAGTAGCTGTTCTTATATCAGACAAAACAAACTTTAAAGCAACAGCAGTTAAAAGAGACATGGAGGAGGGGTATTATATAATGCTAAAAAGCCTTGTCCTGGAAAACATCACAATCCTAACCATATATGCACCTAACACCGGAGCTCCCAAATCTATACAACAGGTACTAATAGATCTAAGAAATGAGATAGATGGCAACACAATAAGAGTGGGGAACTTTAATACTCCACTGACAGCGCTAGACAGGTCATCAAGACAGAAAAGTCAACAAAGAAACAATGGATTTAAACTATACCTTAGAACAAATGGACTTAACAGATATATACAGAACATTTCATCCAAGAACTGTAGAATACACATTCTATTCAACAGCACATGGGACTTTCTCCAAGATAGACCATATGATAGGCCACAAAACAAGCCTCAATAAATTTAAGAAAAATGAAATTATATATATATATATATATATATATTTTTTTTTTTTTTTTTTTTTTTGAGACGGAGTCTCACTCTGTTGCCCAGGCTGGAATGCAATGGCGCAACCTTGGCTCACTGCAAGCTCCGCCTCCCAGGTTCACGCCATTCTCCTGCCTCAGCCTCCCAAGTAGCTGGGACTACAGGCGCCCGCCACCACGCCTGGCTAATTTTTTGTATTTTTGGATTTTTAGTAGAGGCGGGGTTTCACCGTGTTAGCCAGGATGGTCTCGATCTCCTGACCTCGTGATCTGCCTGCCTCGGACTCCCAAAGTGCTGGGATTACAGGCGTGAGCCACCATGCCCGGCCAGAAAAATGAAATTATATTAAGCACTCTGTCAGACCACCCTGGAATCAAACTGGAAATCAACTCCAAAAGGAACCTTCAAAACCATGCAAACACATGGAAATTAAGTAACCTATTCCTGAATGATCATTGGGTCAAAAATGAAATCAAGATGGAAATTAAAAAATTCTTCAAGCTGAATGACAATAACGACACAACCTATCAAAATCTCTGGGATATAGCAAAGGAGGTGCTAAGAGGAAACTTCATAGCCCTACACGCCTACATCAAAAAGACTGAAAGAGCACAAACTGACATTCTCAGGTCACACCTCAAGGAACTAGAGAAACAAGAACAAACCAAAGCCAAACCCAGCAGAATAAAGGAAATAACCAAGATCAGAGCAGAACTAAATGAAGCTGAAACAAACAAACAAACAAATACAAAAGATAAATGAAACAAAAAGCTGGTTCTTTGAAAAGATAAATAAAATTGACAGACCATTAGTAAGATTAACCAAGAAAAGAAGAGAGAAAATCCAAATAACCTCATTAAGAAATGAAATGGGAGATATTACAACTGACACCACAGAAATACAAATGATCATTCAAGGCTACTATGAACATCTTTACTCACATACTAGAAAACATAGAAGAGATGGATAAATTCCTGGAAAAATACAACCCTCAGCTTAAATCAGGAAGAATTAGATACCCTGAACAGACCAATAACAAGCAGGGAGATTGAAATGGTAATTTAAAAATTACCAACAAAAAAAAGTCCAGGACCAGACGGATTCACAGCAGAATTCTACCAGACAAAGAATTGGTACCAATTCTTTTGACACTATTCCACAAGATAGAGAAAGAAGGGACCCTCCCTGATGCATTCTATGAAGCCAGCATCACCCTAATACCAAAACCAGGGAAGGACATAACCAAAAAAGAAAAACTATAGACCGATATCCTTGCTGAACAAAGATGCTAAAATCCTTAACAAAATACTAGCTAACCAAATCCAACAACATATCAAAAAGATAATCCACCATGATCAAGTGGGTTTCATACCAGGAATGCAGAAACGATTTAACATATGCAAGTTGATAAATGTGATACACCACATAAACAGAATTAAAAACAAAAATCATGTGATCATTTCAATAGATGCAGAAAAAGCATTTGACAAATCCAGCATCCTTTAAGATTAAAACTCTTGGCAAAATCAGCAACAAGAGACATACCTCAATGTAATAAAAGCCATCTATGACAAACCCACAGCCAACATAATACTGAATGGGAAAAGTTGAAAGCATTCCCTCTGAGAACTGGAACAAGACAAGGATGCCCACTCTCACTACTCTTCTTCAACATAGTACTGGAAGTCCTAGCCAGGGCAATCAGACAAGAGAAAGAAATAAAAGGCATCCAAATCGGTGATGAGGAAGTCAAACTGTCAATGTTGGCTAACAATATGATTGTTTACCTTGAAAACCCTGAAGACTCCTCCAGAAAGCTCCTAGAACTGCTAAAAGAATTCACCAGTTTCTGGATACAAGATTAATGTACACAAATTGGTAACTCTTCTATATACCAAGAGTGACCAAGCGGATAATCAAATCAAGAACTCAACCCCTTTTACAATAGCTGCAAAAAAATAAAATACCTAGGAATATACCTAACTGAGGAGGAGAAAGACCTCTACAAAGAAAACTACAAAACCCTGGTGAAATAAATCATAGATGACACAAACAAATGGAAACACGTCCCATGCTCATGGATAGGTAGACTCAATATTGAGAAAATGACCATACTGCCAAAAGCAATCTACAAATTCAACACAATTCCCATCAAAATACCATCGTCATTCTTCACAGAATTAGAAAAAACAATTCTAAAATTCATATGGAACCAAAAAAGAGCCTGCATAGCCAAAGTAAGACTAAGCAAAAAGAACAAATCTGGAGGCATCACACTACCTGATTTCAAACTATACTTTAAGGCCATAGTCACCAAAACAGCATGGTACTGGTACAAAAGTAGGCACATAGACCAATGGAACAGAATAGAGTACCCAGCAATAAGCCCAAATACTTACAGCCAACTGATCTTTGACAAAGCAAACAAAAACATAAAGTGGGGAAAGGACACCCTTTTCAACAAATGGTGCTGCGATAACTGGCTAGCCACATGTAGGAGAATGAAACAGGATCCTCATCTCTCACCTTTTACAAAAATCAACTCAAGAGGGATTAATGACTTATATATAAGACCTGAAACTATAAAAATTCTAGAAGATAACATTGGAAAACCCCTTCTAGACATTGGCTTAGGCAAGGATTTCATGAGCAAGAACCCAAAAGCAAATGCAATAAAAACAAAGATAAATAGCTGGAACTTAATTAAACTAAAGAGCTTTTGCATGGTAAAAGGAACAGCCAGCAGAGTAAACAGACAACCTCCAGAGTGGGAGAAAATCTTCACAATCTATACATTTGAGAAAGGACTAATATCCAGAATCTAGAACCCAAACTCAAACAAATCAGCAAGAAAAAAACAAACAATCCCGTCAAAAAGTGGGCTAAGGACATGAACAGACAATTCTCAAAAGAAGATATACAAATGGCCAACAAACATATGAAAAAATGCTCTACATCATTAATGATCAGGGAAATGGAAATCAAAACCACAATGTGATACCACCTTACTCCTGTAAGAATGGCCATAATAAAAAAATCAAAAAACAGTAGATTGAGGCATGGATGCAGTGATCAGGGAACACTTCTACTGCTGGTGGGAATGTAAACTAGTACAACCACTATGGAAAACAGTATGGAGATTCCTTAAAGAACTAGAACTACCATTTGATCTAGCAATCTCACTACTGGGTATCCACCTAGAGGAAAAGAAGTTATTATATGAAAAAGACACTTGTACATGCATGTTTGTGGCTGCACAATTCACAACTGCAAAATCGTGGAACCAACCCAAATGTCCATCAATCAATGAGTAGATAAAGAAACTGTGGTGTATATATATATGTATACACAATGGAATATTACTCAGCCATAAAAGGGAATGAATCAAAGGCATTCGCAGCAACCTGGATAAGATTGGAGACTATTACTCTAAGTGAAGTAACTCAGGAATGAAAAACCAAACATCATATGTTCTCACTGATATGTAGGAGCTAAGCTAAGAGGACACAAAGGCATAGGAATGATACAATGGACTTGTGGACTTGGGGGAAGAATGGGAGGAGGGCAAGGGAAAAAAGACTACAAATAGGGTGCAGTGTATTACTGCTCAGGTGATGGGTGCACCAAAATCTCACAGATCACCACTAAAGAACTTACTCATGTAACCGAACACGACCTGCACCCCAATAACCTATGGAAAAATAGAAAAAAAAAGACAATGACTGAGAATTTTCTAAAATTAGTGAAAGATATCAAGCCACAGATCCAGAAGTGGTATGAACCCCAAGGAGCATAAATATAAGAAAAATGCAAGTCTGCATGTTATAATAAAACTGCTGAAAACCTATGATAAAGGAAAATATTTTAGAAACAGTATAAGAAAAAAGACTACCTTGACTTTTAAATGGAAATAATAAAGGCCAGAAGAAAATGGAATATCTTCAGAGTTCAAAAATAAGTAAATACATACATAAATGCCAGTCTACAGTCCTATATCTTGTAAAATTATTCTTTAAAAGCAGATGCAAAATAAAAAAAAATTTCAGACACTTATCACCAGGGGACCACACTATAGAAAATACTAAAAGGTGTTCTTTAGGTAGAAGGAAATAATCTCAGATTGAAGCTCAGAGCTACAGGAAAAAATAAAGAACAACGGAAAATCATTATAGCCAAGTGGGTATTGACCCTATAGAAAATAACGTTGCCCTACGGAATTTGAAAGAGAATCAAATTATGGGACAATATTAATATACAAGGCAGAAGGGGCTAAATGGTGTTCAGAAGTACTAAGTTCCTTGAATTGTCCAAAGTATGGTACAAGTACTATTTTAAGGGAAACTCGATAGTCAAGGATGTATATCGTAACCTCTATCGTAACTACCAAAAGAATAGTAAAGGAATGTACCGGGAAGAAGCTAATAGAATAGAACATTAATAAATACTTTGATTTATACAAAATTATGCAGGAAAGATGAAAAAGGAAATGACAGGGCAAACAAAAGCAAATAATGAGATGTTAGATCTATAACCAACTAGATCAGTTATCACATCCAATGTAGGTAAACTAAAATGCTTCAAGTAAAAAACAGATGATCAGACTGGATTTAAAAAACCTTAATTTTACATTGCTTACATCTGAATCACAAACTGTCACAAAGGTTGAAAGTAGAATGATTTTAAAAATATATCATGCAAACACTAATCAAAAGAGCTAATGTAGAAAAACCAATGTCAGACAAGTTGACGTTAATGAAAATAAAACTTTAGTAATGACAGAAAAAAGTTTATAATAAAATATCAGTCCTACAGGAAGCTATGACAAGTCTATTCTTAACTTCAAATTATATAAAGGAAAAATCGACAGAAAATAAAGAGAAATATACAAGTCCACGATCATAGTTGGAGGTTTTAACAAAGTGCTGTCAGTAGCTGATAGAACAAGCAGACAAAAATAATCAGTATGGATTTAAATCACATGAAAAATACGATCCAATTAACATATACAGATCACTGCACCAAGAATCACAAAATCCACTTTTTGTTTCTTTGTGAACATGGAACGTTTACCAAAATTGATCATATGCTAGGCCATAAAGCAAGTCCCAAATTTCAAAAGGCTGAAATCATTCAGACTCTCTTCTCTGACCAACTGGAAGAGGACAGGGAATTGTAGGGGACTGGCTGTGCCACCGTGCCCAGGTGACCTTCCAGGTACCAACAGAGACCCCACAGGCACAGGCTTCAACCGCGGTCTGAGTCTTGGCAGAATGCCTTGGGATCCTTCTGGCACAGGGGCAGATGGGAGGTCTGTCAGGCACTGCTCTGAGGACATCTCTCCCTCACCTTCTCTCTCCCCTGCAAGGCAGTCATCAGACAGCTCCACCTGGCCTCACTGTTCTGATGAGGTATGGGCCTTTCTTCTCCCACCCCCTCAGGATGGTAGACATGAATGAAAATAAAACTGTAATAAAGCGGTGAAACCTCTTAGCTGCAGCGCAGAACAGGCTCCCCAGCAATGGGGTCTTGCACAACTCATGCAGCACTCCATCCCTTTTGTTTCAGTGTCATGCTTTCTGGCATGTGAAACAAGGACCTGGGAGCTGGCACCTTGGCTACTCTCTCCTTTGCTGTCTATGTAAGTAATAAACCGTCTGCATCTAAAACTGGCCTGTCGCATCCTTACTGGTTGAATCAGGCAGACCTTGCTCTTGCCTTGTCTGGTGTGTGCGCTTGACAGAAATCAATAACAGAAAGAGAAGTGGAAAATCCTTACATGCTGAGGAATTAACTGGAAATGTATAACCATTTATATATATATGTGAAAAGAAGAGGCTGGGCCTCAACAATCTAAGTTGGGGGTTTGCAAATTATGACCCATGGGCCAATTCCACTCTGCCCCTGTTTTTGTACAATGCATAAACTAAGAATAGCTTTTACATTTTACTTTTATTCATTTATTTGAGACAGAGTCTTGCTCTGTCTCCAAGCTGGAGTGCAGTGGCGCAATCTTGGCTCACTGAAACCTCCACCTCCCAGGCTCAAGCGATTCTCCTGCCTCAGCCTCCCGAGTACTGGGATTACAGACAACCACCACTGTGCCTGGCTAATTTTTGTATTTTCAGTAGAGACGGGGTTTCACCTTGTTGGCCAGGCTGGTCTTGAACTCCTGACCTCAGGTGATCTGCCCACCTCGGCCTCCCAAAGTGCTGGGATTACAGGCATGAGCCACCGTGCCCAACCAGCTTTTACATTTTAAGTTTAAAAGAAAGAATATGTGACAGGAAGCATGTGTAGCTTGCAAAGCCCAAAGTACTTACTATCTGTCCTGCCATGGAAAGAAGTTTGCCAACCCCTGATCTGAGTACCGATCTCAAACAGTTTTAAGAAATAGCAAATTTAACCAACAAATAAAGAAGGAAAAAAGGAGAAACAACAAGACCAAGAAAAGAACTCACAAATGCTGAGAGGGTAGATCTACAACCAAATATATCAAACATTTATGAGGATAACATCAGATTTTAATGGAACAGACGACAAATGATAAAGAGAATCGATGAAGCCAAAAAATGGTTCTTTGGAAAGACTTAGAATAATCGATAACTTGGCCGGGTGCAGTGGCTCACGCCTGTAATCCCAGCACTTTGGGAGGCCGAGGTGGATGGATCACGAGGTCAAGAGATTGAGACCATCCTGACCAACATGGTGAAACCCCGTCTCTACTAAAAATACAAAAATTAGCTGGCCGTGGTGGCAGGTGCCTGTAGTCCCAGCTACTTGGGAGGCTGAGGCAGAAGAATTGCTTGAACCCGGGAGACAGAGGTTGCAGTGAGCCCAGACTGTGCCACTGCACTCCCCTGGTGACAGAGTGAGACTCCATGTCAAAAAAAAAAGAAAAAAAGATAACTGATAACTCTGGCAAGACTTATATACATTTATATCTATGTGTCTATGTGCAAAAGAAGGCAGATACACAGGAATATATACTGCATGATTCCATGTATACAAAGCTTAAGCACAGGAAAGACTAACCTAAGGTGTTAGAAGTCATGACTGTAGTTCTAGTTACCTCTGGGGAGAAAGAAGGTGCAGTGATAGGAAGAGGGAAGGAAAGAGATTTCTGGCTGCTGATAGTCACAGTTTGATTTGATTTCCTTTTTTATTTTTATTTTATTATTTTTTAATTTTTTT
Source organism: Homo sapiens (assembly GCF_000001405.40). Taxonomy (NCBI): domain Eukaryota; kingdom Metazoa; phylum Chordata; class Mammalia; order Primates; family Hominidae; genus Homo; species Homo sapiens. The sequence goes on from NT_187660.1 coordinate 3,902,943, forward strand.
ATTATACTTTAAGTTCTAGGGTACATGTGCACAACATGCAGGTTTGTTACATATGTATACATGTGCCATGTTGGTGTGCTGCACCCATTAATTCGTCATTCACATTACGCATATCTCCTAATGCTATCCCTGCCCCCTCCGCCCACCCCAAAACAGGCCCTGGTGTGTGATGTTCCCCTTCCTGTGTCCAAGTGTTCTCATTGTTCAATTCCCACCTATGAGTGAGAACATGCGGTGTTTGGTTTTTTGTTCTTGTGATAGTTTGCTGAGAATGATGGTTTCCAGTTTCATCCATGTCCCTACAAAGGACATGAACTCATCATTTTTTATGGCTGCATAGTATTCCATGGTGTATATGTGCCACATTTTCTTAATCCAGTCTATCATTGATGGACATTTGGGTTGGTTCCAAGTCTTTGCTATTGTGAATAGTGCCTCAATAAACATACATGTGCATGTGTCTTTATAGCAGCATGATTTATAATCCTTTGGGTATATACCCAGTAATGGGATGGCTAGGTCAAATGGTATTTCCAGTTCTAAATACCTGAGGAATCGCCACACTGTCTTCCACAATGGTTGAACTAGTTTACAGTCCAACCAACAATGTAAAAGTGTTCCTATTTCTCCACATCCTCTCCAGCATCTGTTGTTTCCTGACTTTTTAATGATTGCCATTCTAACTGGTGTGAGATGGTATCTCGTTGTGGTTTTGATTTGCATTTCTCTGATGGCCAATGATGATGAGCATTTTTTCATGTGTCTGTTGGCTGCATAAATGTCTTCTTTTGAGAAGCGTCTGTTCATATCCTTTGCCCACTTGTTGATGGGGTTGTTTTTTTCTTTTAAATTTGTTCGAGTTCTTTGTAGATTCTGGATATTAGCCCTTTGTCAGATAAGTAAATTGCAAAAATTTTCTCCCAATCTGTATGTTGCCTGTTCACTCTGATGGTAGTTTCTTTTGCTGTGCAGAAGCCCTTTAGTTTAATTAGATCCCATTTGTCAATGTTGGCTTTTGTTGCCATTGCTTTTGGTGTTTTAGAGATGAGTCCTTGCCCATGCCTATGTCCTGAATGGTATTGCCTAGGTTTTCTTCTAGGGTTTTTATGGTTTTAGGTCTAATGTTTAAGTCTTTAATCCATCTTGAATTAATTTTTGTATAAGGTGTAAGGAAGAGATCCAGTTTCAGCTTTCTACATATGGCTAGCCAGTTTTCCCAGCACCATTTGTTAAATAGGGAATCCTTTCCCCATTTCTTGTTTTTGTCAGGCTTGTCAAAGATCAGATGGTTGTAGATGTGTGGTATTATTTCTGAGGGCTCTGTTCTGCTCCATTGATCTATATCTCTGTTTTGGTACCAGTACCATGCTGTTTTGGTTACTGCAACCTTGTAGTATGGTTTGAAGTCAGGTAGGGTGATGCCTCCAGCTTTGTTCTTTTGGCTTAGGATTGACTTGGCAATGCGGGCTCTTTTTTGGTTCCATATCAACTTTAAAGTAGTTTTTTCCAATTCTGTGAAGAAAGTCACTGGTAGCTTGATGGGGATGGCATTGAATCTATAAATTACCTTGGGCAGTATGGCCATTTGACGATATTGATTCTTCCTATCCATGAGCATGGAATGTTCTTCCATTTGTTTGTATCCTCTTTTATTTCATTGAGTGGTTTGTAGTTCTCCCTGAAGAGGTCCTTCACATCCCTTGTAAGTTGGATTCCTAGGTATTTTATTCTCTTTGAAGCAATTGTGAATGGGAGTTCACTCATGATTTGGCTCTCTGTCTGTTATTGGTGCATAAGAATGCTTGTGATTTTTACACATTGATTTTGTATCCTGAGACTTTGCTGAAGTTGCTTATCAGCTTAAGGAGATTTTGGGCTGAGACAATGGGGTTTTCTAGATATACAATCATGTCATCTGCAAACAGGGACAATTTGACTTCCTCTTTTCCTAATTGAATACCCTTTATTTCTTTCTCCTGCCTGACTGCCCTGGCCAGAACTTCCAACACTATGTTGAATAGGAATGGTGAGAGAGGGCATCCCTGTCTGTGCCAGTTTTCAAAGGGAATGCTTCCAGTTTTTGCCCATTCAGTATGATATTGGCTGTGGGTCTGTAATAGATAGCTCTTATTATTTCGAGATATGTCCCATCAATACCTAATTTATTGAGAGTTTTTAGCATCAAGGGTTGTTGAATTTTGTCAAAGGCCTTTTCTGCATCTATTGAGATAATCACATGGTTTTTGTCTTTGGTTCTGTTTATATGCTGGATTACATTTATTGATTTGTGTATGTTGAACCAGCCTTGCATCCCAGGGATGAAGCCCACTTGATCATGGTGGACAAGCTTTTTGAGGTGCTGCTGGATTCGGTCTGCCAGTATTTTATTGAGGATTTTTGCATCGATGTTCATCAGGGATATTAGTCTAAAATTCTCTTTTTTGTGTGTGTCTCTGCCAGGCTTTGGTATCAGGATGATGCTGGCCTCATAAAATGAGTTAGGAAGGATTCCCTCTTTTTCTATTGATTGGAATAGTTTCAGAAGGAATGGTACCAGCTCCTCCTTTTACCTCTGGTAGAATTCGGCTGTGAATCTGTCTGGTCCTGGACTTTTTTTGGTTGGTAGGCTATTCATTATTGCCTCAATTTCAGAGACTGTTATTGGTCTATTCAGAGATTCAACTTCTTCCTGGTTTAGTCTTGGGAGGGTGTATGTGTCCAGGAATTTATCCATTTCTTCTAGATTTTCTAGTTTATTTGTGTAGAGGTGTTTATAGTATTCTCTGATGGTAGTTTGTATTTCTGTGGGATCGGTGGTGATATCCCCTTTATCATTTTTTATTGTGTCTATTTGATTCTTCTCTCTTTCTTCTTTATTAGTCTTGCTAGCAGTCTATCAATTTTGTTGATCCTTTCAAAAAACCAGCTCCTGGATTCATTAATTTTTTGAAGGGTTTTTTGTGTCTCTATTTCCTTCAGTTCTGCTCTGATTTTAGTTATTTCTTGCCTTCTGCTAGCTTTTGAATGTGTTTGCTCTTGCTTTTCTAGTTCTTTTAACTGTGACGTTAGGGTGTCGATTTTGGATCTTTCCTGCTTTCTCTTGTGGGCATTTAGTGCTATAAATTTCCCTCCACACACCGCTTTGAATGTGTCCCAGAGATTCTGGTATGTTGTGTCTTTGTTCTCGTTGGTTTCAAAGAACATCTTTATTTCTGCCTTCATTTCGTGATGTACCCAGTAGTCATTCAGGAGCAGGTTGTTCAGTTTCCATGTAGTTGAGCGGTTTTGAGAGAGTTTCTTAGTCCTGAGTACTAGTTTGATTGCACTGTGGTCTGAGAAACAGTTTGCTATAATTTCTGTTTTTTTACATTTGCTGAGGAGTGTTTTACTTCCAATTACGTGGTCAATTTTGGAATAAGTGTGACGTGGTGCTGAGAAGAATGTATATTCTGTCGATTTGGGGTGGAAAGTTCTGTAGATGTCTACTAGGTCTGCCTGCTGCAGAGCTGAGTTCAATTCCTGGATATCCTAGTTAACTTTCTGTTTCGTTGATCTGTCTATCGTTGACAGTGGGGTGTTAAAGTCTCCCATTATTATTGTGTGGGAGTCTAAGTCTCTTTGTAGGTCTCTAAGGACTTGCTTTATGAATCTGGGTGCTCCTGTATTGGGTGCATATATATTTAGGATAGTTAGCTTTTCTTGCTGAATTGATCCCTTTACCATTATGTAATGGCCTTGTCTCTTTTGATCTTTGTTGGTTTAAAGTCTGTTTTATCAGAGACTAGGATTGCAACCCCTACCTTTTTTTTTGTTTTCCATTTGCTTGGTAGATCTTCCTCCATCCCTTTATTTTGAGCCTATTTGTGTCTCTGCATGTGAGATGGATTTCCTGAATACAGCACACTGATGTCTCTTGACTCTTTATCCTATTTGCCAGTCCGTGTCTTTTAATTGGAGCATTTAGCCCATTTACATTTAAGGTTAATATTGTTATGTGTGAATCTGATACTGCCATTATGATGTTAGCTGGTTATTTTGCTCGTTAGTTGATGCAGTTTCTTCCTAGCATCGATGGTCTTTTCAATTTGGCATGTTTTTGCAGTGGCTGTACCAGTTGTTCCTTTCCACATTTAGTGCTTCCTTCAGGAGCTCTTGTAGGGCAGGTCTGGTGGTGGCAAAATCTCTCAGCATTGGCTTGTCTGTAAAGGATTTATTTCTCCTTCACTTATGAAGCTTAGTTTGGCTGGATATGAAATTCTGGGTTGAAAATTCTTTTCTTTAACAATGTTGAATATTGGCCCCCACTCTCTTCTGGCTTGTGGAGTTTCTGCCGAGAGATCAGCTGTTAGTCTGATGGGCTTCCCTTTGTAGGTAACCCGACTTTTCTTTCTGGTTGCCCTTAACATTTTTTCCTTCATTTCAACTTTGGTGAATCTGACAATTATGTGTCTTGGAGTTGCTCTTCTCAAGGAGTATCTTTGTGGTGTTCTCTGTATTTCCTGAATGTGAATGTTGGCCTGCCTTGCTAGGTTGGGGAAGTTCTCCTGGATAATATCCTGCAGAGTGTTTTCCAACTTGGTTCCATTCGCCCCCTCACTTTCAGGTACACCAATCAGACGTGGATTTGGTCTTTTCACATAGTCCCATATTTCTTGGAGGCTTTGTTTGTTTCTTTTTATTCTTTTTTCTCTAAACTTCTCTTCTTGCTTCATATCATTCATTTGATCTTCAATCACTGATACCCTTTCTTCCAGTTGATGGAATTGGCTACTGAAGCTTGTGCATTCGTCGCGTAGTTCTCATGCCATGGTTTTCAGCTCCATCAGGTCATTTAAGGACTTCTCTGCATTGGTTATTCTAGCTAGCCATTCGTCTAATCTTTTTTCAAGGTTTTTAACTTCTTTGTGATGGGTTCTAACTTCCTCCTTTAGCTCAGAAAAGTTTGATCGTCTGAAGCCTTCTTCTCTCAACTCGTCAAAGTCATTCTCCGTCCAGCTTTGTTCCATTGCTGGTGAGGAGCTTCGTTCCTTTGGAGGAGGAGAGGCACTCTGATTTTTAGAATTTTCAGTTTTTCTGCTCTGTTTTTTCCCCATCTTTGTGGTTTTATCTACCTCTGGTCTTTGATGATGGTGACGTACAGATGGGGTTTTGGTGTGGATGTCCTTTCTGTTTGTTAGTTTTCCTTCTAATAGTCAGGACCCTCAGCTGCAGGTCTGTTGGAGTTTGCTGGAGGTCCACTCCAGAACCTGTTTGCCTGGGTATCAGCAGCAGAGGCTGCAGAACAGCGAATATTGCTGAACAGCGAATGTTGCTGCCTGATCTTTCCTCTGGAAGTTTCGTCTCAGAGGGGTACCCAGCCGTGTGAGGTGTCAGTCTGCCCCTACTTCGGGGGTGCCTTCCAGTTAGGCTACTCAGAGGTCAGGGACCCACTTGAGAAAGCAGTCTGTCTGTTCTCAGATCTCAAACTCCGTGCTGGGAGAACCACTACTCTCTTCAAAGCTGTCAGACTGGGACATTTAAGTCTGCAGAGGTTTGTGCTGCCTTTTGTTCAGCTATGCCCTGTCCCCAGAGGTGGAGTCTACAGAGGCAGGCAGGCCTCGTTGAGCTGCAGTGGGCTCCACCCAGTTTGAGCTTCCTGGCCGCTTTGTTTACCTACTCAAGCCTGAGCAATGGCGGGCGCCCCTCCCCCAGCCTCACTGCCGCCTTGCAGTTTGATCTCAGACTGCTGTGCTAGCAATGAGCGAGGCTCCGTGGGCGTGGGACCCTCCGAGCCAGGCGTGGGATATAATCTCCTGGTGTTCCATTTGCTAAGACCATTGGAAAAGCGCAGTATTAGGGTGGGAGTGACCTGATTTTCCAGGTGCCATCTGTGACAGCTTTGCTTGTCTAGGAAAGGGAATTCCCTGACCCCTTGCACTTCCCGGGTGAGGTGATGCCTCACCATGCTTCGGCTCATGCTCGGTGCGCTGCACCCACTGTCCTGCACCCACTGTCTGACAAGCCCCAGTGAGATGAACCCGGTACCTCAGTTGGAAATGCAGAAATCACCTGTCTTCTGCATCGCTCACGCTGGGAGCTGTAGACTGGAGCTGTTCCTATTCGGCCAACTTGGAACTGCCCCACCGATTTGATTTCAATGATATTTGCACTGATGCTACATTTTCTGAGAATTCATTAAGTTGTACAGTTATGTTGTAATTTCTAGAGGTATGCAATACTTCAATAAGAAACTTTGAAATATTTTGACTTTGTCTTATTGGCTTTGCTTTGTAGTAGGTTTTGCAGTGTCACTGTAAAGTGGCTACTTGGAATACATTTGATGTTAAAAAGCTGTTACTTTATAACAAAACATCAACAAGCAGGAACTGAGCACATGGGCATGTAGTTTTATATACCTGCACCATTTAGATTAGTCTGACCATTATGATTCACTCAGTACAAATTTAACATTAAATTAAAATCAGTGGTACTTATCCTAGAGGCCTGATTATAATCAGCAAAATAATTCATGCTAAAAGCTGCAAGATTGCAAGGTAAGCATTAATATTTCACAAGAAACCATGGAGAATACTATCCAAGGAGTCACCATGACTAGTTAGGCAGAGGACACATAGAAACAGAAGGAAGAAAACTTTCCAAATATCAAGAAATAAAAACAAAACGATGATAAAGCTGGCTTTTTCAAAGGGCTTCTCAGTGGTGTACTGGGTTGGCCCCAGAGGGACTTTGGCAAATCTAGTCCTCAAAAGTAAAATGAGAGAAAATGACCATTGATGAAGGGCATAAAATTGCATTTTGTATGGAAATATTCATAACTGTCCTCTGTTCAGGCCCTATTATGTTCCATTTCAGTGTTGCGGATACCTTGTTTCATTCATTCATACCACCATTTTATAACTGCAGAAACTAAGGCTTGGCAAGTTAAACTACTTGGTTCAGGAACCCCAGCAGGCCAGAGAAGGGTGATAAGTCAGACTCAGGATGTTCTGACTGGCTTCAGCAAACTGCACAGAAACACATGGGCTCCATGCTGCTCCTATGGGTCCTGATTACAATCTGCCTCCCTGAGGTGGCTGCTTCCACCTTCTCCCCACGGGGTGGCCACCCTCCAAGATAGCCCCCAAGGATCCCTCTGTGTGGCCCCCTCCACTTTGTACTAGGGTTAGTCTGTATGACCGATGGATTATAGCCTATGTGATGGGATGTCACTTCCGAGATTACTCCATGACACACTGTGGCTTCCACCATAAGCTGTCGCTTTATCTCTCCCTCATCACTCACTCTGAGGGAAGTCAACTGATGCTTTACAAGGTTGCCCAGGCAGCCAGGGAAGAGGCTGTGGTGAGGCTCTGAGGTCTCCTGCTGACCGCCAGTGAAGAATTGAGGCCACCAGCAGCCCTGCGAGTGGGGATGGAAGAAGGTCCTGCAGCCCCAGCTAGACTGTAGCCTCGAGAAGGACCCTGAGCCAGTTACACCACGCTTGGATTTATGAGCCTCAGAAATGGTGTAAGAAATATATGATGGTTATCTTAGGCTGCTAAATTTTGGGATGATTTTTGTATGCGGCAATAGATGACTAGTACACCACAATATCAGACTTCGACTAAACATTCCTGATTTAAAAAAAAAAAAAAAGAACTGCAATGGAATGACATACAAATGCACCAGAATGGCTAAAGTTAAAAAGACTGACAACACTAAACATCAAAGATGATGGAGCAAGCAGGACTCTCGTATGTTGTTACAGTGGGAGTATAAAACAATATGAACACAATTGAAAAGGTCTAGCAGTTTCTGTAATACTCAACATACATCTGCCTATGACCTAGCTACATCTACCTGGGATCCAGAGAGTTCACTCATAGGTGTTTACCCAAGAAAAGCAAAGCCACATCTCCATAAAAAGACTTCTACAGAAATGTCTGTAGTAGCTTTACTGATAGTAGCCAAAGCCAGAAACCACCCAGATACCCATTAAATAGTGATGGATAAAAAAACAAACTGTGGTATAGCCACACAATGAAACACTACTTAGCACACTTCATTCTTTCTTCAAAAGAAATGAACTGCTAATATACTCAACATAGATGAATTTCAGAAATGTGCTTGGTGGAAAAACCAGACACAAACCTTGCACACTGTACACTTTCATTTATACGAGGTTATGGAACAAGCAAAATCAATCTAGGAATGCAAAAAAAAATTGAGAACAATGGTTGCTGAGGGGTGGGCTGAGGTGGGGAGGGGTTTTGACCAAGAAAAGAAGTGAGGAAACTTTTTGAAAGGAAGGTAGTGTTTGATTTTTTTATTACAGTTTCAGACACAAGGTGTGTCTATTCGTCAATACCTATTAATGGCATACCTAAGGCTTGTGCATTTCATTGCACATAGATTTTACCATAAAGAACCAAAAACATATTGCACTCCAGTTAATAATAGCCAGGCGGAAACATTTAAGGTGAAATGTAAGCTACGTATCTACAACTTACCTTGAAATATACAAAAAATTAGATGAATTGATGGATTCATGGAAGAATGGGTAGATGGATAGGTACATATATGTGACAAAGAAAGTAGGGTAAAATGTTAATTGTAGAATCTAGGTGGTGGGTACATGGTGTTCATTGAGCAATTCTTTCATCTTTTGCATGTTTGAAAAATTTAATAGTATACTAGTGGGGAAAATATTTGAGAGTGGTGGGTTCTGTGTGTGCATGGAACTATCTGTAACTTGGAGGAGCTAGAAAAATCCATTTGGACAATGTGTTCATGGACTCAGAAAATCAGAATATAATTTTTTTTGAGGCAGGGTCTCACTGTGTTGCCCAAGTTGGATTGCAGTGGTGCAATCATAGCTCACTGCAGCCTTGACCTCCTGGGTTCAAATGATTCTCCTGCCTCAGCCTCCTCAGTTGCCAGGACTACAGGTGTGTGCCACCATACCTGGTTAATTTTTGTATTTTTAGTAAAGACAGGGTTGTACTATATTGCCCAGGCTGGGCTCCAACTCCTCGCCTCAAGTGATTCTCCTGCCTTGGCCTCCCAAAGTGCTGGAATTACAGGTGTGAGCCACTGCACCCGGCCTATATTTGTTTTTTTTTTGTTTTGTTTTTTTGTTTTTATGGTTTCTTTTTTACACCTTAAAGATTACTTTATTGTTAAAAAAAAAAAGTGCTAACAATCATCTGAGCCCTCAGCAAGTTGTAATCTTGCTAATGGGGGGTCTCTCCTCCACGTTGATGGCATCTGATTGATCAGGCTGGTAGTTGCTGAAGGTTAGGGTGGCTATGGCAACTTCTTTTATTATTATTATTATACTTTTAAGTTTTAGGGTACATGTGCACAATGTGCAGGTTTGTTACACATGTATGCATGTGCCATGCTGGTGTGCTGCACCCATTAACTCGTCATTTAGCATTAGGTATATCTCCTAATGCTATCCCTCCCCCCTCCCCCCACCCCACAACAGTCCCCGGAGTGTGATGTTCCCCTTCCTGTGTCCATGTGTTCTCATTGTTCAATTCCCACCTATGAGTGAGAACATGCAGTGTTTGGTTTTTTGTCCTTGAGATAGTTTGCTGAGAATGATGGTTTCCAGTTTCATCCATGTCCCTACAAAGGACATGAACTCACCATTTTTTATGGCTGCATAGTATTCCATGGTGTATATGTACCACATTTTCTTAATCCAGTCTATGGTTGTTGGACATTTGGGTTGGTTCCAAGTCTTTGCTATTGTGAATAGTGCTGCAATAAACATACGTGTGCATGTGTCTTTATAGCAGCATGATTTATAATCCTTTGGGTATGTACCCAGTAATGGGATGGCTGGGTCAAATGATATTTCTAGTTCTAGATCCCTGAGGAATCGCCACACTGACTTCCACAATGGTTGAACTAGTTTACACTCCCACCAACAGTGTAAAAGTGTTCCTACTTTTCCACATCCTCTCCAGCACCTGTTGTTTCCTGACTTTTTAATGATCGCCATTCTAAGTGGTGTGAGATGGTATCTCATTGTGGTTTCGATTTGCATTTCTCTGATGGTCAGTGATGATGAGCATTTTTTCATGTGTTTTTTGGCTGCATAAATGTCTTCTTTTGAGAAGTGTCTGTTCATATCCTTCACCCACTTGTTGATGGGGTTGTTTGTTTTTTTTCTTTTAAATTTGTTTGAGTTCATTGTAGATTCTGGATACTAGCCCTTTGTCAGATGAGTAGGTTGCAAAAATTTTCTCCCATTTTGTAGGCTGCCTGTTCACTCTGATGGTAGTTTCTTTTGCTGTGCAGAAGCTCTTTAGCTTAATTAGATCCCATTTGTCAATGTTGGCTTTTGTTGCCATTGCTTTTGGTGTTTTAGACATGAAGTCCTTGCCCGTGCCTATGTCCTGAATGGTATTGCCTAGGTTTTCTTCTAGGGTTTTTATGGTTTTAGGTCTAATGTTTAAGTCTTTAGTCTATCTTGAATTAATTTTTGTAAAGGGTGTAAAGAAGGGATCCAGTTTCAGCTTTCTACATATGGCCAGCCAGTTTTCCCAGCACCATTTATTAAATAGGGAATCCTTTCCCCATTGCTTGTTTCTGTCAGGTTTGTCGAAGATCAGATGGTTGTAGATATGTGGCATTATTTCTGAGGGCTCTCTTCTGTTCCATTGATCTATATCTCTGTTTTGGTACCAGTACCATGCTGTTTTGGTTACTGTAGCCTTGTAGTATAGTTTGAAGTCAGGTAGGGTGATGCCTCCAGCTTTGTTCTTTTGGCTTAGGATTGACTTGGCAATGCGGGCTCTTTTTTGGTTCCATATCAACTTTAAAGTAGTTTTTTCCAATTCTGTGAAGAAAGTCATTGGTAGCTTGATGGGGATGGCATTGAATCTATAAATTACCTTGGGCAGTATGGCCATTTTCACGATATTGATTCTTCCTACCCATGAGCATGGAATGTTCTTCCATTTGTTTGTATCCTCTTTAATTTCATTGAGCAGTGGTTTGTAGTTCTCCTTGAAGAGGTCCTTCACATCCCTTGTAAGTTGGATTCCTAAGTATTTATTCTCTTTGAAGCAATTGTGAATGGGAGTTCACTCATGATTTGGCTCTCTGTTTGTCTGTTATTGGTGCATAAGAATGCTTGTGATTTTTACACATTGATTTTGTATCCTGAGACTTTGTTGAAGTTGCTTATCAGCTTAAGGAGATTTTGGGCTGAGACAATGGGGTTTTCTAGATATACAATCATGTCATCTGCAAACAGGGACAATTTGACTTCCTCTTTTCCTAATTGAATACCCTTTATTTCCTTCTCCTGCCTAATTGCCCTGGCCAGAACTTCCAACACTATGTTGAATCGGAGTGGTGAGAGAGGGCATCCCTGTCTTATGCCAGTTTTCAAAGGGAATGCTTCCAGTTTTTGCCCATTCAGTATGATATTGGCTGTGGGTTTGTCATAGATAGCTCTTAATATTTTGAGATATGTCCAATCAATACCTAATTTATTGAGAGTTTTTAGCATCAAGGGTTGTTGAATTTTGTCAAAGGCCTTTTCTGCATCCATTGAGATAATCATGTGGTTTTTGTCATTGGTTCTGTTTATATGCTGGATTACATCTATTGATTTGTGTACATTTAACCAGCCTTGCATCCCAGGGATGAAGCCCACTTGATCATGGTGGATAAGCTTTTTGAGGTGCTGCTGGATTCGGTCTGCCAGTATTTTATTGAGGATTTTTGCATCAATGTTCATCAAGGATATTCAGCTAAAATTCTCTTTTTTGTGTGTGTCTCTGCCAGGCTTTGGTATCAGGATGATGCTGGCCTCATAAAATGAGTTAGGGAGGATTCCCTCTTTTTCTATTGATTGGAATAGTTTCAGAAGGAATGGTACCAGCTCCTCCTTTTACCTCTGGTAGAATTCGGCTGTGAATCCATCTGGTCCTGGACGTTTTTGGTTGGTAAGCTATTGATTATTGCTAAAATTTCAGAGCTCGTTATTGGTCTATTCAGAGATTCAACTTCTTCCTGGTTTAGTCTTGGGAGGGTGTATGTGTCCAGGAATTTATCCATTTCTTCTAGATTTTCTAGTTTATTTGTGTAGAAGTGTTTGTAGTATTCTCTGATGGTAGTTTGTATTTCTGTGGGATCAGTGGTGATATCCCCTTTATCATTTTTTATTGTGTCTATTTGATTCTTCTCTCTTTCTTCTTTATTAGTCTTGCTAGCAGTCTATCAATTTTGTTGATCCTTTCAAAAAACCAGCTCCTGGATTCATTAATTTTTTGAAGGGTTTTTTGTGTCTCTATTTCCTTCAGTTCTGCTCTGATTTTAGTTATTTCTTGCCTTCTGCTAGCTTTTGAATGTGTTTGCTCTTGCTTTTCTAGTTCTTTTAACTGTGACGTTAGGGTGTCGATTTTGGATCTTTCCTGCTTTCTCTTGTGGGCATTTAGTGCTATAAATTTCCCTCCACACACCGCTTTGAATGTGTCCCAGAGATTCTGGTATGTTGTGTCTTTGTTCTCGTTGGTTTCAAAGAACATCTTTATTTCTGCCTTCATTTCGTGATGTACCCAGTAGTCATTCAGGAGCAGGTTGTTCAGTTTCCATGTAGTTGAGTGGTTTTCAGTGAGTTTCTTAGTCCTGAGTTCTAGTTTGATTGCACTGTGGTCTGAGAGACAGTTTGTTATAATTTCTGTTCTTTTACATTTGCTGAGGAGTGCTTTACTTCCAACTATGTGGTCAATTTTGGAATAGGTGTGGTGCTGAAAAAAATGTATATTCTGTTGATTTGGGGTGGAGAGTTCTGTAGATGTCTATTAGGTCTGCCTGCTGCAGAGCTGAGTTCATTTCCTGGGTATCCTTGTTAACTTTCTGTGTCGTTGATCTGTCTAACATTGACAGTGGGGTGTTAAAGTCTCCCATTATTAATGTGTGGGAGTCTAAGTCTCTTTGTAGGTCACTCAGGACTTGCTTTATGAATCTTGGTGCTCCTGTATTGGGTGCATATATATTTAGGATAGTTAGCTCTTCTTGTTGAATTGATCCCTTTACCATTATGTAATGGCCTTCTTTGTCTCTTTTGATCTTTGCTGGTTTAAAGTCTGTTTTATCAGAGACTAGGATTGCAACCCCTGCCTTTTTTTGTTTTCCATTTGCTTGGTAGATCTTCCTCCATCCCTTTATTTTGAGCCTATGTGTGTCTCTGCACATGAGATGGGTTTCCTGAATACAGCACACTGATGGGTCTTGACTCTTTATCCAATTTGCCAGTCTGTGTCTTTTAATTGGAGCATTTAGCCCACTGACATTTAAAGTTAATATTGTTATGTGTGTATTTGGTCCTGTCATTATGATGTTAGCTGGTTATTTTGATCGTTAGTTGATGCAGTTTTCTTCCTAGCCTTGATGGTCTTTACATTTTGGCATGTTTTTGCAGTGGCTGGTACCAGTTGTTCCTTTCCATGTTAAGTTCTTCCTTTAAGAGCTCTTTTAGGGCAGACCTGGTGGTGACAAAATCTCTCAGCATTTGCTTGTCTGTAAAGTATTTTATTTCTCCTTCACTTATGAAGCTTAGTTTGGCTGGATATGAAATTCTGGGTTGAAAATTCTTTTCTTTAAGAATGTTGAATATTGGCCCCAACTCTCTTCTGGCTTGTAGAGTTTCTGCCGTGAGATCAGCTGTTAGTCTGATGGGTTTCCCTTTGTGGGTTACCCGACCTTTCTCTCTGTCTGCGCTTAACATTTTTTCCTGCATTTCAACTTTGGTGAATCTGATAATTATGTGTCTTGGAGCTGCTCTTCTCGAGGAGTATCTTTGTGGCGTTCTCTGTATTTCCTGAATCTGAATGTTTGCCTGCCTTGCTAGATTGGGGAAGTTCTCCTGGAAAATATCCTGCAGAGTGTTTTCCAACTTGGTTCCATTCTCCCCATCACTTTCAGGTACACCAATCAGACGTAAATTTGGTCTTTTCACATAGTCCCATATTTCTTGGAGGCTTTGTTCATTTCTTTTTATTCTTTTTTCTCTAATCTTCCCTTCTCGCTTCATTTCATTCATTTCATCTTCCATCACTGATACCCTTTCTTCCAGTTGATTGCATCGGCTCCTGAGGCTTCTGCATTCTTCACGTAATTCTTGAGCCTTGGCTTTCAGCTCCATCAGCTCCTTTAAGGACTTCTCTGCGTTGATTATTCTAGTTATCCATTCATCTAGTTTTTTTTCAAAGTTTTTAACTTCTTTGCCATTGGTTTGAATTTCCTCCTGTATCTCAGAGTAGTTTGATCGTCTGAAGCCTTCTTCTCTCAGCTCGTCAAAGTCATTCTCCGTCCAGCTTTGTTCCGTTGCTGGTGAGAAGGTGCGTTCCTTTGGAGGAGGAGAGGTGCTCTGCTTTTTAGTGTTTCCAGTTTTTCTGCTCTGTTTTTTCCCCATCTTTGTGGCTTTATCTACTTTTGGTCTTTGATGATGGTGACGTACAGAAGGGTTTTTGGTGTGGATGTCCTTTCTGTTTGTTAGTTTTCCTTCTAACAGACAGGACCCTCAGCTGCAGGTCTGTTGGAGTTTGCTAGAGGTCCACTCCAGACTCTGTTTGCCTCAGTATCAGCAGCGGTGGCTGCAGAACAGCGGTGCCTGTAGAACAGCGGTGGCTGTAGAACAGCAGATCTTGGTGAACCACAGATGCTGCTGCCTGATCTTTCCTCTGGAAGTTTTGTCTCAGAGGAGTACCTGGCCGTGTGAGGTGTCAGTCTGCCCCCACTTGGGGGTGCCTCCCAGTTAGGCTGCTCGGGGGTCAAGGACCCACTTGAGGAGGCAGTCTGCCCGTTCTCAGATCTCCAGCTGTGTGCTGGGAGAACCACTACTCTCTTCAAAGCTGTCAGACAGGGACATTTAAGTTTGCAGAGGTTACTGCTGTCTTTTTGTTTGTCTGTGCCCTGCCCCCAGAGGTGGAGCCTACAGAGGCAGGCAGGCCTCCTTGAGCTGTGGTGGGCTCCACCCAGTTCGAGCTTCCCGGCTGCTTTGTTTGCCTAATCAAGCCTGGGCAATGGCAGGCGCCCCTCCCCCAGCCTCACTGCCACCTTGCAGTTTGATCTCAGACTGCTGTGCTAGCAATCAGGGAGACTCCGTGGGCGTAGGACCCTCCGAGCCAGATGCGGGATATAATCTCCTGGTGTGCCGTTTTTTAAGCCCGTTGGAAAAGCACAGTATTCAGGTTGGAGTGAACCGATTTTCCAGGTGCCGTCTGTCACCCCTTTCTTTGACTAGGAAAGGGAATTCCCTGACCCCTTGAGCTTCCCGAGTGAGGCAATGCCTTGCCCTGCTTCGGCCCACGCACAGTGCGCTGCACCCACTGTCCTGCACCCACTGTGTGGCACTCCCTAGTGAGATGAGCCTGGTACCTCAGATGGAAATGCAGAAATCACCCGTCTTCTGTGTTGCTCACGCTGGAAGCTGTAGACCAGAGCTGTTCGTATTTGGCCATCTTGGCTCCACCCCCCTGTATTTGTTTTAAACCAATTTTGATCTCTATCTTGGAGGGAGATCCAGTTCATTAGAGATCATTCCTATGGATGCCTCTCCAACTTCTACACTAGATATTCATTTCTCACCTTAGACCTTTCAGATGATCCTCTGCAGTGAATTCTTATAATGTTATGCTTTCTTGGTACCTATTTTGAATGTATGTTGGACTTTCTCATACCAGAAGCAGGGCTTAGTCATCCTTGAAAGTTTCCAGGTCTCCACCTCTTCCCAGGCCCTCAAAATGGTCGATCCAGAGATGTGCCTTATATAGCTGCCTCCTGGTGACCAAGTCCCTAAGGGACAGCTAGATGCAACCTACTTGACCCACCCTGCAGACCCTCACACCCAGCATGGACTGCTCAGATATGCTGCCATGACCACCCTTCACTCACAGCATGGCCTCCTGTAACTTGTGCCTACCTGCTCTAACCCAACGAATTACAACTCCTTGTGGGGAACCTGCTGGGGTGATGGCCTGGACCCCATAAAGGCTTCAGCCCTCAGAGCCCACACTCCATCTATCTTGCTCCCCACCCGCTAGCGAGCACACAGGTCCTGACGGCTCCCCTAGTCCAGCGTGCTGCCCTCTTCTCTCCGGACCTGCGAGGAACTCACTGCTTCTGGTATTTCATAGGTTTTGTTGAGTGGCCTCCTCTGTGTCTCACTCGACCGACACACCTGAACCTAACTTCTTTCCAAATTCAGAACTGTCCTAAAGAGTGGCTATCTTGGTAGGCTAAATAAATAAATACACCAGACACAGACAAGAGACTCAAGGGTGTCTAAGAGGGTAAACAAGTCTCCCAGGAGAGACCTGGGCACAGGTCAGACACAGGGATTCTGCCATCCACCAGGATAAAGAAGTACCCCGTGAAGGCACATCATAAACATGCACAACCACCTCCCCTGGAGCCCCGTCAGGGCAGGGCTGGACTTCACAGCCACTCTACAGAGAGAGGGAGACCTCAAAAGCAAACTAAAAAGAGAAAAATGCAACCCCCTCTCTCTGCCACTGCTGACAAAAGCCAGTCTATGGCAGTTTAAACACAGCAAGCAAACCAGCCATGACCTCGCGTTGGGTGTCTCCTCTTCCACGACGTTTCTCTACACACACTCTTCCCAGGGCACCTGGACCTACTCCCTGCCTTTACACAGCATACATGTCCCTGCCAGCAAGCCACAGCACGTGCTCTGTGTTCTGCCGGGATGTTCTCCACCCGTCTCCACCCACCATGCCTCTGTCTGTCAAGGCCTTCCTTCACGGAGCTCTGTGCATGCTCATGGCCGGAGTTCCCTCCTTATCCCTCAAGGCCTCCCTTCCTACAGGCTTCTCCCGGCACAGTGCCCATCTGCCCTGTATACAGCAGGCAATGTTCCTGCAGGTCTGCACCAGGGCATGAGTGCCGATGACAGCGATGGAGTCCCGTTCCCCTGTGCTTCACAGAGCAGGGGCTGCCCCACACAGAAACCGCCCAAGGCTTCCCCAGTGTCCTCGCCTCAGTCTGGGGCCCTTTTTTCCTGAAGGTTTCTATCGGGCTCTGACTGAAACCTTTAACCAAAGGGAGTGTGAAGCAGGACAGAAGGACAGCAAGCTTTCCTCAAGGTTGGGACCCTGGGGACGCAGACAGGACTCTTCCCACCTTCTGGAACCTGCCTCTGGCACCCAACCATTCCCAGTCTTACTGGATGTGACAGGAAGGAAATCAGCTCTAACTTCAGTTCCACCTTAAACTCCAAAGACACCATCAGCAAGTCCTAGGTCCTTAGTGGTTCTTGGTTTCTGCCTTCTAAAGCAAGGGGTTTGAGCCCCTCCAAGTCTGTGACTGAAGCTTTTAAACCCCAAGCAAAGCTCCATTCATAGTCCTTCTTGGCAAGTTTTGACCCACTGCTAGTCCTTCCCTATCTAGAAAGACTCTCCTTTGTTTTGACCCCAAGTAGCCCCCATTTCCTCTTAGGAAAACCTGGTACTAAATACGGCACTACCTTGGTGCTCCTGGGACCTACAGGTCACCTTGCTCACTGCCCTCAATTTTACAGATGAGAAAACAGAGCAAGAAGATCAAGAAACTTGTTGAAGATTGCACAGTAAATTAGTAAGACCTAGGGCTAGCGGAGCAAATAATATTTCCTGCCTGAAAACACAAAGACCTCCCATCCAAGCATCCTTCCCAGCAGCCAATGGAACCAGGCGGGGAGAGACCTGGGGGCAGAGAGCCCCGACACTGCCTTGCCGCTGCACTGAGGATGGCACCTGGTGCTTCCAGGGAGGGTGTATGAAGGCGCTAACTCCAACCTGGATGTTTTAGAAAGCAGACAGTGGGGCATGTACTACAACTCTCTTATTCAACATAAAAGAATGCAAATGATAAAATTCTAAGATGCCTAAGTGGGGTTTGAAAAAGTCGATGTAACTGGAGGTTAAATGTGACATGTGAAACCCACAAGCAAGTGAAGATCTGAAAACTGTCTTGTTAATTCACTTCAGGCTGCCCAGTTTTTGTAGGGACAGCTGTGGCTACAAACGGGGGCCATGTGGGAAGGGCACTCTCCCTGCACTGTCACCTGCATGCCCAGGATTGGCAAGGAGAGCCACTGCCCCCCACTTGCCAGCTGGTCTCCGGCAGCATGAAAACAGGGGGCGTGGCAGTTCCTGCCATAAAGAGGAAAATGATACACCTTATCCCAGACGCCAGGTGCTGTCTGCATCAGTCCTTTTAAAAATTTAATCGCTTTATACAATTGACACCAAATAAAATGCACATATTTAAGTTTATAATTTGAGAAGCTGACACGTGTCCATACAGACACACCTCATTTTACTGTGCTTTACTGTATTGCCCTTTGAAGATACTGCATTTTCTTTTTACAAATTAAAGGTTTGTGGCAACCCTGTGCTGAGCAAGTTTATTGGCATCATTTTTCAAACAGCATGCACTCACTGTGCATCTCTGTGTCACATTTTGGGAATTCTCACAGTATTTCAAACTTTTCCATTAGGATTATATCTGTTATAGTGATCTGTGCTCAGTGATCTTTGATGTTACTGTTGTAATTACAACAGTTCTGGTTCTGGGGCACCACGAACCACACCCACACATACCGATGAACTTAATAAACGTTGTGTGTGTTCTGACTGCTCCACTGACCAGTGATTCTCCTGTCTCCCTCTCCTCAGGCCTCCCTATTCCCTGAGACACAACATATTAAAGTTAGGCTATTAACAACCCTAAAATGTCAAGTTGTTCAAATGGAAAAAAAAAAGAATTTCATGTTTCACTTTAAATCAAAAGCTAGGAATGGTTAAGCTTAGTGAGGAAGGCATTTTAAAAGCTAAGATGGGCCAAAAGCTAGGCCTCTTACACTAAACAGTTAACTAACTTTTGAATGCAAAGGAATAATTATTGAAAGAAATTAGTAGTGCTACTCCAGTGAATACACAAATGATAAGAAAGTGAAACAGTCTTATTGCCGATACGGAGAAAGTTTCAGTGGTCTGTGGTCTGGATAGATCAAACCAGTTACAATATTCCCTTAAGCCAAAGCCTAATCCAGAGCAAGACCCTAACTCTCTTCAATTCTACGGAGGCTAAGAGAGGTGAGGAAGCTACAGAAGAAAAGTTAGAAGCTAGCAGAGGCTGGTTCATGAGGTTTAAGGAAAAAAGCCATCTTCAATAACATAAAAGTTTCATGTTATTGCACTGGGGAAGTGGCAAGTGCTGATGGAGAAGCTGCAGCAAGATCTCTAGATCTTAGAAGATCTAGCTAACATCGCTGATTAAGGTGGCTACACTATACAACAGATGTTCAATGTAGACAACACAGCCCTCTATTGGAAGAAGATGTTATCTAGGCTAGATGAGAATAAGTCTCTGCCTGGCTTCAAAGCTTCTACAGACAGGGACAATTGTAGCTGGTGACTTTAAGTTGAAACCAATGCTCATTTATCATTCTGAAAGTTCTAGTGCCCTTAAGAATGACACTAAATCTACTCTTCCTGTGCTCTATAGGAACAAAGAAGCCTGGGCACAGCACATCTGTTGATACCTTGGTTTACTGAATATTTTAAGCTCATTGCTGAGACATGCTGCTCAGAAAGAAAGATTTCTTTCAAAATATTACTGCTCATTTGACAATGCACCTAGTTACCCAAGAGCTCTGATGAAGATGTACAAGATCAATGTTTTCACGTCTGCTAATACAACATCCATTCTGTACTCCACGGATCAAGGAGCAATTTTGACTTGCAACTCTTATTACTTAAGAAATACATTTTATAAGGCTATAACTGCCATAGATAGTGATTCCTCTGATAGATCTGGGCAAAGTACATTGAAAACCTTCTGGAAAGGATTCACAACTCTAGAAGTCAATAAGAACATCTGTGATTCATGGGAGGTGGTCAAATTATCAACATTAACAGGAGTTTGTAAGAAATGGATTCCAACTCTCATGGATGACTTTGTGGGGTCCAAGACTTCAGTGGAAGAATTAACTGCAGATGTGGTGGAAGAGAACTGGAATTAGAAGTGGAGTCTGAAGATGTGACTAAATTGCTACAATCTCAAGTTGGGGAGTTGCTTCTTATGGATGAGCAAGGAAAGTGGTTTCTTGAGATGGAATCTGCTCCTGGTAAAGATGCTGTGAACACTGCTGAAATGACAAAAAGGATTTAGAAATTACAAAATGCATTTGATAAAGCAGCAGCAAGGTTTCAGAGGACTGACTTCAATTTTGAAAGAAGTTCCACTGTGGGTAAAATGCTATCAAATAGCATCACACATGCTACAGAGAAATCTTTCATGAGAGGAAGAGTCAATTAAATGCATCAAACTTCACGATTGTCTTATTTTAAGAAATTGTCACAGCCACCCCAACCTTCAGCAATCACCACCCTGATCAGTTAGCAGCCATAAACATTGAGGCAAGACCCTCCACCAGCAAAAAGATTATGACTCACTGAAGGCTCAGATGATTGTTAGCATTTTTGGCAATAAAGTATTTTTTCAAATTAAGTTATGTACATTTTTTAGATATAATGCTATTGAACACTTAGTAGACTACAGAATAGTATAAAGATAACTTTTTTTTTTTTTTTTTTTGAGACAGGGTCTTGCTCTGTCACCCAGACTGGAGTAGAGTGGCGTGATTTCCACTCACTGCAACCTCTGTCTCCTCGACTCAAGCAATCCTCCCACCTCAGCCTCCCCAGTAGCTGGGACGACAGGCATGCACCACCAAACCAGGCTGATTTTTGTAGGTTTTTGTTTTTTTTTTTTTCAATAGAGACGAGGTCTCACCATGCTGCCCAAGCTGGTCTGGAACTCTGGGCTCAAGCTATCCGTCCTCCTTGGCTCTCAAAGTGCTGGGACTACAGGTGTGAGCCACTGTGCTTAGCCAACATAATTTCTATATGCACTAGAAAACCAAAAAATTCATGTGACTTGCTTTATTGCTATATTTATTGCAGTGGTCTGGAACTGAATCTGCAATACCTCTGAGGTCTGTTATCACTGCAAGATACCATACATATATACCACTCTCAAAAGATTCCTCAGGCCAGGTGCGGTCGCTCACGCCTATAATCCCAGCGCTTTGGGAGGCCGAGGTAGGCAAATCATGAGGTCAGGAGATCGAGACCATCCCGGCTAACACGGTGAAACCCCATCTCTACTAAAAATACAAAAAATTAGCCAGCCATGGTGGCGGGTGCCTGTAGTCGCAGCTACTCGGGAGGCTGAGGCAGGAGAATGGCGTGAACCCGGGAGGCAGAGCTTGCAGTGAGACGAGCTCGCGCCACCGCACTCCAGCCTCTGTCTAAAAAAAAAAAAGATTCCTCAGCTGCTTTGTAATCCCCACTGCTCACTGCTGCCCTCAGCCCTGTCTGAGGCAATCACTGACCTGCATTCCATCGCTATAGATCACTATGCATTTCCTAGACTTTACATAAGTGGAATTGCACAATATGTAGTTTTTTTTTGTCTCACTTCTTTCACTTCATGTAATTATTTTGAGAGTCATCTCTGTTGTTGCACGTTATCAATAATTCACTCCTTTGGATTGAGAGCCGAGTAGCATTCCAGTGTATGTATCTACCACCATTTGTTTACCCGTTTACCTGTGATGGGTATTTAGGTTGCTTCCAGTTTTTTAGCCCTCACTAAGAATGCCAAAAACATCTGTGTACAAGCTTTGCTATGGGCAAAGGCTTTCGGTTTTCTTAAGTAAATAAATAGGAGTAAAATTTGCTGGATTGTACACTAGGTACATGTCTAATTTTGAAGAACTTGCTGAATTGTTTTCTAAAGTGGCTGCACCACTTTCCATTCAAAACCAGCAGCGTACAAATTTACCAGTTTTTCCACATCCTTGCTGAGATTTGGTATGCTCAGTATTGTTGGTTTTAGTCATTCTCATAGGTGTGTAGTGCTATCTCATTCTGGCTTTAAGTTACATTTCCCTAAGGATTAATGATGTTGAGCATCTTTTCACCTGCTTATTTGCTATCCATGTATCTTCTTTGGTGAAGTCTGTTCAAAGCTTTTGCTTATTTTTAATTGGATAGTTTTTACAAAAATAATTGAGTCATGAGAACTCTTTACATATTCTAGAAACAAGTACTTTACCAGATATATGATTTGCAGTATTTTCTTCCAACTTGCAGTTTATCTTTTCATTCTCTTAACACTATCCTCAAAAAGCAGTTTAAGTTTTTAATGAAGTCCAATTTATTAATTTTTCTTTTATGGATTGTTCATGGGGTATCATGTCTAGAAAATCTTTTCCTAAGACAAGGTTAAAAAGATTTTCTCATGAATTAATGGCATTTGAGCGACCTGGATGAGACTGGAGACTATTATTCTAAGTGAAGTAACTCAGGAATGGAAAACCAAACATCGTATGTTCTGACTTATAAGTGGCAGCTAAGCTATGAGGATGCAAAGGCAGAAGAATGACACAATGGACTTTGAGGACTCAGGGATAAAAGACTACAAATAGGGTTCAGTGTATACTGCTCGGGTGATGGGTGCACCAAAATCTCACAAATCCCCACTAAAGAACTTACTCATGTAACCAAACACCACCTGTACCCCAATAACCTACGGAAATAAAAAAAAATAATAAAAATAAAATAAAAAGATTTTCTCCTGTGTTTTTTTCTAGAAGACTTTTTTAGCTTTAGGTTTTATATTTAGGGATACCATCCATTTTAAGGTAATTTTTGCATATGAGTGAGATGTAAACCAAAGTTCATTTCTTTTGCATATGAAAATCCAATTATCCCACAATTTGTTGAAAAGATTATTTTTTGCACTGAATTACTTTTGTATGCTTATTGAAGACCAGTTGTCCACATATGTGAACTATTTCTTAACTTTCCAATTTGTTTCATTGATCTAATTCTCTACATTAAAAAAACTACTTTATTGTATATATTAAGGTATATGATATGATGTTCTGATACACTTATACATAGTGAAATGGTTATTATAGTCAAGCACATTAGCTTATTCATCATTTCACGGTTACCCCTTTGTGCATATGTGTGTGTATGTGTGTGTGTATGTGTGTGTGCCTTGAAAGCAAATTTTCTAGTACACTATGCAATATTATTAATGATAGTCTTCATGTTGAACATTTGATCAACATCACAGTTTTGATTACTGTACTCTTATGAGTTTTAATATCAGGTATTGTCAGACTTCTGATATAGTTTGGCTCTATGTCCCCACCCAAATCTCACTTTGAATTGAAATCCCCATAATCCCCACGTGTCAAGGGCATGAGTGGGTGGAGGTCATTGGATCATGGGGGCAGTTTCCCCCATCCTGTTCTTGTGAATAATGAGTGAGTCTCACGAGATGTGAAGGTTTTATAAGTGTCTGGCCTCTCCCCTGCTTGCACTCACTCCATCCTGCTGCCCTGTGAAGAAGGTGCCTGCTTCTCCTTTGTCTTCCACCATGACTGTAAGTTTCCTGAGGCCTCCCCAGTAATGTGGAACTGTGAGTCAACTAAGCCTCTTTCCTTTATAAATTACCCAGTCTTGGGTATTTCTTCATAGCAATGTGAGAACAAATATGCTTTCTAACTTTATTCCAATTTTTCAAAGTTTGTTTTGTTTATTCTCTGTCCTGGGATTTATGTATGAATTTTAAAGTCAACTTGTTAATTTCTACATAAAAAGCTGGCTTGGATTGTTATTGAGATTATACTGAATTTAAAGCAATCTAGGGAGAACCAACATCTCAACAATATTGAGTCTTTTGACCCATGGATATGGTACATTTAACCCTTTATTTAGGTTTTTCATCTCTTTAAGCAATGTTTTGAAGTTTCAGTTGTAAATTTATTCATATTTTATATTTTTGGATGCTACTGAATAAAGTATTTTTAAAATTTATTTTAAAAAATAATGCAATTATTCATTGCAATTGTAAAAATGCAATTGATTTCTCTATATTGGTTTTGTATCTTACAACACTGCTAACTTCACTTACTAGTTCCAAAAAATGCTTTTAAATTCCATTAGATATTCTACATATGTCATCATGTCACCTGTGAATAAAGATAGTTTGCTTCTTCTTTTCCAATCTGGGTGCTTTTTAATTATAATTTATTGTTTGACTGCACTGGCCAGAATGTCCAGGAAAATGTTGGATAGAAGTAGTGAAAGGGCGCATTCTTATCTCCCTCTTGATCTTTGGGGAAAAGCTTTCTTTCATCACTAGGTGTCAGGTTAGCTGTAGGCTTTTTTGTAAATACTTTATATAAGATTGAGGAAGTTTTCTTCTATTCCTAGTTTTCTGAGTGTTTTCTAAAAATCAAGGACGAATGTGGATTTTACCAAAAGCTCTTTCTGCATTTACTGAGATGATTGTATACCTTCTGTTTCTCAGTATGTTAATATGGAAAATTATGTTGACTGATTTTTGAATGTTAAACTAGTTTTGCATTCTTGGGATAAAACCCACTTGGTCATGAGGTAGTATCCTTTTTATATGCTGCCAAATTCGATTTGCTAAAATCTTTTTCAGTGTTTTCACACTTTTCTTCATGAGGAATATTTGTCTGTAGTCTTTCTTGGTTTTGTATTAGGGTAATGCTGGCGCAAAGAATGAATGAGTTGGGAAGTATAACCCCTTTTCAATTTCCTGGAAGAGCTGGTATAATTTTTTCTTTATATGTGTGGTAGAATTTACCAATGAAGCTATAGATGCTTGCAGTTATCTTTGTGAGAAAGTTTTCAACTACAACTTAGATTTCTTTAATAAATATAGACCTATTCAAATCATTTTTTTTTTTTCTTGCATAGGCTTTGGTATTTTGTACCTTTCAAATAATTTGTGAATTTCATTTAACTTGCTGCATTTATTGGCATAGAATTGTTTATAATATTCCTTTATAATCCTTTTAATATCTTGAGAATCTGTACTGAGGTCATCTCTTTCATTCTTGATATTGTTAATTTGTATCTTCTTTTTCCTCTGATTATGTGGCTATGGGTTTATCAATTTTATTGATCTCAAAGAACCCACTTTTGGTTTCACTGACTTTCTCTACTATTTTTCCATTTACTATTTCACTGTTTTTTGTTCTGGTCTTTATTATTTCATTTCTTCTGTCTGGGTTTAATTTGCTCTTTTTTTTTCTAGTTTTCAAGATAAAAATTAAGGTAACTGATTTGAGGCCCTGCTTCTTTTCTAATAGAGGTGTTTAACTTATACATTTTCTTATAGGTACTGTTTCCTTGAATCATTTTTTCCTATTGTTCATGCCTCTCCTTCAAGGATTCCAATTACACTTATTTTAGGCTGCTTACATTTTTCCACAGCTCACAGATGCTTTAATTTTTAATTATTTTTTCTTTTTTAGAGATGAGGGTCTCATTATGTAGCCCAGGCTAGCCTCAAACTCCTGGGCTCAAGCAATAATTCTGCTTCAACCTCCCAAGTAGCTGGGATTGCGGGCATGCACCACTGCACCTGGCTTTCACTGATGCCTTTAATATTTCTTTACTTCTATTTTTTTCTGTGTTTCATTTTGGATATTTTCCATTGCTATGTCTTCATGTTCACTAACCTTTCTCTTTTTTTTGTATTAAGCAATGTGCTGTTAATTCCACTGAGTTACTTTTTCATCTCAGATGTAGTCTTCATCTCTGGAAGTTCAACTCAGGCTTTAAAAAGTATCTTCCATAACTTTACTTAAACATCTGAACAGCATGTCAGTATGTACCTTATTCTATTCTATAGAGTACAGTTATAATAACTTTTAGTGCCCTTGTCTGATAATTTTAACATCTCTAGCAGTTCTGGTTTGACTTTGATTGAACAGTTTCTCCTCATTATGGGTCCTATGTTCCTGCTACTTTGCATTCCTGATAACTTCTGATTGAGTGCCAGACAGCAAGACTTTTACATTATTTGGTGCTGGACAAGTTTATATTTCTATAAATATTATTGAGCTTTGTTGTAGAATGAAGTTACATTTCTTGGAAATACTTTTGAGAGAGGAGGTAAAAAGAGACCAGCTAGGCAGATAGTTAGGGCAGAGAGTCCTTGGCAGAACTTCCCTTCTAACAAAAAGCAGCCCAGGAAATCACTCCTCTTCTAATAGAAAGCAGCCTGGAAGACCGGGCTGCAAACAGATAAGGAAGCTGGAGCTTGCACGGGGGGATGCTTGCAGCTGCACAGACAGAAAGGGGTACCTGGGGCCAGGTGTGTCCACCATGGAGGCTCCACCTCCCCCTTTGAAGCACATACACAGTAGGAAAGCAACGTGGAGTAGCTCAGGCAAAAGACCTGCCTGTATAATAAAAGGGTGGGGTGGGGGATGCCAGAGATTCATGCTCTACGCAGATGGCACACCTGGGGTTTTTCACACCCTATGTAGGTAAGATAACACCTCACCTCCCCACTAGCTAGCTTATAAAAACCCTTGCATTTCACTGCTGAATGGCAACGCTTTTGGGGATCCCTCTCTGCTGCAGAGAGCTGTTATCTTTCTTTTGCCTAATAAACTTCTGCTTCTGCTCTAACCTCACCCTTGGTGTGGCCGTGTCCTTGACTTCCTTGGCTGTGAGATCAAGAACTTTGGATCAGGCAATGAGGCCATTTCACTGTGATCCTTGTGGATCTTGCTTCTTGCTTTTAAGGTTCATTAGGTATGATCAGAGTGATTTATTTACTTTTATTTTTTTAGAGTCAGGGTCTTAGTGTTGCCTAGGCTGGAGTCAGCAGTGTGATCATAGCTCACCATAACCTCGAACTCTTGGGCTCAAGTGATCTCCTCAACTCAGCCTCCTGAGTAGCCAGGACCACAGGTATATGCCACCATGCCCAGCTAATTTTTAGAAGATTTTTGTAGAGACAGAGGTCTTGCTATGTTGTTCAGGCTGGTCTTGAACTCTTGTCCTCAAGCGATCCTCCTGGCTTGGCCTCCCAAAGTGTTGGGATTACAGGTATGAGCTACTGTGTCTAGCCCTAGAAAAGTTTTCATTACAGGGCTAATTATTCCCAATTACTGAGGCAAGATCCTTCTAGGTATTATATTCAGTGCTTGTCCAGCCTGGCTGGTGAGCACAGGCACTTTCCATGGCTCTGTATCAGCCCCAGGCACTGTTTCCTCTAATCCTCTCAGGTGGTTCTCTCCCCAGCTGCACACAGCTTCCTCACACACAGGCACTGATCGGCACTTGGCTGAGTGGCAGAGGCAAACCCTCTGTGAATCGCTGCAGTTCTCTCTGTGTAGCTGTCTCCGCTCTCAGGCTCTGACCTGTGGACTCCAGCCTCCTGGACTCCTGGGACTCTAAGCTCTGTCTCCTTCCACTGTGGAGTCAGGCAAGCTTCCTCTGGGTTCCCCCTCCCTGTACCACGGATTAGAAACTTTCTCAAGGCAGTGAGCTGGGCAATTACAGGACTAACCTTGTTTGTTTCCAATCTCTTGGGGACTACTGTCCTTTACTGTCTAATGTTCAGTGTCTTGTTTATCATATTTGTCTTTTTCTTTTTCAGGCAGGAGGGCACACCCACATTCTGATACTTCATCTTGGCTGGAAGTGGAAGTTTCCTGGTGCTGTCTGTTTTAAAACTTTTTATTATGGAAACATTCGTACATCACTTATAATAAACCTGTTTGCATCTACTATCCAGGTTTAATCAAAATCAACTCATGGATAATATTGTTTCATCTCCTCTCCCACCCATTCGCCTGTCCCCAGAAAACCCCTGCATGATATTACTTCATCCATCCACGTCAGTATGTATCTTATTTTTCTTAGCACTATCATAATAAAAATATCATATCTAAAAGTAGTTATTCTTTAATATCAAATATCCAGTAAATGTTAAGTGCTCACATTTCCCAGATTGTCTTATAATTTTTCTTTTTTAGTTTGTTGGAATCAGTATTCAAATAATGTGCATACATTATCACTGTTTGACAGATCTCTTAAGCCTTTTTTAATCTACAGCACAGGTTGGCAAACTACTGCCCATAGGCTGGCTGGCTGCCTGTTTTATAAATAAAAGTTTTGTTAGAACACAGCTGCCTATAGATTGCTTTAGGCAGGAAGGACCTTGAAGGCAGGGCCTACTCTTCTTTCTTCCTGGGTCTCCCACACTCAGCCCAGAGGCCCTCAACGCCTGCTTGGAGATTGGAAACATGAAGGTTTGGCTTAAGTGGGAGTTCTTAATATGCAGCAGCCTCCTCTTTCCTGCCTAATCAAAGAAAATAGTTTAAATTGATTTCAGTTCGCACAGCCAATTTTTTATCTTAAAAAGTGTTTAACGACATGACTCTGAATCTGAGGGCTTCTGGTTGTTTTTTTGCTCCTTCCCTCTTCAGCTTACGCCCACATTACTGAGTGCCCACTCAGGACAGCTCATCCACAGGGCTGGGGCTCTCAGCCATGTGAAAGGGAATGGCATGGAATTCCTGGACCTCAGGGAGCCCTGGAGTGGTGGGCACATAAGTGAAGCAAAGTGAAAGGACACAAAGTGGTGGGGGGCACGGGGGAATGGGGAGGCTTTATCCATGCACAGACACCAAGAAAGACGCTGGGATGAATACGGCTGGCTTTCCAGAGAGGAAGTGTCTTTCTTTCTCTCTTTCTCTCTCTCTCTTCCTTTCCTTTCCCTTTCTTTCCTTCTTTCTTTTTCTTTCTTTTTTGTTTTTTTTTTTTGAGACAGAGTCTCACTCTGTTGCCCAGGCTGGAGTACAATGGTGTGATCTTGGCTCACTGCAACCTCTGCCTCCTGGGTTCAAGCAATTCTCCTGCCTCAGCCTCTTGAGTAGCTGGGATTACAGGTATACACCACCACACCCGGCTAATTTTTGTATTTTTAGTAGAGACAGGGTTTCACCATGTTGGTCAGGCTGGCCTCGAACTCCTGACCTCGTGATCTGCCCGCCTTGGCCTCCCGAAGTGCTGGGATTACAGGCGTGAGCCACCAAGCCTGGCCAAAGTGTTTAATTTTAAGCAGCCACAATGGCACAGACTTCTGAGTAAAACCAACAAAATAGGCCAGTGATGGTACCTGGGGGTTACAAGCTTCCCCAATAGGAAGGAAATAAGATCTACTTAATTGATCAGCGTGACACAAGGAAACTCACTGCAAATGGTCTTAATGGGTCTGTTTAAGAGTATTTAAATACACTCATCTCTCTAAAGGAAGAATGTGTCTTCCTGAATGAGGCCAGGCGAGAGGGAGTATCTTAGAATTCTGATCTGGAGATGTTTATTTTTATTTTTTTTGACATTTTTTCCCCAAATACGTCTGGTCTAACGGCAGAGCTCTCTCTAGTGGGAACGGGACACTTGGAAGGGCAGCCAACGGTTTCCTTTCAGTATTTCTAGACCCACTGATGGTCCCAGCCCCGGCCAAGGGCCATCACACCTTGTGGTCGAGTGTTAACTCCTGCTTAGGATTCATGGTCCCTAGACCACCTTTTTGTTCCCATTCAAGGGTGTGGGATTTGCCCATGGCAGTCCTCTAATCGCACACACTTGAAAACGCCAGAGCCGTGAATTCTGCTAAATCAGTGGCATGTGCTCAAGACTGGGCAAATCCAGCTTGATAAGCATGTGATGAATTATAAAATAAGGCACAACCAAACACAAGCTGCAGCAGAAGTCCACAAAGTTCCACAGGAGGGCAAGGAATTATCAGTGAATCCTTACCTCGTCATAGAAACTTCTTCCTCCAGACATCCACGTGGCTTGCTTTCTCACTTCCTCAAATCTTTGCTCAGATCCTATTTTTTTTAAGTGAAGCCTTCCTTGACAACCCTAATTTAAAACTGTACACACTCATACCTGCTTCCTTCTCCCCGACTTAGTTATCTCCACAGCACTAATGGCTAACACACTATATAACTTATTTCCATCTGTCTCCATGTGGGCAATTTCTGTCTGGCTGCTCATCACTGCACCTCAGCAGCTATTAATAGATCACTCTACTGAGGGACTCATACGTGCTGGGTGTTGGGCAAACAGTGAACAAAACCTTGTATGGTCCTTGCTGTCGGGGAGTTCATGATCCATCGTGGAGGGAGAGCTGAATTTCAACAGGGAGGCAGTGTGTGCAGGGGGAGGAGCAGCAGGAGCAATGGGCGGAGGCAGAAGCACAGAGGTGGGTGTCAAGTCAGGGAAAGGGATGGTGAAGAGATGCCTCAGGTAATGAGGGGAGGGACGGAATAGGACTAGATGCTGAAGGGCTGGAGTACCAGGTGGAGAAGTTTATTTTGCAGGTAATGGGGACGGAGTATGAAAAATTGGAGGAAATGGAGTTACCTGACTTGAATTTGTTTGGGAGAACCACTTCAGGGACATGCAAGGGACTGATATGAAGATGAGATGGAGCAGAGACCCCTCTTAGGGGCCTGCCGGGCACCTGCCCCCAAGCATGGAAATAAAAGGAAATCTTGAGTTCCTTCAAAGGCATTTCCAGGTACCTAGCCAGCACTGGGAAGTAAATGAGCAACTGAAGCAAGAAGGGAAGAATAACTTAAAACAATAGCCAGGGAAGTTTAAGTCACAGAATAGATCAAAGTTCCCACAGAGACTAAAGATAACATTTTAACACAAGTCCTTGAGCTGATTTCCAGAAACCAGGACACCAACAAATGAAAAGTGCTATCTGCTGGCATGCAGACCTCAGACAGGGGAAACTGAGGACTGAGCTTGGACCACCACTCTTTGTTCTAAATTTCTTCCTGAGGGGCCTGGAGGAAGTCATGCCCAGAGACCAGAGCTAACGTTCTTTTCTCCTGATCACAAATTTGCAGACAAAGCTTCGTCTCCTTAACCCATTGTAAATCAGAAAATCTTCAAATCTACCTATGACCTATGCCCTCCACCCCACATCTGGTTCAAGATGTCCTGTCTTTTTAGGTCAAACCAATGTACAGCCTCCGTGTATTGATTTATATCTTTGCCTGTAACTTCTGCCCCCTGCCTTTATTTTATTATTATTATGTTTTCAAGATGGAGTCTCGCTCTGTCTCCAGGCTGGAGTGTAATGGTGCGATCTCAGCTCACTACAACCTCCGCCTCCTGGGTTTAAGCGATTCTCCTGCCTCAGCCTTCTGAGTAGCTGGGATTACAGGTGTATGCCACCACACCCAGCTAATTTTTGTATTTGTAGGAGAGACAGGGTTTCACCATGTTAGCCAGGCTGGTCTCGAACTCCTGACCTCAGGTGATCCACCAGCCTAGGCCTCCCAAAGTGCTAGGATTACAGGCATGAGCCACCACGCCCAGCCTCTTCCTGCCTGTAAAAACGCTTACCTATATGGCACTGGGGGATTCAGGGCTTAAACATGAGCTGCCCAATTCTCCTGGCTTCCTGCCCTGAAATAAATGTCTCACTTTCTCTTACTGCAGTCTTGACGCCAGTTTTTGGCTTTGCTGTGCCAGAGAGCCAGACCCAACTTTGATCTGGTAACACAGGAAGCAGGTGAACAGGCAAGGCCACCCTCTTCTGTTTGGAGGCAGGTCAGTGTTCACTTGCCTCAGTTTACCAAGGTTGTGATCAGCCTCTGCTCCTCCTTTCTCTTATTGGCCTCCCTCTGCTGTACTGTGATTCCCATCATTGCAGTGTTTTTTTAACTTTTTTTTTGAAATAAATAAAAATACAAGAAGTTACAAATGAGGACCATGTACCTTCCGCTCAGCTTTTGCCACCATGAGGATTTA
Organism: Homo sapiens; assembly: GCF_000001405.40. Lineage (NCBI taxonomy): Eukaryota > Metazoa > Chordata > Mammalia > Primates > Hominidae > Homo > Homo sapiens. The sequence continues at coordinate 3,934,646 of NT_187660.1, forward strand.
TTTCCCTTTAGACATCTCCCCTCTAAATTCCTACATTACTGACATCCTCCCAATACACATCTTTCTGAGGACTTACAACAAAAATATTTCATTCTTTGAAACACTGGGTTTAGAGAAATCTTCACCCAAATAACTTTGACACCTTAAATAATCCATCATACACAATGGAACCACAGTCCTCTTACCTGTGAAAGCCAAAGGCAGGACCCAGCAGTGGGTGAGGTGAGTGAGCACTCACCACTGCCACCCTCTGTCCCACTGGGTGCAGCCGGGACCCCTGGACAGCGTGCAGGCAGCAGCGACCGGGCTCAGGAAGGTGGATCACAGTTGGAGGTGCTGATGCAGAAAGGAGACCACAGTTGGAAGTGCCACAGAGTTGGAGGTGAGCGAGACACTTCCCTTCCTCCAGTCTCCCCAGTGTGGAGTCAATGCAGCTCCTAACCCAGAGTGGGCACTAATTCCAGGAAAAGCCCAGCCAACTCGGGTACAGAAGCAGGAAAGGGGTCTCTACCGTTCTAAGAAAGTCTGGAAATCTCTAATTTATCCTTTTTTTTTTTCTTTTTCTTCTAAAATTTTTTCTTCTCTGTGCCCCAGACCTCAAGAAATTTTGTGGCCCTAGTGAGAAATGGCAGATAATTAAAGTCATCAGGCCAGGCAAACTTCCTTTCCAACCAGAGAGTCTGAGGTCCCCAGAGGGTGGGGAAACCTTCATGCTTTTTCTCTCTGGCTTCTCGCTGCTTAGCTCTGACGTGGTTCAGTCAAGTGCACCAGAGAGTAGGGTAAATCAAGCCTCAACCACCCAAGCTGGCTGGAGGGCTGAAAAGGTAGAGCCCAGGGACCCAGACACTACTGGGCAGGTTACAATGAGGAAGGGCTTCGGGAGAGCAACCCCTGAAAGTTGCTCATGAACTCTTGGGCTTACCCTTGAGCTCTACATGTATGGATCCGACCCTACACGGACCACACAGACTTTGAGTGCTGAAATGTGGGATAGATTACCACCAGAGTCCCAGGCTGGCCACTAGGTGGCGCTTGTGCCAGACAGATCCACATCTCACAGACTCACAGCAACCACAATCCACACAAGTCTTGCAGGAACTTGGAATTTGTGGTCTGAACCCATTTGGGGTGATTATCTTCTAAAATAAAGTTAATAATGTTCACTGTAAGATTTTAACAATAACCAGAATCTCAAAACATAGTATTTAAAATGTCTAGGATACAATTCAGCATACTGAAACCATACTCAGCATACAAAAAGCCAACAGCTACTCTGAGATGAAACAGATACTGGAATTATTTGACAAAGATTTTCAAGCAGTTGTTAAAAATATTGTACAAGTAAAGGAGGGTACTCTTAAAACATATAGAAAATTTTGCAAAGAAATGGAAGATATGAAGAAGAACTAAGTGGAAATATTAGAAATGAAAAAAATCAACTACAAAAATAGAAAACACACTGGCTGGGCTCACTACTGGGATGAAGATGATGGAGGAAGTAGTCAGTCAGTTCATAAATAAATTAATAGAAATGACTGAATCTGAATAACAGACAAAGCTTGAAAACCTTGAACAGAACCATAGAGACCTTAGGTAATAACAAAAGGGCCGAGCTTCCTATCATCTGAGTCCCAGAAGGAAAGAAAAAAAGGGCAGAACATAGAAACATGGAAAGAAATAGCTGAAAGTCTGGTTTACCACTAGAAGGCAATCAGTTTAATCTAGTATAGCAACAGTTTAAAGCAAAAAACCCACTTGATCTTCATTTTAAAAATTCAGTATCTATTTATTATAAAACGCTCAGCAAACTTGGAATAGAAAGAAATTTTCTTCACCTGATAAAGACCATCTACTAAAACCTATAGCCAACATTCTACTTAATGGTGAAATACTGCTTGTTCTCAGAGATTAAGAACAACACAAGGATCTTCTTTTTTAACACCACTATTTAACCTTTTGAATAGTCTTCGTCAGTGAAATAAGACAAGAAAACCAGAAAGGCCTAGAGACTGGAAAGGAAGAAATAAAACTGTCCTTACTCACAGATAACATGATCACCTATGTAGAAAATCCCAAGGAACACACACACACACACACACACACACACACACACACACACACAGCCCTCCTAGAACAAACTGAGTTTAGCTTTAGCAAGATTGCAGGATGCAAGATCAACACACAAAAATCAGTTATATTTCTGTATATTGCCAATGAACAAGTAGAAACTGAAATAAAAAATACCATGTACAATAGTTTACAACCCCGCCCCCCAATACACATAGAACAAAACATGTATAGGATCTACATGCCAAAAACCATAAAATGTTGACGAAAGAACTTAATGGAGGCCCAAGCAAATGGAAATTATGGCACTCCTTCATGGACTGAAAGACATAACATAGGATTGAGTTGTAGATTTACTAAAATTGTAGACAAAATCTCAGCAAAACAGTTTAGAGTAGATAGAGGTAAGCAGATCCTAAAGTTCACATAGAAAGGCAAAAAAAAAAAAAAAAAGAATAGCTGAAACACTCCTGAAAAAGAAGAATAAATTTAGAAAAATCACACTATCTGATTTTAAGACTCATTACAAAGCTACAGAAATCAATATGGCACAATGTTGATAAAAGAACAGACATAATGATCAATGGAACAGAACCACTGTCCAGAAATATATTCCTTACAAATACCCTCAGTTGGCTTTTCGTCAAATTGCAAAGGCAATTCAATTTCAATGAAAGAAGGAGGATATTTTCTATAAATGATGTTGAAACAATTGGATATCCGTATGCATAAAACTGAATCTGGACCTAAATCTCACATATTATACAAAAATCATCTCAAATGGATCATAGATCTAAATGTAAAACATGAAAGTATAAAACTTTTAAAAGACCAACTACAAGAAAATCTTCATGACCTGGAGTTATGCAAAATTTCTCAGATATGTCACTCAAAGCATGATCCTCAGAAAAAAGTCAGTTGGAACGCATCAGAATTTAAAACTGTGCCCTGTAAAAGGCCCTGTTAAGAGACTGAAAAGTCAAGCACAGATTGGGAGAAGATATTCACAAATCACAAATCTGAACAAAAGATTTATATTCAGAATATGTAAAGAACTCTTAAAACTCAATCAAACAACTCAATTTAGACATAGGCAAAAAGCCTGAACAGACATTTCACGAAAGAGAATAAAAAGATGGAAAATAAACAGCATGAAAATTTTCAACGTCATTAATTATTAGGAAAATGAAAATTAAAACCATGAAGAAATACCATCACACAGCTATCAAATGGTTAAAATGAAAAAACAAAAAAGGAAGAAATACCAAGTGTTGACAAGGATGTGGGGCAGCTGGAGCTCTCAGGCACTGCTGGTAGGAATGCAAAGTGGTACAGAACTCTGGAAAACAGGTTGGCAGTTTCTTACAAGGTTAACATGTATTTAGCCTAGAAAAATTAAAACTAGGCCAGGCACAGTGGCTCACACCTATAATCCCAGCCCTTTGGGAGGCTGAGGCGGGCAGATCACGAGGTCAGGAGCTCAAGACCAGCCTGGCCAATATGTTGAAATCCCGTCTCTACTAAAAATACAAAAATTAGCTGGGCATGGTGATGCGCGGCTGTAATCACAGCTACTCAGGAGGCTGAGGCAGGAAAATTGCTTGAACTGGGACCCAGGAGGCGGAGGTTGCAATGAGCCGAGATAGCGCCACTGCACTCCAGCCTGGGCTAGAGTGAGACTCTGTGTCACCAAAAAAAAAAAAGAAAAAACAAAGAAAAATTAAAACTATATTCACAAAATCCTGTTCTTAAATGTTTCTAGAAGCTCTAGTTGTAACTGCCAAAAATGGAAAACAACTGAAATGCCCCTGGACAGATGAGTGGAGAAATTCTGGAGTACCTGCAGAATGGAATACTACTCAGCAACAAAAAGGAACCGGCTACTGACACATGACTTGATGAGTCTCAAAATGATCTCCCTGCATGAAAAGGAGCCAGTTTCAGAAGATTAGGCTCTGTAGGACATTTATCTGACATTCTTGCAAAGAGACAAAACTAGTGATAGAAAACAGAGCACTGACTGCCAGTGGTTGGGGTAGGGGAGGGTCTGATTATAAAAGACATCAGGACAGAGAATCTGGAGGGGATGAAGTGCTTCTGTGTCCTGAATGTGGTAGTAATAACACAAATCCATACATGTGTTAAAGTTCATAGAACTAGACACAAAAAACTCAATTTTTCTGTATCTTAATGTGAAAAATATAAGTAAAAAAAATAAAGAAAAGAGATGACAACTCTTGCTTCCTATAAGGCTGTCTAGACATTAATACTGATGTTAGTACTAATTACAATAATGGCCACCACAAGCATGGTCTTCTATACTTTTTTGAGCATCTGCTACATGCTGCTTCTTTACCACACATTTTATATCACAACTTCTAATATTCACAGTCACCTTGTAAGGTGGGTTAAGCTCAACATAGAAGAAATCTCAGGGTAAGGGAAGTAAAATAATTTGTCCTATATCTCATAGTTGATAAGTGGCTGAATCTGAACTCAAACTCGGATTTCACTGCCGACCTTATTCCAAGCCTGCTTCTCCACTCTGCTGCCCACTTAATGAAAATAATGGAAACTGACAGGGAGACATTATATAATATAAATAGCAGGAAGGGAGAATCATATTTTGATTTCCATAGATTGCAAAAACTCTCAGCATATTTTATTCTAAACTTGGAGTTGGTTTGAAATTCTAATAGGTTGGGGAAAATTTAAAAACTATGCTTTTGCCATTGCCATTTTTTGATAATCCTCCAGTAGGTGGTTCTTAATTTTCAATATGATTGAATAGTTCTCTCCACTTCTGCAAATGTACAATAATTCTTATTTTCCCTAAGTGACTTAAAGAATCATTGTGACTTACAATTCTTGACCAAGTATTTACTAACTCCACAAATTGCAGTTTATACATTTGAAGTAAAGAGTAAACATTACAAAGTTCTCTCCTCTCACACAGCTGACTGTCCTGAGAAGTTGTAACTGGTCCCTCCCACCTTTACATACCACTGCCGCCATCAGAAAAAAAAAAGAAAGGTAAATCCATTTTAGAGACATAGAAACTACACTTTCATTTTAGTTCACTATGGTTATGGCTGAATACATATCTGAAAACATCATACATACGGAGGATGCAATTTCTCATGCAGCAAATGGTATCTACGTGAAAAGCTGGAGGATGAAGGCTGTCTTCTTGCTTGTGAATTACTCCCAGTGGCTTTCCTGGATAGTAGGTGCTTTTTCCACCAAAAACCCTGGCCTAGAGTATTTTCGTCTCCGCTAACACAGAGATATGAAACTAAGGCCTACCACAAAAGTATTTTCTTGAATGTTTTATAATTTCTGCTCCATTGAACATATTTTCTTAAATATAATAATTAGTGATAAAATTTTGACTTAATATCGGTAAGATGTAACACAAAGCAAAGCCCACTTAGTGCTCAAGTACCACTGTCATCAGGTATTGGAAATCTTCTTATTTGGAAGGTGGTTATGCCCAGAATGGTGGTGTGGGGAACAAGGAGGTGGGCTTACCTTCCAGCAGGTCTCTGGCCAGACCAGGTTCTGCCCCCGTGGACCGAACAAAGTCTGACAGGACTGCGTCCATATCAAGAGTCATAGGATCATGTAGAAGTGCTGCCCAACACTCAGCCGAGGTGGGGTTTGGAAGCACACTAGAAACCATCCATCTGCAGGAAAGAAGAGAAAGGGCATTTTACCACGTGATGGAAATGGAGCTGCAAGTGACAACTACATGCAGAGACCTGAGCGAGAGAACCCTCGAGGGTGGAGCCATTTCCACCTGCTGTCATATTTTTTAGAATTGGTTTGGTCCAACTGCCTGATTCTTCATGCAAGACATTATATTATAGAATGCTAACTAAAATTTCATCCCTGTGTACATGCCATGTGAGAGAAGGGGTATTATGAGCCAAATGTTTGTGTTCCCTCCCAAAATTCATATGTTGATATCTAATCTCCAAGGTGATGGAGAAAGACAGTGCCATCTATGAAGCAGGAAATGGGCCCTTACTAGACACCAAATCTGCTGGTTCCCTGATCTTAGACTTCCCAGCCTTTAGTACTGTGTGGAATACATTTCTGTTGTTCATAAGCCTCCCAAGCTATTGTATTTTGACATAGCAGCCCAGATAGACTAAGGCAAGGGGTCATCACTATCTCCAGCACTCCTGAACTTACATTTTATTAATTCCAATAACTGATGAGGAAAAAAGACTATTTTAAAATTTCAAACACCTAAGTATACCTAGAAAAATTCAGTTGGAGTTGCTAGATTTCTAATCCTCTTCCGAATTGTATAGACTTGTAATACTTCCACAATGTGATGAATGTTACCCACTCTATTCCAATTATGCCTTTATCAGTGTGCCATCCTACCCCCTCAGCTCTCACCCCTTACTTGGCTATTAGGAAAGACTAATAGCCAAGGTTAATCCACAGTTGACGGAAATACCACACTTGCTGAAGATGGCTACTGAACTATCTACCATCCCTCTAAGAGCTGCCATCAATCCAACAACATTCTTAAGAATGTCAGATTTCCCAGGCAGCATGATCCCAGCCAGAGAAATAGAATGGATGTACAGCAGCTTGACCCAGGCTGACTGTAGCAGCTGACTGCTGGGGAAAAGCAACTGTGACATTACAAGTGAGAGTAACTTACACTAGTGAATGGTGCTGGGGCCCCAGTGGGTGCTCAATCTTTGCCGGTGGAGTGCAAATGCATCCTTGTGTTTGTGTAGATAAGAGGTCTGCAAGTTATAGACCATGGGCCACATGTGGTCTGCCACCCATTTTTGTAAATGAAGTTTTATGGGAACACAGCCATACCCACTCATTTGCATAGCGTCTGTGGCTGCTTTTGCACCTGGCTGAGTTGAGTAGTTAAAACAGAGACCCTTAAGGTCCACAAAATTGAAAAGATGTACTTCCTGGAACTTTATGGAAAAAGCTTGCAGACCCCATTACAGGCAATGGAAAATTTTATGCTAGGAAGTATGTAATTAATTTTACATATTGTGGGGTGAGTTTGAATCCCATGCTATTGATGACTGTCCTCTGTTCTTTCTTTCACAGTAACCCACTGGGATGGGTGCTGCTTGGTGGAGTAGGTCCTGTGTCAGTGGCCCATGCTTTAGAGCCAGGCACATAGCCTGATTTGACCCTGGCCCTGCCCCTGTCCAGCTGTGACATGGGCTTCACCTCTCTGAGCCCTCCTGATTTTCTGTAGGAATGCAGGAAATGAGCTCACCTAACGTGCAAGACCCTGAGGACTGAGGGTCTCAGGCAGGGAGGTCTGTACCCTCAGAGACATTCACTGTGACCACCCCGTCTTGCACACAGCTCCTATTGGGTACAATTTTTAGTTGATGCGGCCAGAAAAGAAGAAAATTATTTGACCTGATGTATATGGTACCAATTAGGAAATTGATTTCTTCCTTCTCTCCATGCACTGGGGCCTCGGCCGGGAGAGTCTCTTCTTTCGTCACTGCCACCTGGGGGACAGATCAGAGAACAAGAGCATGTGATCTCCTTACTCTCAGACTGAGGCCGAAGGCTTGGCTTTTTGTCACAGGAGGCTGGATCTTGGCCTTGGCCAATTGCCTGAGGCATGTACTCTGTCTTCCTGGGCCCTACAGGTCCCCGCTTACCAGCTGACCAGCAACTCCCATGCCCGGGCCTGGCCAGGGGCTGTCTCAGCTTTCCTCGTTTTAGCAAGCACATCTATTTCAGTGAGGATTACTTGCACAGCACAGAGCTGTTTTTTCCTTTTCCTTTTTCTTTTTTTTTTTGAGACAGAGTCTTGCTCTGTCGCCCAGGCTGGAGTGCAGTGGCGCGATCTCGGCTCACTGGAAGCTCCGCCTCCCGGGTTCATGCCATCCTCCTTGCCTCAGCCTCCTGAGTAGCTGGGAGTACAGGCGCCCACCACCATGCCCAGCTAATTTTTTTTTTGTATTTTTAGTAGAGACAGGGTTTCACCATGTTAGCTAGGATGGTCTCGATCTCCTGACCTTGTGATCCGCTCACCTCAGCCTCCCAGAGTGCTGGGATTGCAGGCGTGAGCCACCACACCCAGCTTTCCAGATGTATTTCTTAAACCTCACACTGCCACCATCACCACACCCTCACATTCATGTCCCATGATGATATGGGAGGGACTGGGCTGGTGGGGACATTTGACCCCAGCTACCTGGGCCATCCTCACCCACTGCTCCGTGCCATCCTCCCAAGCATGCACTGTGCCTCTCAACCTGCCTTGTGTGGTCTAAAGCACTCACTCAGCCGCTTTGAACAGCATGAGGCTCTGGGTGGCCGTGCCCTGGCCCTGCATTCCTGTTCTCCTCAGTGCATCCTAGCCCTTGGACAGAATGTCTCTGAAGGTCTCATCAGCCACCCCAGGGAGAGTAATGTGTCCCATCAATGCATGGTGACTGCCTTAGGAGGGGCAGTGCCGTGTGGGGACAGAGCGTTGGCCCTGGAATCAGTCTCTGGGGCCAAAATGGTTCCACCACTTTGTGTGACCTTGGGCATGTTATATCGCCTCTCTGTGCCTCAGTTTCCTCATCAATACAATTATAATAATAATTGTATCTCACAGTTATTATGAAATTTTAAGGAACTCATGCACAAAATGTACTGGCCCATAGTACATGCTCAATATACATTAATTATGAGCCAATGAATGAACTCTCAACAGGGACCCTGAGACCACCCTTGCCTTCCCAGGTCTCCACTGAGCAAGAAAACTGCTTCCACCAGCTTGCTGAAGGCAGGAATAAGGGGCCTACCTCTAGTGCCTTGGCTTGGAATCACAGAGGGTTAAACTGGTGGGGGCTCCTGCCTTCAATTCCGTCTTCTTTCCCGTATCCGAGGTTGCAGTGTTCATTGATCACTTAAGCAACCTTCATGGAGCTGCTACTCTGTTCAGGCCATGACTGCAGGGACTCTGTGGGAACTATGAGCCCCCTGAGCCTTCCCAGGATCTCCCCAGTAAGCAGAAAGGGACAGACACACACATACAGGTCTCAGAGACCAACTGCTGGATTTGGAAGACACTTAGTGGAGGAAGTGGTCCAACCAGAGAGAGTAAAATTGCAAGACAGAGGTGTAGCAGGATAAAGACCAAACTACCTCAGGATCCATTTTTCATTAACTTCTGTTTTGGCCAGGTGCGGTGGCTTACACCTGTAATCCCAGCACTTTGGGAGGCCGAGGCTCGTAGATCACCTGAGGTCTGGAGTTCAAGGGCAGCCTGGCCAACATGGTGAAACCCCGTCTCTACTAATTAAAAAAAAAAAAAAAAGCCAGGTGTGGTGGCAGGCACCTGTAATCCCAGCTACTTGGGAGGCTGAGGCAGGAGAATTGCTTGAACCTGAGAGGTGGAGGTTACAGTGAGCTGAGATCGCGCCATTGCACTCCAGCCTGGGCATGAATGAATGAATGAATGAATGAATGAATAAATAAATAAATAAATAAATAAATAAATAAATAAATAAATAAAATAAAATTAAAACTTCTGTTTCAATGAAGCTCAAATAAAACACTGCTGCATTATATTTGTAGATGTTATAACTGGACACTGGAAGGCAATAAAACGGGTAGATGGAGAATGAGACTGGGAGATGATGGCAGAGGCTTGTGGTCTGATCCCTGGGGACAGGTACAGGAAGACTATGGGTGAATGAGTGCCTGGAGGTTACTCTTCACTCTCAGGACAGCAAACAGGGTAGTGAATGCTTTTAACATCTGTCTTAACAGAGGGCCAGCTGCCTGAGAGCTGGGATCCACTTCATCCTCCTTTCTATCCTCCTGCTCACAGTGCCTGGCACACAGCAGGGCCAACTCTAAGGTGAGGCGAGGAGGCACCTGCCACTGCTGCAGAATCTAAGAGGGTGCAAAAACACTCAGGAATCGACATAAACAACATTTTAGTGCTATATTTGCAAAAATAAAAATTAGCGCAAAAATATCTTTGAGGAACAAAATGTCAGCCTTTTAAATGAAGGCAAGGTTGGCATGACCATTTTTCCTTTGCCCCTGGCTCTGCAGGGCTGCCAGGCCCTGGCATGAGCTCAAAGCTGCTGCCTGGGAGGCAGGTGGTTGGGAGGCAGCCCAGTGAACACCCATCACAGCCAGAGAGCCTGACCTCAGAGAGGGCCAGCGAGGGCCACGGGAAGGGGCACACAAGTGAGTGGGGAGTGGGAGCTCGCTCTCATCAGGTCTGTTTGATGATACAGCACACTGAACACAGGGATAAGGGAACAGAGGGGTGGATGAACAGATCTGGGGTCGAGCACAGGCTTGGGAGCTGATGGCCTGGCTGGGTGCAAAGCCCCTGCAACCCTGGAAAGGCTACTTCATTTCTTGAAGCCTTGGTTGTCACATCTGAGCAATGAGGGTGAGAACAACCCTGCCTCTTAGAATTGCAGTAAGGATACAGTGAGATGACACTGAAAGAACATGCACTATTACTATTATTACCATTGACATAGATTAAAACAATAGGCAAATGTACTGTTCTGGTATTGAGAATCCACCCTTGACTACCCATACATTTATACATCCCTGTTAAGGGGGTGAATGGTTAAATATGAAAAAAGGTCAGGCATGCGTTCATCTTGTCCGGCCTGGCGAGGAAGCCCACCCTGGTAAGAAGATCAGATGCCTGGGCTCCCGTGGTGAAATGAATTGGATGTCTCAACTCAGATGTCAACATTCCAAGAGCCTGTGTGGCCCATCCCTTGCCAGACGCCATTGTGACCTTGGGCAAGCGTGGTGCACTAGGGCAGAAAGGCTTCTGTGGATGCCACATTAGGGAAACACATCTTCCAGAGCATCTTCACGGTTTAGATGAAAATTAAGAAAGCCCAGTGTCTTTCAGTGCGGGGGCATGAGTTCTGGGAAGGTTGGTTCTGCCAAACATTCATATGCGTAGAGCACATTATCATTTCCAAAGCTTGGCCACGTATATTACTTACATAACCTCCACAACACCAGCTAGAGATAAAGATGAGTCTAAGAGTAATTTGGACTGTGATGAAGCAAGTTCTCCAGGAAATTCAATGTAAAAAGCCCTGGGTGAGGAGAGGAAAGGTGCTTCTTTCTGAGGAATAAGAAGAGAAGTTTGGCCAGACAGCGACAGATAGGGCTGTGTGAAAATCAAAAGTGGCTATAGGAATGTCTGTGGGGCACATTGAAGTTCTTCGCATTGTTGCAGGATCATTTCACTCTTTAGTTTTCCCCTTGTTGAAGCTGATATTCTCAAACACATTGTCTTGTAGGAACTGAGGAAGGCTCCAGCAGCAACAGTGGGCAGTGCTGGGACACACCACTTGTACCTGAGGCTCGGAGAAGGCACATGTGTGGGCTTTGAGCCCATTTCACTTGTCCAGCAGGTGCCGCGGGCTGGACACCCAATGGGCCCAATGGGAAGGAGACATGCCTTCTGTTCAGGGGCCATGACTGGGCCTTGTGCCAGCTCTCAGAGCATCTGGTGCCTTTAAAATAAAATACGTGCATAGATGCATGATTGGAAGCAAAACAATTCCTTAGTTGACACTCACTTATTATACTTTTTCATAATTTTCTCCTAGTATGGAAAGATGGAAGAAAAGTCTCTCCTAAAATGTATAACTTTGGGAATAGCAGTAAGTGTAGGATCTACTGGGGTTTTGTCTTACATGCATTGAAATGATATACTCATCAATGACATATCAAATTCTTCAATGGTTCTTAATACGAGTTAAACAGTAGTTTAACTGACAGGAGAAAGTGGGGCACTAGAAATTGTAAATGGCACCTCAACATTCCAGTCTCTCTACTCTTGAGCTTAGATTTTTAGGCTAACAAGGAGAACACAGAATTACCTGATGGTATATATTTTAAAAATATTTTTCTAATAAAAATTTAAATATGTATAAAAGTAGACAGAAAAGGATATTAAAGCCAATGTACCCATGCCTCAGGCATGACAATCATCAATTCTTAGCCAACCATGCTTCTTCTCTATCTCCAACCCTTCTCCTGCTCACATAATTTTGAAGCAAATTCCAGATAACACATTATTTCATCCACAACTACTTCCATCTCTCTCTAAGACTCTTTAAAACATAACCACAGTACCATAATCCCACCTAAAAATAACAAAAATTCTTCAGTGCAATATCCAGTGTGCAAATTTCCAATGATATCAAATGTTGTAAGTTCACATATTTACTTTTTCAGTTTGTTTGAATCAGAATTCAAGTAAGATCTCTTATTGTAATTGGTTGATATGTCTTTTTTAATCTACAGATTTTGCCTCCGTCTTTTTCCCTCTGTTTGTTGAAAAATCTTATATATATATTTTTCTCTAGAGTTTTCTATCATCTGGCTTTTACTGATTGCTCCTATGGTGCCATGTCACATGCTCCTCTGTCCTCTCTATTTCATGTAAATCAGCACTGGGATGTAAGACTCGATCAGATTCAGATTCAATTTGGGGCACACTTTGGTGCTGTCTTCTTCCATCAGTTGGCACTGAGTATCTGTCTCTGCCTGTGATGGTCGCAGCCACTGATGATCATTGCCTAGACCCAGCAATTCAAGAGGGGTTGCGTATACTGGCAGCATAATTCTTTTATTCATTCTTTATTTATTAGCTGGAATTCTTAAAGGGAAATTTCTACTAATCTACTATTTGGTCACCCAGTGGTAGACACCTAATAGAAAAGGCAAGATAGATGCTTTATTTATGACCTTTTAATTCATCATTTTACTTGGACAAGTTGGTTCACTAGCTTCCTTCCACGGGATCAATTTGTTACTTCTTTTTTTGAAATATTTTGCATTCGTCGATTTAAACATATTTTATGCATTTCAATCTATCCAATATAGAGCAGTTGTTGTCTTTATTGATGCTTAAGTCCTGAATCAAGTTCCCTTGACACTAGTGTAGCTGATAGAGTCTTTTCTACATATCTTGTGTGACAAAATGTTTCAGGTCCCTTTTCTACATTTACTGTTCCGGATCTAGAATTCAACATTTCTCCAAAGAACTATGAGTCTTTTTTATTGAGAATGGTTTTTCAAGACCACAATCTGAATGCTTGGTGTACCCATAACTAGTGGTTTAGTCATTGTTTACAGGACTTCTTGGACAGCTAAGAAATATGTTTGTTTTAAAAACAAATTTTGAGTTCATTCTAATATTTCCAATTCAAATTGAAGACTTAGGAGTTTTTACTTAACCTAATCTCTTTTACAGATGAACCTCCTTCCCACACCAAATCCTAGTTCCTAATAAAATCAGGAATGATAGCATATTACACAGTTACTCTTTCAATTTATCCTGCTCAAATCAAAGCTATTGATTTCTGTGTGCTAAATTTATATCTTGCTATTTTACTAAGTTCTTACAATTTATAGCAAATTTTCAGTTTTTTTTAGTTTTCCAGATACACAATCATATCAAATGCAAATATAGTTTGTGTTAACTCTTTTTTTTTTTGAGATGGAGTATCCCTCTATTGCCAAATCCTGTCCGATTTCCTTGATTAATGCATTCAATATAATATTACATACTATGAGATGTTATGGGCATCTTTGCTTTGCTCCTAACTTTAGTGGAAATAACTTTGGTGTTTCCACACTGAAAAAGATGCTGGGTGTGGGGTCTTGGGCTAAACACACACACACACACACACACACACACACACACACAAGTTTTTAAAAATTTAAAGTTCCAGGATACATGTGCAGGATGTGCAGGTTTGTTACATAGGTAAACGTGTGCCATGGTGGTTTGTTGTACCTATCAACCCATCACCTGGGTATTAAGCCCTGCATGCATTATTTATCCTGATGCTCACCATCCCCCCCACCCCCCGACAGGCCCCAGGGTGTGTTGTTCCCCTCCCTGTGTCCATGTGTTCTCATTGTTCAGCTCTCACTTATAAGTGAGAACATGTGGTGTTTGGTTTTCTGTTCCTGTGTTAGTTTGCTGAGGATAATGGCTTTCAGTTCCAACCATGTCCCTGCAAAGGACATGATCTGTTTCCTTTTTATGGCTGCATAGTATTCCATGATGTATATGTACCACATTTTCTTTAAAAAATTTTTATTTTTCCATAAGTTATTGGGGTACAGGTGGTGTTTGGTTACATGAGTAAGTTCTTCAGTGGCGATTTTTGAGATTTTGGTGCACCCATCACCTGAGCAGTACACACAGAACCCTATTTGCAGTCTTTTATCCTTTGCTCCCCTCCCATCCTTCCCCCCAAGTCCCCAAAGTCCATTGTATCATTCTTATGCCTTTGCGTCCTCATAGCTTAGCTCCCACATATCAGTGAGAACATACGATGTTTGGTTTTCCATTCCTGAGTTACTTCACTTAGAATAATAGTCTCCAGTCTCATCCAGGTCACTGCAAATGATGTTAATTCATTTCTTTTTATGGCCAACTAGTATTCCATTGTATAAATATACTATAGTTTCTTTATCCACTCATTGATTGATGGCATTTGGGTTGGTCCCATGATTTTGCAATTGTGAACTGTGCTGCTACAAACATGCGTGTGCAAGTATCTTCTTCGTATAATGATTTCTTTTCCTCTGGGTAGATACCAAGTAGTGGGATTGCTGGATCAAATGGTAGCTCTACTTTTAGTTCTTTAAGGAGTCTCCACACTGTTTTCCATAGTGGCTGCACTAGTTTACATTCCCACCAGAACATTCCCTGTTCACCACATCCATGCCAACATCTACTGTTTGTTGATTTTTTTTTTTTATTACGGCCATTCTTGCAGGAGTAAGGTGGTATTACATTGTGGTTTTGATTTCCATTTCCCTGACCATTAGAGATTTGAGCATTTTTTCATGTTTGTTGGCCATTTGTATATCTTCTTTTGAGAACTGTCTATTCATATCCTTAGCCCACTTTTTGATGGGATTTTTTTTTCTTACTGATTTGAGTTTGTGGTAGATTCTGGATATTAGTCCTTTGTCAGATGTATAGATTGTGAAGATTTTCTCCCACTCTGTGGGGTATCTGTTTACTCTGCTGGCTGTTCCTTTTACCATGCAAAAGCTCTTTAGTTTAATTAAGTCCCAGCTATTTATCTTTGTTTTTATTGCATTTGCTTTTGGGTTCTTGCTCGTGAAATCCTTGACTAAGCCAATGTCTACAAGGGGTTTTCCAATGTTATCTTCTAGAACTTTTATAGTTTCAGGTCTTAGATATAAGTCATTAATCCCTCTTGAGTTGATTTTTGTATAAAGTGAGAGATGAGGATCCTGTTCCATTCTCCTACATGTGGCCAGCCAATTATCCCAGCATCGTTTGCTCAAAAGGGCATCCTTTCCCTACTTTATGTTTTTGTTTGCTTTGTCAAAGATCAGTTGGCTGTAAGTATTTGGGTGTATTTCTGGGTTCTCTATTGTTTTCCATTGCTCTATGTGCCTATTTTTATACCAGTACCACGCTGTTTTGGTGACTACGGCCTTATAGTATAGTTTGAAAGCAGGTAGTGTGATGCCTCCAAATTTGTTCTTTTTGCTTAGTCTTACTTTGGCTATGCAGGCTCTTTTTTTGGTTCCATACGAATTTTAGAATTGCTGTTTCTAATTCTGTGAAGAATGATGGCAGTATTTTGATGGGGATTGCACTGAATTTGTAGATTGCTTTTGGCAGTATGGTCATTTTCTCAATATTGATTCTACCCATCCATGAGCATGGGATGTGTTCCCAATTGTTTGTGTCATCTATGATTTCTTTCACCAGTGTTCTGTAGTTTTCCTTGTAGAGGTCTTTCATCTCCTTGGTTAGGTATATTCCTAAGTATTTGATTTTATTTTTGCAGCTGTTATAAAAACGGTTGAGTTATTGATTTGATTCTCTGCTTGGTCTCTCCTGGTGTATAGAAGAGCTACCAATTTGTGTACATTAATCTTGTATCCAGAAACTTTGCTGAATTCTTTCATCAGTTCTAGGAGCTTTCTGGAGGAGTCTTTAGGGTTTTCAAGGTAAACAATCATATTATCAGCAAACAGTGATAGTATGACTGCCTCTTCACTGATGTGGATGCCCTTTATTTCTCTCGTCTGATTGCTCTGGCTAGGACTTCAAGTACTATGTTGAAGAGGAGTGGTGAGAGTGGGCATCCTTGTCTTGTTCCAGTTCTCAGAGGGAAGCTTTCAACTTTTCCCATTCAGTATTATGTTGGCTATGGGTTTGTCACAGATGGCTTTTATTACATTGAGGTATGTCCCTTGTATGCCGATTTTGCTGAGAGTTTTAATCATAAAGCGATGCTGGATTTTGTTGAATGCTTTTTCTGCATCTATCGAGACGATCACGTGATTTTTGTTCCAAATTCTGTTTGTGTGGTACATTGCGTTTATTGACTTGCGTATGTGAAATCATCCCTTCATCCCTCGTATGAAACCCACTTGATCATGGTGGATTTTTTTTTTTGATATTTTGTTGGATTCTGTTAGCCAGTATTTTGTTAAGGATTTTAGCATCTATGTTCAGCAAGGATATCAGTCTGTAGTTTTCTTTTTTGGTTATGTCCTTTCCTGGTTTTGGTATTAGGGTGAGGCTAGCTTCATAGAATGAATTAGGGAGGCTTTCTTCTTTCTCTGTCTTGTGGAATAGCGTCGAATTCTGCTGTGAATCCATCTGGTCCTGGACTTCTTTTGTTGGTAATTTTTAAATTAAGATTTCAATCACACTGCTTGTTATTGGTCTGTTCAGGGTATCTAATTCTTCCTGATTTAAGCTAGGAGGATTGTATTTTTCCAGGAATTTATCCATGTCTTCTAGGTTTTCTAGTTTATGTGTGTAAAGGTGTTCATAGTAGCCTTGAATAATCCTTTGTATTTCTGTGGTGTCACATCTTTTGTATTTCTGTGGTGTAATATCTCCCGTTTGTTTCTTAATGAGGTTATTTAGATTTTCTCTCTTCTTTTCTTAGTTAATCTTGCTAGTGGTCTTGAATTTTATTTATTTTTTCAAAAAATCAGCTTTTGTTTCATTTATCTTTTGTATTTTGTTTGTTTCAATTTCATTTAGTTCTGCTCTGATCTTGGTTATTTCCTTTCTTCTGCTGGGTTTGGGTTTGGTTTGTTCTTGTTTCTCTAGTTCCTTGAGGTGTGACTTTAGAATGTCAGTTTCTGCCCTTTCAGTCTTTTTGATAGGTGTTTAGGGCTATGAACTTTCCTCCTAGTATCCCCTTTGCTGTATCCCAGAGGTTTGATAGGTTGTGTCATTATTGTCGTTGAGTTTGAATAATTTTTAAATTTCCATCGTGATTACATTTTTGACCCAATGCTCATTCAGGAACAGGTTATTTAATTCCCATGTATTTGCATGGTTTTGAAGGTTCCTTTTGGAATTGATTTCCAGTTTGCCTCCACTGTGGTCTGAGAGAGTGCTTGATATACTTTAATTTTCTTATATTTACTGAGGCTCATTTTGAGGCCTATCATATGGTCTACCTTGGAGAAACTTCCATGTGCTGTTGAATAGAATGTGCATTCCGTGGTTGTCGGATGAAATGTTCTGTACATATCTGTTAAGTCCATTTGTTCCAAGGTATAGTTTAAATCCATTGTTTCTTTGACTTTCTATCTTGATGACCTGTCTAGTGCTGTCAGTGGAGTACTGAAGTCCCCCATATTATTGTGTTGCTGTCTATCTCATTTCTTAGGTCTATTAGTAATTGTTGTATAAACTTGGGAGCTCCAGTGTTAGGTGCACGTATGTTTAGGATTGTGATGTTTTCCTGTTGGACAAGGCCTTTTACCATTATATAATGGTCCTTCTGTGTCTCTTTTAACTGCTGTTGCTTTAAAGTTTGTTTTGCCTGATATAAGAATAGCTACTGCTGCTTGCTTTTGGTGTCCATTTGCATGAAATGCCTTTTTCCACCCCTTTACTTTAAGTTTACGTGAGTCCTTATGTGTTAGGTGAGTCTCCTGAAGGCAGCAGATAGTTCATTGGTGAGTTCTTATTTATTTTGCAGTTCTGTATATTTTAAGTGGAGCATTTAGGCCATTTACATTCAATGTTATTATTGAGATGTGAGGTACCATTGCATTCATTGTGCTATTTGTTGCCTGTGTACCTTGGTTTTTTCATTTTTTGTTTTTGCTTTTTAACTTGTATTTTTGTTTTATAGGTCCCGTGTGATTTATGCTTTACAAAGTTTTGTTTTGATATGTTTCTAGGATTTGTTTCAAGATTTAGAGCTCCTTTTAGCAGTTCTTCTAGTGGTGGCTTGGTAGTGGTCAATTCTCTCTGTATTTTCTGAAAGGCTGTATCTTTCTATCATATATGATGCTTAGTTTTGCTGCATACAAAATTCTTAGCTGAAAATGGTTTCATTTGAGGATACTGAAGATAGGGCCCCAATCCCTTCTAGCTTGTAGGGTTTCTGCTGAGAAATCTGCTGTTAGTCTGACAGGTTTTCCTTTATAGGTTACCTGGTGCTTCTGTCTCACAGCTCTTAAGATTCTTTCCTTCATCTGAACTTTAGATAATCTGATGACAATGTGCCTAAGTGATGATCTTTTTGAGATGAATTTCCCAGGTGTTCTTTGTGCTTCTTGTATTTGAATGACTAGGTCTCTGGCAAGGCCAGGGAAGTTTTCCTCCATTATTCCCCCCAAATATATTTTTCCAAGCTTTTAGAAATCTCTTATTCCTCAGGAACACTGATTATTCTTAGGTTTGGTTGTTTAACATAGTCCCAGCCTTCTTGGAGGCTTTGTTCATATTTTCTTATTATTTTTTCTTTGTCTTTGTTGGATTGGATTAATTCAAAGACTTTGTCTTCGAGCTCTGAATTTCTTTCTTATACTTGTTCAATTCTATTGCTGAGATTTTCCAAAGCATTTTGCATTTCTATAAGTGTGTCCAGTGTTTCCTGAAGTTTTGATAGTTTTTTCTTTAAGCTCTCTATTTCCTTGAATATTTCTCCCTTCCCTTCTTTTATTGTTTTTTGGATTTCCTCACATTGGGCTTTGCCTTTCTCTGGTGCCTCCCTGATTAGCTTAATAACTAACCTCCTGAATTATTTTTCAGGTAAATCAGAGATTTCTTCTTGGTTTGGATCCATTGCTGGTGAACTAGTGTGATTTTTTGGGGGGTGTTAAAGAGCCTTGTTTGGTCATCTTAGCAGGGTTGGTTTTCTGGTTTCTTCTCATTTGGGTAAGCTCTGTCAGAGGGAAGGTCTAGGGCTGCAGGCTGTTGTTCAGATTCTTTTGTCTCATGGCGTGTTCCATTGTAGCAGTACTCTCCTGCTTTTCCTATAACTGTGGCTTCCTGCCAGCCAAACTGCAGCGACTGCTGTCTCTCTTCTGGGTCTAGCCACCCAGCAAGTCTACCTGGCTCCAGACTGGTACTGGGTATTGTCTGTACAGAGCCCTGTGATGTAAACCATCTATGGGTGTCTTAGCTGTGGACACCAGCACCTGTTCTCCTGGAGCTGGTGGTGGGGTCAAATGGACTCTGCAAGGATTCTTAGCTTTGGTGGTTTAATATCCTATTTTTGTGATGGTTGGCCACCTGCCAGGAGATGGCACTTTCCAGGGAGCATCAGCTGTGGTAGCATGGAGAAGAACCAGTGGTGGGTGGGGCCCTAGAACTCCCAAGATTACATGCCATTTATCTTCAGCTACCAGGGTGGATAGGGAAGGCCCATCAGGTGGGGGCAGGGTTGGGTGTCGTAGTTCAGACTGTCCTTCGGTGCGTCTTGCTGAGGCTGCTGTGGGGGATGGGGGTGAGGTTCCCAGGTCAATGGAGTTGTGTACCTACGAGGATTATGGTTGCCTCTGCTGAGTCATGCAGGCTGTCAGGGAAGTGAGGGAAAGCCGGCAGTCGCAGGCCTCACCCAGCTGCCATGCAGTCCGAAGGGCCGGTCTTCTCCCACTGTGCCTCCCCTAACAGCCCCAAGTCTGTTTCCAGGCAGTGGGTGAGCAGAGCTGAGAACTTGCCCCAGGTTACCTGCTTCCCAGCTAGAAAGAAAAGGGCTTGGTTCTACCCCCGCCTGTGGAGAGTCTGCAGGACAGATTCGCACCCTCCCCTGAGTTCTGGCAAAGAGGCTTCTCACCCAGTTCAAATTGTTACAAAGTTCAGCTGGAGACTTCCTTCTCCCTGTGGTGTTTTTCCCCCCTCCTCTGGCTTCCCTCCCAAAGGATCCCTGTGGTGCCAGGCAGGAATGGCCTGCTTGGGGACCCAGGGAGCTCCCAGGGCCTTTCCCACTGCTTCCTCTACCCCTGTATTTCACTCAGTTCTTTAAACTGACTCAGCTCCAGTTAAGGTCGGAAACTTCTCCTGCAAACAGACCTTCAATTTCTCCATTGGGGGTGTGTGTTCGGGAGAGCAGGATCTCCCTTTTCCACTTCCGCAGGTGAGCACTCACAGTATTTGAGGTGTTTCCTGGGTCCTGCAGGAGCAGTCTGCTTCCTTCAGAGGGTCTGTGGGTCCTCTCAGGACTGCTGGTTTGTTCTTGCAGTCGATCTGGAGCTAAAAATTCACGATGCAAGCCTCGGAATGCTGCTGTGTCCATCTGAGTCAGAGCCATGAAGATCCCATATTTTCTTTATCCAGTCTATCACTGATGGGCATTTGGGTTGATTCCATGTCTTTGCTATTGTGAATACTGCTGAAATGAACACACACATGCATGTATCTTTATAACAGAATGATTTGTATTCCTTTGGGTATATATAGTAATGGGATTGCCGGGTCAAATGTTATTTCTGGTTCTAGGTCTTTGAGGAATCGCCACACTGTTTTCCACAATGGTTGAACTAATTTACATTCCCACTAACAGTATAAATGCATTCTTATTTCTCCACAGCGTCACCAGCATCTGTTGCTTCTTGGCTTTTTAATAATTGTCATTCTGACTAGCACGAGATGGTATCTCATTGCAGTTTTGCTTTGCATTTCTGTAATGACCAGTGATGTTGAGCTCTATTTCATATGTTTGTTAGCCACCTAAATGTCTTCTTTTGAGAAGTGTCTGTTCATATCCTTTGCCCACTTTTTAATGGGTTTGTTTCTTTCTTGTAAATTTGTTCCTTGTAGATTCTGGATATTAGACCTTTATCAGATGGCTAGATTATAAAAATCTTCTCCCGGCCGGGCGCGGTGGCTCACGCCTGTAATCCCAGCACTTTGGGAGGCCGAAGCGGGCGGATCACGAGGTCAGGAGATCAAGACCATCCTGGCTAACAAGGTGAAACCCCGTCTCTACTAAAAATACAAAAAAAAAATTAGCCGGGCGTGGTGGCGGGCGCCTGTAGTCCCAGCTACTTGGGAGGCTGAGACAGGAGAATGGCATGAACCCGGGAGGCGGAGCTTGCAGTGAGCCGAGATTGCACCACTGCACTCCAGCCTGGGGGACAAAGCGAGACTCCGTCTCAAAAAAAAAAAAAATCTTCTCCCATTCTGTAGGCTGTCTGTTCACCTGACAACAGCTTCCTTTGCTGTGCAGAAGCTCTTTAGTTTAATTAGATCCCAATCTTTGCTTTTATTGCAATTGCTTTTGATGTTTTTGCCATGAAATCTTTGCCCATGCCTACGTCCTAGATGGCATTGCCTAGATTTTCTTCTAGGGTTTTTATAGTTTTGGGTTTTACATTTAAATCTTTAATCCATCTTGAGTTAATTTTTGTATAAGGTGTAAGGAAGGGATCCAGTTTCAATTTTCTGCATATGGCTAGCCAGTTTTCCCAGCACCATTTATTAAATAAGGAATCCTTTCCCCATTGCTTGTTTTTGTCAAAAATCAGATGGTTGCAGATGTGTGGTCTTATTTCCAAGATCTCTATTCTGTTCCATTGGTCTATGTGTCTGTTTTTTGTAGCAGTACCATGCTGTTTTGGTTTCTGTAGCCTTGTAGTATAGTTTGAAGTTGGGTAGTGACACACACGTTTAAAAGGTATACATGAACCTCTTCTACTGAGTGGTTTTATTATGGATAGATGTTGACTTTCATACTATTTTTTTCATAAAATCTACTAATATGATGAATTATATTAATGTGCTTCCTAATACTGAACCTAACTCATGTTTCTGGAATAAATCTCCTTTAATCATTCATTGATGTTTCTTTTTATGTGCTTTTTGATTTGGTTTTGCTAATTTTTATTTAAAACTCTTTTTTAAACGATTCCCATAATACTTGTTTATTTTTTTCTAACTTTTACTTTAGGCTCGGGGGACATGCACAGGTTTGTGATATACGTAAACTGCATGTCATGGGGGTTTGGTGTACAGATTATTTTGCCACCCAGGTAATAAGCATAGGACCTGCTAGGTAGTATTTTTATCCTCATCCTCTTCCCACCCTCCATCCTCAAGTAGGTCCCGGAGTCTGTTGTTCCTTTCTTTGAGTCCGTGTGTACTTAATGCTTAGCTCCCACTTTTAAGTAAGAACACGCGGCATTTGGTTTTCTGTAAAATTCTTAAATTAATATTAATAAACTAGATTGAGCTATGGTTTTTACTTTTATGTGTAATCGTTGTCAGGCTTTATAGTTAATATTATATACATAAAACAAAATTGAAAGTTTCACTTTATTTTCAATGCTCTGGATTAACCTAAGTAGCACCAGGGCCATTCGATATCTGAAGGTTGGTAGATTTGACCCACAAATCAATCTTCCTGGTCCTTCTTTTTCAGGGAGCTCTTTTACACCTTCCTCTAATTTTTTCCTGTGGAAATTGCTCTGCCCAGTCTTTCTATCTCTATATGGTTTAATTTTGTTAGGTCATATTTTCCTAGAGATTTATCCATCTTAACTTGGTTTTCAAATTTATTTGAATGGAGTTAAAAAGATTCTTCCCATGGGCCTAAATCCCCTATCTATCTCACTAAGGAAAATAAATGTTACTTGCTGAGTGCCCACAATTACATTGATCGTGCTTACTGCTTTAAGGGTGAGTTAACTCTCCTACAGGCAACAATTCCACAGGGACAGTGGTTTAGTTCCACTTTACTAAAGCCCAGAGTGCCCAGTGGCAGAGTAAGGATTCCCACATAGACTCACTTTGATCCAAAAGTCACCATTGTTCCATCACACAATACCATCCCTTTACAATGGAACGGGGTGTCTTCAAAAGGTGTCAGGTCAAAACATCTGGTGCCTTTGAAATATATTATGTGCATAGATGCATGATTGGAAGCAAAACATTTCCTTAGTTGACACTCACTCAGTTGTACCTTCCCATAGTTTTCTCCCAGTATGGAAAGATGGAAGAAAAGTCTCTTTTAAAATTTACATATTTGGGAATAGCAGTAAGTGTAGGACCTACTGAAGTCTTCTCCTGTGTGCACTGAAATGATATACTCATCAATGGCATATAGAATTCTTCCAGGGTTCCTCCTATGACAGCAAGTGTATAGCTGTCATTACAGTCATGGGCTTAGGATCCCAAAAAGGTTACAGACTGTTCATAAAAACTACAGATGCTCAATTTATGATGGGGTTATACACCAATAAACTTACCTTAAGTTGAAAATACATTAAGTTGAAAATGAATTTAATATTCCAATAAATCCATCTTAAAGCTGAAATAAGTCGAACCATCGTTAAGTCCAGAAGCTCCTTGACTTATGATGGGGTAACCTCCCAAGAAATCTATCCTAAAGTTAGAAAATCCTAAGTCCAACCATTCTAAATTTGGACTAGTTTGTAGACAATTCCTAAAGTATCCACAAGGAATAATAATCAATAGTTTTGAAGAAAAGTCTTAAACATGAAAGTGAACTTTGTAAGGACCCAAAACATGGTAACACTTGTTCTGACTTGTAGAAAACTACAATCTTGCAACAGTGTAATGTGCCCACACCCTGAAAAGATCACCTTACACGAGAACCTCCATGTCACAGAGATTATCTCATCCCTGAAAATGCGCAGCAGAGCTTGACTGACAATTCTAAACCCTCAGCATTGGAATGCTTGCAAGGCCGCTTTGCTTTGAAAGATTTATGTTTTTATTCTTCAGGCTCACAAATCTAGCTGTTACACTGGCATAAAATATGTGCCTGAATCAGACCAATGTGCCATTGACAAGGGTTTAAAAAAAATCCAAAAACCTTACAAATCAGGTTGCTACTTTTCCTATCGATTCCAATCATTAAATCAGTTCTTCTGGGTAAAGGCACCTTATTTTCAAGGAAAAGACAGCCTAATGGGTCAGCCTCTTTTCCTGGCCTGCCATTGTCATTGTGACAAGTGTTGGGGCACACTTTGCGCATTGAGCTGTCACCCCAACCTACTTGCCTCCTTCTTCTCTCTGTGAAGGCTGCCCTGGAGGACAGGGTTCATGTTTTATTTGTCTTAACATCACCACAAGCTGGAATATACCGGATAATAAGTATGCTGAATAAATGAACAAAAGGAAACTAAAAACACTAAACCTACCTTCATACTCCATTCTGATGGGCAGACATGAAAATACCCAAAATTCCACCTAGATTGGAATCAGTACTCTAATACTGCTTACAAGTAAACCCATTGGAATATAAGAAAGGAACAGTTCTCTGTGCCTGGCAGATGAAGACAGCTGAAGGTAAGATAAATTTTTTAGGAGGATTAAGGAAAAGTGCAAAGAGGGCATTCTGGGCTGGATGAGCAGCATGGGTGTTGGCCGGGCACAGATACCCCAGTGTGTCCAGGAGAGCCGGTGGCCAAGAGGCTGGGGATGAAGGTGAGGGCCAGCCCTGGGGGCTGCCAGGGTGAGTAGCTTACCTATGTTATGAGGCCAGTGGGAGGCTGATGAGAATTTCAGAAGACAGAACTGACAGGAATGACATGCTTTAGGAAAATAAATGAAGATACAAAAAATTGGCATCCAGAGCCTAGAAGGCAACGGGCAGGTGCTAGCCCAGCTTCTTAGATGTTGTCCACTGCATACCCTTGCACCTACTGCAGACTGAATCTTGGTTTATCAGGGAGCAGTTGAGACCCTGGATTTCAGAAAAGACAGACAAAATTCCTAGCACCCAGGGATGAAATGCAATTGGTAAAAGCCCGTTATTCCCTGACTTGTGATTCACCAATCTGCATGTGCCATGCTGGACGACGATCCAGTCTACCTGATGGAAATGGTTGGGTTTCCAACTGGTTGGGTTTAGAGGAAAGCACTTGCTTACCTGATAGAAAGAGACAGGCTTAAATGGAATAGTCCTTTCTCATGATGCCTTTTTCCCCTTCTTTCTGCCTTGAGTGAGGAAATAACATCTGCAAGTCCACCCACCATTCTGGGAGTACAAAACATAATGCAAGAGGACAAAACCCAAGAAAAGTTGGGTGGAGTAGGAAGCTATTTCCGATGGTATCATGGAACACTTGCACCAGCCGTAGACAGTCCACCCGTGGACTTCTTATTATACTTCTCATCTAAGTATCTATTTTTTCAAGCCAGTTAAGTCAAATGTCTGGTTACTTGTAGCTGAATGTATTCCTAATTGATAGACAAAGGTAAAATGACTTAGAGGTCTGAACTAGAAAAGAGGCAATAGAAAAAAAAAACCCAAGGCAAATACCATTTATAAACATAGATGTACAACTTAAAATTAAAGATTAGCAAATGAGTCCATAACACAGAAAAAGACATAAAGAGACAAATTAGAGCCTTGGAGCTGCTGCAGCCATCTTGGGTGCTTGGTTGTGGGGGTTATTAGGGTGGAAAGAGATGAGTCTGTGGGGTTCTAGAGATGCCATTACCAACCCTGGAGTGCCTCATTCTCGTACATGTGAGAGAAGTGAATTCTCCTCTTGTTAAATCTGCCATAATGTCTCCTCTCTGTTACTAACAGCCAAACATGATTCTCATGCCAATACACTATCTTAACAAATTTGAGGAGAAAAACCATACGGTCATCTTAAAAGATGCCAAAAAGCCCACAGTTATTCATTATACCACGTTGAAACAAACCAGGAATAGAAGGAACCTTTTTTTCTACTTATTAAATGATATTGATTCTAATTTTTTAGGACTTATCAGACCTAATAATGAAAACTTTAGAAGCATTTCCATCAAGGTTTAGAACAAACTCATGACTAAGTATTGTAACAAATGAGAACATTTTAAATGGCTGGAACAAGATCAACATCCAAAAATCAACACTTTTCCTACATGTCAACATTAGCCAAGTTAGAATTTTAAAAACAACACAAAAAGATCTATTTCATAATAGCCAACCAACCCCCACCAAATATCCTGTAAGTTAATTAGGAAAAACACACAAAAAGAAGGAAACCTTTATTTTTTTTCCTTTGCAGAAAACAATAAATCTTTAATGAGGTATAGAAAGAGAACTTCAATAAATGGATGGGAAGACTATATTGGTAAGTTGCCAGTTCCTCTCTAATATGTATAATAAATTGAATGCAATCAATACAGAATTTTTTGTGGAAGCTGACAAACAGTTTCTAAAACTTAGAAGAATAAGCCAGTAATTCCAAGACAATTTTGAAGAAAATAAGTTGCATGTTTGTTCTCCCACACTTCACACATAAAGATATTGTGACTAAAGTGATGGATACACAGGAACAGACAGAGACACATGGACCTGTGGAGGAGAACAGAAAATGCAGAGATGTGTGAGGGTAGTGGGAGAAGAGAGAGAGAATTTGGTAGATGATAATGGCAGATGCCCTTAACTTCCCATCCAATACCCATTCCCCTTCCTTATTGCCAACAGACCTTTGCTTTTGCTCATGGCTACAATGTGCTCAGCCCCATGTAGTAAATCCACGGGCTTAATACATGGGCTGATGATTGGGCTAAGTGAATCAAGACAATTCTGACTTCTGCTTTACCAGTTTTTCCTGCAGCTAAAAGTATCCATGTGGCCAGTTCTTTCTCCTCCATGAGCTGCCAAAATGCAACAGGAAATCTGCTAGGCTACTTTTGGCAAATGTTTTGCTTTCCTAAGAGGTATGCATAGAATCCTTCCACCTTGAAGTGATGTGATACGAGAAGCTGTGCTGGCCTGTGACCATGAGGGACGGGTCAAGAGAACCTGAAAGATGCTGCCATGACATCACTGAGCAGTCAACCCAATGGTGCACTGGCTCCCAACTCTGTCTTGTGAAATTAAACATCTCCAACGAAGCTGAAAGCATCGCTAACTGACAGAATGACACACGTGGGGAATCCCAAATTTCTGAAAAACCTGTGGGAAAAGGACCACATTATAAAATTTATAAAATAAGTTGGAAACCTAATTGGAAAAAATAAAGCAAGATTCCCTACATCATATCACTGACCAACAAATTCCACAGGAATTAAATACACATAGACAAGAAGTAAAACTGTAAGTGTGCCAGAGAAAAGTATAGGTGAATACATTTATGACCTTGCGGTAATAAAGTGTGCTGGAGACCCTGCCTGATGTTGACCATGGCCCTTGCCTTTGTGTTTCTAGGTCACATTTCTTGGCCTCCCAAGGCCAAGCAAGGTGTGGCCACGTGACTTAAGTTCCATGAAAATAGAATATGGCATGGAAGGAACGTGAGCCATTTCCAGGCCTGGCCCCAGTCTCCCACTGCATCCCCACTTCTCCCTTATCTCTTATTTGCCAGCTCAGCTCATTAGAGAGGATTCAGCAGAGAGTCAGTGACTCCAGGGGATAGTAGAGCTGCTGGATGGGAGAAATGTGGGTCCCTACATGATGGTGTGGTCTCTATCAGGCTGGCACATGGCAAGAAATAAAGCTGCCTTGTGTTAAAGTGCTGAGATTTGTGGGGATGTTCATTTTAGCATTTAGCCAGCCCTAACTAATAAATAAAGCCTTTTTAAGAGCTAAAAAGTGAAGGTCCATCCAATATGGTTTGGCTGTGTCCCCACCCAAAATGTCATCCTGAATTGTAATCCCCATAATCCCCATGTGTCAAGGGTGGGATCAGGTGGAGGTAATTGGATCATGGGGGTGGTTTCCCCCATGCTGTTCTCATGATAATGAGTGAGTTCTCATGAGATCTGATGGTTTTTATAAGTGCCTGGCATTTCCCCTGCTTGTATTTCTCCTTCCCGCTGTCCTGTAAAGAAGGTATCTTGCTTCCCCTTCACCTTCCACCATGATTGTAAGTTTCCTAAGGACTCCCCAACCATGCTGAACTGTGAGTCAATTAAATCTCTTTCCTTTGTAAATTACCCAGTCTCAGGCAGTTCTTTATAGCAGTATCAAAACAGACTAATAGAGTAAATTGGTATCACAGAGAGTGGGGTGCTGCTATAAAGATACCCAAGAATGTGGAAGTGACTTTAGAACTGGGTACAGGCAGAAGTTGGAACAGTTTGGAGGGCTCAGAAGACAGGAAGATGTGGGAAACTTTGGAACTTCCTAGACTTGCTGAGTGGCTTTGATCAAAATGCTGACAGTGAGATGGACAATCAAGTCCAGGCTGAGGTGGTCTCAGATGGAGATGAGGAACTTGTTGGGAACTGGAGCAAAGGTGACCCTTTTTATGCTTTAGCAAAGAGACTGGTGGCATTTTGCCCCTGCCCTAGGGATCTGTGGAACTCTGAACTTGAGAGAGATGATTTAGGGTATCTGGTGGGAGAAATTTCTAAGCAGCAAAGTGTTTAAGAGATGACTTGGTGCTCTTAAAAGCATTTAGTTTTATTCATTCACAAAGATATGGTTTGGAATTGGAACTTATGTTTAAAAGGAAGCAGAGCATAAAAGTTCAGAAAATTTGCAGCCTGACAATGCGATAGAAAAGAAAAACCAATTTTTTGAGGAGTAATTCAAGCTGGCTGTAGAAATGTACATAAGTAATGAGGAGCCAAATGTTAATCACCAAGATAATGGGGAAAATGTCTCCAGGGCATGTCAGAGGTCTTCACAGCAGCCCCTCCCATCACAAGCCAGGAGGCCTAGGAGGAAAAAAACGGTTTTGTGGGTTGGGCCCAGGGCCTTGCTGCTTTGTGCAGTCTCAGGACTTGGTGCCCTGTGTCCCAGCTGTGGCTAAAACGGGCCAATGTACAGCTCAGGTTGTTGCTTCAGAGGGTGCAAGCCCCAAGCCTTGGCAGCTTTCATGTGGTGGTTGGCCTGCAGCTGCACAGAAGTCAAGAATTGAGGTTAACCTCTGCCTAGATTTCAGAGGATCTATGGAAATGCTTGGATGTCCAGGCAAAAGTTTGCTGCAGGGGCAAAGCCCTCATGAAGAACCTCTGCTAGGGCAGTGCAGAGGGGAAATGTGGGGTCACAGCCCCCACACAAGAGTCCCCACTGAGGCACTGCTTAGTGGAGCTGTGAGAAGAGAGCCACTATTCTCCAGATCCCAGAATCGTAGATCCACCAACAGCTTGTACTGTGCACCTAGAAAAGTCGCAGACACTCAACACAAGCCTGTGAAAGCAGCCAGGAGCGGGTCTATACCCTGCAATACCACAGGGATGGAGCTGCCCAAGGCTGTAGGAGCTCACCTGTTCCATCAGCATGACCTGGATGTGAGACATGGAGTCAGAGGAGATCATTTTGGAACTTTAAGGTTTAACATTGCCCTACTGGATTTTGGACTTGCATGGGGCCTGCAGCCCCTTTGTTTTGGCTAATTTCTCCAATTTGGAATGGCTGTATTCACCCAATGCTTGTACCCCCATTGTATCTAGGAAGTAACTAATTTGCTTTTGACTTTACAGGTTCATAGGCATAAGGGACTTGCCTTGTCTCAGATGAAATTTTGGACTTGGACTTCTGGGTTAATGCTGGAATAAGTTAAGACTTTGGGGGACTGTTGGAAAGGCATGACTGTGTCTTGAAATGTGAGAACATGAGATTTGATTTGGAAGGGGCCAGATGTGGAATTATATGGTTTGGCTATGTCCCCACCCAAAATCTTATCTTGAATTGTAATCCCCATGTGTCAAGGGTGGGACCAGGTGGAGGTCATTGGATCATGGGGGTGGTTTCTCCCATGCTGTTCTCATGATAGTGAGTGAGTTCTCATGATAGTGAATGAGTTCTCATGAGATATGATGGCTCTCTAAGTGCCTGGCATTTCCACTGCTTGCATTTCTCCTTCCTGCTGCCCTGTAAAGAAATGTGCCTTGCTTCCCCTTCACGTTCCGCCATGATTGTAAGTCTCCTGAGGACTCCTCAGCCATGCTGAACTGTGAGCCAATTAAACCTCTTTCCTTTATAAATTACCCAATCTTGGGCAGCTCTTTATTGCAGTGTGAAAACAGACTAATACACCATCAAAATAAAGTTGATAAAACTGATAATAGCAAAAACCAAAGACAATAAACAAAGTTCTATATGAGAAAAAAATCATAGATATTTTAAAGTTACATAACAGAATAAGAAGTTCTGGAAAAAACATAAAAACAAGGCATTGGTATTCAAAGGACCAATTAAAAAATTGGCATATTATATGATTGTGTAATTTACAGGAAACTCAAATGACTAGTCGACAAATGAAAAGAGAATCAACCTTAGTCATAATGATGAAAATACAAATTCGACAAGATAATCACTAACCACCCTCACCCAAGCCCTCATGCATCAAATTGGCAAGGGAAAAAAAGCCTGAAAACATCAAGTCCTGGTGAAGTGAAATTGGTAGTTTTTAACATTGCTAGTAGGAGAATATTGGGCTAGTGGTGAGGTCAGCAGGGGGCATTTTTTTAGTATCTAAAATTGTTTTTAATATAGAATACACATTTTAATATAGAATTGTAACTGTACAATTCTGCCATTCAGTATCTTCCTGAGAGAACACTCTAATTATGTGTACAAAGAGGCATGTCTAAGGATGTTCCCTACAGCATAGCTGGAAATGTAAAAAAAGTTTGTCCATAGGAGATTGACTGAATCAAGCCTATTATATCAGTACCTGGACTACATTACAGGTGTCATCATGAAAGTGTCTCTAAGATATTAATGTGTTATAGCGTGATTAAACAATACTAACGGGAAAAAGGTCTCATGGGTAGAAAACTGTCCAGAAGGAAAACTGGCTATGGTCATGAGGGCTCTTAGGAGCTCAGGACCCGGGAGGGAAGGAGCAGGACACTCATCTCTACTTTAAGGCCTCCCAAACTCTTTGTCCCCTGCTCACATAATAAACCATACTTCAAGCATCATTTCCTACTGAAACTATTAAATAAGATACAAGAAATGACAGGGGACTGGGCTCCAGATGGAGGCAGATGCAAGCAAGAGAAGAGTAGAAAGGTGCACTTTGTTTAGCAGCTGAAGTGATGTGGGCTGGAGAATCCATGCAGGCTGTGCTGGCACAAACCCCGGGGAAAGGCAGGGCTAGTTTTGAGTTGAGGTTTTGCCATTCTCTTCAAGTGTGGTCTTTAGGAAGTCACTAAACCCCTGTGAATCCACTTCCCCATCAATACATGCGGAAGATACCATATCTTTCTTAGAAATTTGTTAAGTTTAAATAAACCTAAATAAAAATATATGTATCGGTCTGCCTGCCTGTCTGTCCACCTATCATCTATCTTCAATCTATATTCTATCTCTCCCTTTCTTGTTCCACCCACCTACCTACCTACCTATGTATCTTTTGATATATATTTTTTCCTGTCCGTATGTATCTATCTTTCTTATTAATTTTCTCATTGTCTGTCTGCCTTCCTCTTTCCTGATTTTCTGTCTCCCCTTCTGTTGGTCATGTGTCTGCTAAGTAGATGTCTAACTATCCATGTTTCTTTCTTTCTGCCATCCTGTCTATTTCTACCTGTCTCCATCCATCCATCCATCCATGCACCCACCCACCCAGCCACCCACCTATGCATGTTTCTGGGTGTCTATTTGTCAGTATGTCTGTAGGTCTTTGTGCTATATATCTGTCTATATGACCACCTGTCTGTCTCTCTATGCTAGAAACTCTCTGTTTTTCTGTCTGTCCATCTGGAGTCTCAATGTTTTTCCTTGTCTGTATGTCTTTCAATCTATCTTGTTTGTGTGCATATCTACCCGTATGCCTATGAATGTATTTATCTGATTATCCAAAACCTGCCTGAATGTCTGTCTATATATCCCCCTCCCTCCTTTCCTTTCTCCCTCTATACCTTTCTGTCTGACTGTGTTTCACTGTCTAATAATGACTGTCTAATTTCTCTCTGACAGTCTAATTTCTATTGACCACTGTTGACCTACCTTCATGGTGCTTGACACAGAGCAGAGCCTCACTCAAGGCTAGTTTACTTCCCCCTTTTCAGTTCCTTTCACTCTTTCATTGCTCCATTCTTACACTCAGCTGCCATTAACTGGGCCATTGCTCTGTGTTATGTGCTAGGGATACAACCTAAAATTAGGCAGGGTCTCTACCTTCTAAGAGTATTTGGGCTGCTGGCCTAAAAAGCAAATTAATGAGGCAGTTATATGATGCTTAGAGCTATGAGAGACAAGATGGTGTCAGGCACAAGGGAAGGGCACCCATGCTAGACTGGAGTGGAGGAGAGAGTGAGAGAGGCTCTGAGGAAGTGACATCTCATCTGAAAACCACAGAGGACTGGGGATTTTGCAAAGTGGAGGGCTGAGCTCCATGTAATTGGGGAAGAGGTATGGACAGTGGTGCAAAGCTAGAAAAAGGGAACAGGGTCCATGTAGACCTGGAGAACAACAGAGCCAGGACACAGTCAAAAATTCTAACTAAGGAATTCACAAAATTCAGACAAAAGAGACCAAAATTGACCTAAATAGAGAGATGTATTGTTTTTATGGATTGTAAGATATACCACAGTTAAGATGTCAAGTATAGTCACACTGATCTATAAATTCAGTGCAATCCCAGTCAACATTCCAGCAGGTTTCTTTGTAGGCACAGACAAGCTGATTCTAAATCTATATAGAAAGATAAACTAGATTAGCCAAAACAACGTTGAAAAAGAAAAAAGTTAGAGGACTCGCACACTTGATTTTAAGATGCATTATAAACCTCCTGTGGCCAAGACAGTATAGTATTGGGATAGTAAAGGATAGACACGTTTACTACTAAAACAAAAGACAACTGATTTTTGACAAAGGCACAAAGACAATCCAATGGAGAAAAGATAGACTTTTCCAAAAAATGATGCTGGAGCAAATGGACTTCAGTAAAGTAAACTCAATCTACATCTTACACCATATATAAAAATTAACTCTGAATGGATCATAGACTAGGTGTGCCTGTATGTTTAGGTGTCCATGTGTGAGCATGTGCATGCATGTGCTGTGTGTGTGCATGTCCATGTGAGTGTGCATGTGTTTAATAGTGTGTATGTGTATTTGTGACTTCTGTGTGCATGTTTATGTTGAGTGTGTGTGAATATATGTGCATGTTTGCATGCGCATGTGTGTATGAATGTATGTGCACATTCGCATAACTGTGTGTGACTGTGCGTGTTAAAAAGGGACACAGGGAAGGGTGTCTAAGGGACATTTGGTTAGAAATTCCAGTGGGCTGGTTGCTTATACTTGGAAGTTTCCAGACCACTTAGAGTAAGTGGAATCAAGATAGTCAATGGCAGTGGCTCTTTCCATTAAGAAAAAATAATTTAGATTTCACAAATACAGGAGAATTTCAGCTTTTGGGCTTTCTTATCGGCCCATATTAGTGGACTACTTACACATGTCAGCGACTGGTAAAATTCAGTGTTTTATTTTAGTGTCTATCTTTTCAAATAGAATAAACAATTTTCCAAAATAAAAAAATAAACATAAAGGAAATAAATATCTGTCATCATGTATGGCTCTGAACTTTTAAAATAGATAACAGTGAGATAGGTGGATTCTGAAGAACCCACCCAGCTTTCTATAATACCCTGTCAACTTTATGACCTAATAATCTAGTAATTGTTTTCTTCTTTAGTTTCTTGGGTTTTCATTTTTAGTCACTAGAAACACTTATATAAATACAAATCCATGCAGGTATTCCAAAAATTCCTGGGGACAATTTATGTGTAGTCCCTGGTTCTCACTGCCTCAGTTTTGAAATGAGGATAGCAGTTTCTATTTTAATATGGTTGTGGTGGTGATTACATAGCATAGTGCCTGGCACATAGCAAGTACCAAAAAAAGGATAGGTACCTCATAAATATATACATCTACTATACACCCACAGAAATAAAAAAATTAAAAAGATAGGTATGATTATGATTATTGTGGCCATTATTTATGTATTTATTTGCAACATATTCTTAGATTAATAACCTTGGAAACCTAACAAAACCGTCTGGAGTTCTATTCCTTCAGAAGATTTGCTTTTGGTACTTTTTATATCAAAATAACATATAATTTTTAAAAGGTTGGTTCTGAATTGAAACTGATGACTATGAAGTCCAAGTTTATAGGATCAGCTGTTTGAGTCAGAAAGAAACTGCATTCTTAAGCAGAAAATTTATTTGTCCACACTCCCCTGAGGAAAGAATGGTAAAGCCAATTTCATTCAAACACTAAGCATTGGCTCAAGACCAAATAAGAAGCATTGCAGCCCTGGATGATGTAGCCACAGTAAGTTGGAAGCAATTGATTTCAACAAAGAAAACGATTTTGCTACTGGCCAAGGATGGGGAATCTTTCTGACTTGCACATTGTCTCCACAAATAAGGTGCCTCTAGTTAAGCCTCCCTAATCAATGGCCAAGGATGCAATTACAGTTGCAGAGAAGTGGAACTCAAATGGAGTGGGAATAAAGAAAGGAAGATTAATAAATAATAGGAAAGCGGGAGTAGAGAAGCAGGAGAAAGGAGATGGGAGAAGCTGGCAAAGATGAAACACAGCTCTGCTGAGAAGCATATATCCAAGAACAATCAACACTATAAATTTCATGGATGCTGCATCAGTTACCTATTGCTGTGAAACGACAACTCCCAGATTTAGGGACTTAAAATAACACATATTCATAATCTCACCATTTCTGTGGGGCAGAAGTCAGAGTGCACCTTAGCTCAGGGTCTCTCACAAGGCTGCAACCAAAATGTGAGTTGAGGCTGCAGTCTCGTCTGAAGGCTCAAATGAGGAAGCATTCTCTTCCAAGCTTACTCATGTGATCATTCACAGAATTGTTTCTGAGGGTTGTTGAACTAAGAAGCTCAGTTCTTTGCCACGTGGGCCTTTCCATAGGTGAGATCACAACATCAGAGTTGTTTCATCAGAGCAACCATGTGAGAAGAGTCAGAGAGAGCCTGAGCAAGACAGAAGTCGCAGTGTTTGTATCCTGGTCTTGGAAGTGACATCTGTCACTTCTGCTGTATTTTGTTTATTAACAGCAAGTCACCATGTCCAGCCCACACCCAAGGGCAGGGGACAACACAAAGATGCGATGTCAGGAGGCAGGAATGGTTGGGAGCTGTGTCAGAAGCTGCCTCCCACACATGGCCTTGCAGTATCTACACCGGAGCTCAAGTGCATTGTGCAGGCCAAAAAGCAGCACCTTCACCCGGTGCTACGTGATCACTCACAACTTGTCAATCACCATATTTTAGCTGATTGTTATGGAAACGTTGATTCCAAACTTGAAAAAGGGAAAAATGATGATTTCTGGAATCTGTGATATTCTGCTAGAATGCAAATAAGTCTGATTGATCCCATTCTGAAGCTCTTGAGCAGTGTGACAAATATTTATCTAATCATTCACAATTGGTTAAAATAAAGAGGTTTACAGCCCTGTGAGATTAGCCTGCAGAATTGATAGCTTATGACTTTTACTGCCTAGTAAACAAGTTAACTCCAAATTTGGCATTTTTTTCATTGCTTTGTAGAGGTTTGCCTTAACTTAGCATCTTATTTCCGCATTTGTTTCCCAACTGACCTTAAAAATCCCAGTTACTGGCTGGGTGCGGTGGCTCACGCCTGTCATCCCAGCACTTTGGGAGACCAAGGCGGGTGGATCATGACGTCAGGAGATCAAGACTATCCTGGCTAACACGGTGAAACCCTGTCTCTACTGAAAAAAAAAAAACAAAAAACAAAAA
Source organism: Homo sapiens (assembly GCF_000001405.40). Taxonomy (NCBI): domain Eukaryota; kingdom Metazoa; phylum Chordata; class Mammalia; order Primates; family Hominidae; genus Homo; species Homo sapiens. The sequence continues at coordinate 3,970,656 of NT_187660.1, forward strand.
AATTAGCCGGGCGTGGTGGCGGGCGCCTGTAGTCCCAGCTACTCGGGAAGCTGAGGCAGGAAAATGGTGTGAACCCGAGAGGTGGAGCTTGCAGTGAGCCAAGATCGCACCACTGCACTCCAGCCTGGGCGACAGAGCGAGACTCCGTCTCAAAAAAAGATCCCAGTTACCAAATGCTTGTGGAGCCAGATCATTTGTCTTTTTGCTGGTTCCCTTACTGATGAGTTAAATAAAGCTTTGGAACATGGCAACAGACGACTTTGCCTGAGAATTGAGCTTTTGCACGCTCTAGGAGTAAACCAGAACCAAGATGGACATAGGGAATTCAGCAAAGTGCTGAATAGACACTGGGTTCCTGGCCTTCTCTTGACTGGCTGACCCACCTTCACACACTTATGGGGCACAATGTCTGTGTGGATCGCAAGCCCCCAGGGGATTTAAGAACTGCCCTGAGGGTGTGTCTTCAAGCCTTTTGTGAATTTATACTTATGCCATCTCACGGGGGACTGTGTCTCTTTCCATGGCTCAGCACCAGGGCTTTGAAGAGTAAGACCCAAAACCAAGTTCTGGGTGTGAGGGTTTCCTGGCTGGTGATGCTGTTGAATCCACACTGGGGAACACATACTGCCAGGCTGCTGCTATGCAGAAGGGAACAGGAAGAGGGAGAGGCCTGGCCCAGGGCTGTGGAGAAGGAGGGGTCCTTTTCCCCTGAGTGTGGCCAAGCACCTGCAAGCCTCCTGGGAGTGGGCCTCTCTGCAGGGGCTTTGCCTTGGCTTCCAGCCACCTCCATTTGGTTCTCCAGCACACAGGCCATGAGCGTGGAGCTCACTCAAGACTAGAGAGCTCAGGTTTCCAAGTGGACAGACATTCTGCAGGATGTGCTTTGGGAAACTGAAAAAAAGCAGCCCTGATATTTCCATCCACACACTCAAGTGAAACTCAGTGATTTCCTTGGTGTTGATGCAGAACCAGAGGTTTGCTTTCACCTGCACTTCACTCCTCCCATAACCTTTGGGTTTGCTCCTGGGAAAGCAGAAAAGACACAGTCCCATCTCCAAGGAGCAGATCCAGAGGACGAGGAGACAAGCAAGGATTCCTGGCATGTAAACAGCTGGTAAGAAGGAAAAAGGAGATGTGGAAAGGCTTCAGGGAAGCCTGGGGCTGGAGCCCACCAGAAGAGTCCTCCGGTCCTGGCAAACCCCAGGCTGGCTGGGTTGATATTGCCCCAGAAAGCAGAGGAACCCCACAGGGCCATCCCTTCAAGCTCAGCCCGACAAGAAGCCAACAGAAAGCATGTCATTTGGATGCAGGACACAGAGCGGTCTTCTCTGTGAGCACCAGCTCTCATCTGCTTTTAAGAGTTGTGGGGAAGAAAATGAGGCAAGTAACCTTTTCAGAGGAAGTATTTTTAAGATATTAACATGTTTTCCAACAGCAATGTTTTTGAAGACTCAGTCTAATTCATATTCGTGTGTAGCTTCTAAAATAACCTATATTTTCACAAACTGTTTTCTTGGTAAAATTTTCAAAACATTCTCAAGGAAGATGCATTCTGTGGCAATGGGATGCCAATAAAACTAAAAGGACTTGATTTAAATAGAAAAAAAAAAAACCACACATAATCTTCAAATAAAAGCCCAATTGGTTACTGACTGAAAGGCAAACCGACAACAGACTAGGGAGGTTCAGGCCTAGCGAGGGGAGGCAGTTAAGGCTGACCGAGAGCAGGAGGAGGAAGCCGATGGGGGAGTGCACATCGGGACAGTGTTCGCTGATGAATACTTCCTGCCATAGTGGTTTCATTCCCTATGCAACCTTTTAACTGCAGGGACACAGAGCGTGGGGCCTCTGCTCTGTCACTCAGATTTATTAGCATTTTTGCTAAAGGTCTTATAAGAGATCTCAGGAATAAAAGCAGCATCCAGTGGCTCTCGCCCATGTGTCTTGTGTCTGATAATAATTAACAGCTACTGCTTAGCAAGGCCAGCCACAGGCTGTACCCTCTACCATATGCCTCCTGCGATGGTCACTCCCAGTCTCCTAATTGTAATTATAAGGACACTGAAGGTTTGTGAGGAGAAATGTTTGCTCGCAGTCACCTGGCTGTTGTATGACAGAGACAAGATGCATACCTAGATGCCTATCTGAATGGTCTAACTTCAGAGTCCTCCTCTTGACCACCTCAGTATATGCTCCCTTGTGTGATGACCCCACAACCACAGAAAATGTGAAACATGAAGGACTATGTGACAAAGAAAGTCTGAGGTCCCAATAAACTAATGGGTTAAAAATTATAATAACAACCATCAAGGGATGCTAAGATCACTGGATGAAAATCAGCCAGGGAAGAGAATGTTCACAGGGCTTCAAAGTTTGCCCCATTGCTTACTAGTAAAAGACAAAGAATGTAAAAAGTGACTTTACAGGCTGGACGTGGTGGCTCACACCTGTAATCGCAGCACTTTTAGAGGTCAAGGCAGGTGGATCACCTGAGGTCAAGAGATTGAGACCATCCTAGCCAACATGGTGAAATCTCATCTCTACTAAAAATACAAAAATTAGCTGGGCGTGGTGACGGGCGCCTGTAGTCCCAGCTACTCGGGAGGCTGAGACAGGAGAATTGCTTGAATCCGGTAGGTGGAGGTTGCAGTGAGCCGAGATCGTGCCACTGCACTCCAGCCTGGCGACAGAGCGAGACTCCATCTCAAAAAAAAAAAAAAAAGTAACTTTATAAAGAGAACTCTTGTAGAAATGACCTTAGCCCAGTGAACAAACTTATCACCATGAGCCACGGTGTGCCCACTGATGTGCTGGAAAGACAAATGGAGGAAATGTCTATCTGAATCTAAGTATGAGGAAATAATCAGACAGGTCCAGATTGTGCAGCACTCCATAAAACAAGTGGCTCAGACTCTTCAAAGACGTCAACATCACGAAAGAGAAAAACGAAAGCAGGCCTTTAGTTCAGATAAAAAGAGGCATAACTGAATTCAGTGAGTGATACTTAATTGAACACTAGGCAGGGAAAAACAGCTATGATGAATATTTGGGGGACAATCAGGGGTATCTGGGTAGGGACAACATATTTGGATAATATCACTTTATCGATATTATATTTCACAGTGGTAATAGTGCTATACTTTTGTAGAAGGTAGCTGTGTACTTAGGAGATGATGCCAGAGTGTCTCATGATGTCAGCAACTTACTTTCAAATGATTCAGACAAAAAGAATCAAACACACACAAACACATATTTACCACCTGTGTGTGTCTGTTTGTGTATAAACAATTGGTAAATCTGGGTGAAGAATTACGGGTGTTCACTTTTCTATTCCTTCAAGTTTGCTGTAGAATTAAAGCTTATAAAATAAAAAGTAGGCAAGAAGGTATATAAAAATTTTGTTCCAAGAGTCATAAAGCAAAAGAATGGTTATGCTCTCAGTCAGATTAAAATTGTATTATTGGATAAGAAGTAACAGGAAACAGTAAAAGTAAAAATAATTAGTGTGTTAAGATAATGGCACTATTTTTCTTTTGCTTATAATATTTAAAAAATCAATAATGGTTGCAACAGATGACAAATTTTGCACTGGTATAAATCAAGTCACTTGTCAATCACTACAGTTGTTTTTTTTTTCCTTTTAAAGAATAATGCCTATTATTCCAATCTCAAATTCTAATGCAGTATGAAATACATTTCATGACTCTTTCTCAATGAACCTTACACTTTATCTGGGCTTTAGATCTGATTTCCAGGGAGTCCACAGAACCACTACCAGCTCTATTGTCAGAGGCGGTGACTGCACTTGCCCCTTTGGCCTGCCACTAAGACCCCACGAACACAGGACTTACTTTTCAGACACCTGATTCTGGAGGTGTGTGGCAGTCAGGCATGCAGGCCAACACTGCGCCGTCCCTGCTGGAAATGGCCCATTGTTGCCCCAGTGGAAGGTGAGACCACAGCGCCTGAGAACACTGGAAAAGACAGTGAGAATAAAAGAGAATGTTCACACTTCATGGGAAGTGAGAATTAACAATTTCAATTTTAGGATTAATTTTTTATAGTTTAAAAATTAAATATTAATGTTTCAAATTTTTAAATGATTTTAAATATTTAACATGCATTTGAAATTGGCTGGTGAATCCCACAGCCCTGAATCCCACTCCCAACACACGATCCCACCCTTTAATTTTCAAATGAATGTCCCATCAGGAGACAGATGAGGATCAATGGGAAAAGTCTCATCCGTGTGGACTTAACAGACGTGAGGGTGGGCTCAGAGCCCCTAGAAGCTGATGTGCCAGGGGAGGGGACTGTGCTTCTCAGCGGGGCTCAAACACTGAACTCTGACTTCTGAGATTCTGGGAGAGAAGTTCTGGGGGTGTGATCTGCAGGGAACCTCAAAGTGAGGGGGCTGTTCATGTTCCACACAGTGGAACCAGGTACACCCCATCTCGACTGGGCATCCCCTAGGTCAGCAGATGTCTGTATATTTTTACCTTTTGAGGCCATTTATTTTATCTAATAACTTATACATAAAATTTAATTTTTACTCAGTCAAATAACATATACAACCTCTAATTTCCACATAGGATAAGGTCCCTAGTTCAATCTAATTCCCATCTCTTCCTCTGATACCTGCTATATTTTGTTGAAATCATTTAAAATGTTGATTTGAAATTGCTTTTGATTTTTGTGTTCTACTTTCTTAGGAATCATAATTCTTAACAACTACTTTAAGCTTCAGTTCTATATTATTACTTGTAACACAACTGTGTTTTGGTGTTTGCTAACTGATCACGAATAATTTGCATATCTCTCATTGGTCCTTTATTAATTTTTAATTTTACTAGAAGGCTTGAGTAGTACTTTCAAAATGATTTTGTAGGCAATAAATTTTCTGACTTCTAATGCAAAAGAACAGAATCAATAGCCAAGACAATCTTGAAAAAGAAGAATAAAGTTGGAAGTCTCACACATCTTGATTTCAAAACATACTATGAATCTATGGTAATCAAAGCATGTGGTGTGGGCATAAAGACAGATTTATAGTCCACACAAGGTAGACCAGAAATAAATCCTCAAATACATGGTTAAATCGTTTTCCACAAGGGTGCCACACATGGCCTCGCATAAATGGCCAAAGGTTTTCCACAAGACCATTCCATGTGGAAAGAACAATCTTTCCAATAAATGGTGCTGGGAAAACCGCATATCCACATGCAAAATAATGAAGTTAGACTCTTACCTAACATTGTATGCAAAAATTAACTAAAAATGGATCAAAGACCTAAATGTAAGAGCTAAACCTATAAAACTCATACAGGAAAATACAGAGGAAAAGCTTTATGAAACTGGATTTGACAAGTATTTCTTGGGTATGACACCACCAAAAGAACAGGCAACAAAAGGAAAAATAGATAAAACGGACTTCATCAAAATTAAAAACTTTTGTGTACCAAAGGACATTATCAACAAAGTGAAAAGGCAACCAACAGAATGACAGAAAATATTTGCAAATCATATATCTGATAAGGGATTAATATCCATAACATATACAGAACCCCTGTAACTCAACAGGAAGAACCTGAAAAAATGGAAAGATATCCCATGCTCATGGATTAGAAGAATTAATATTGTTAAAATGTCTATATTAACCAAAGTGATTTACAGATTCAATGCAATTCCCATCAAAATACCAATGACATTCTTCACAGAAACAGAAAAAAGCCTGAAATTCATATGAAACCACAAAAGACCTTGAACAGCCGAAGTGATCCTGAGCAAAAAGAACAAAGCTAAAGGCATCATGGTTGTGTTTTCAAATGATACTACCAATCTATAGTAACCAAAAGAGCATGGTACTGGCATAGAAACAGACACATCAACCAATGGAACAGAACAGAGAACCCACAAATAAATCCACACACTTAACAGCCAACTCAGTTTCAACAAAGGTGGCAAGAACACACACCAGGGAAAACACAGTCTCTTTAATAAATGGTGCTGAGAAAACCAAATATCCATATGCAGAAGAATGAAACTAGACCCTCATCTCATCATATACAGAAATCAACTCTAAAATGGATTAAAGGCTTAAATATAAGACCTAAAATTATGGAACTACCAGAAGAAAACATTGGGGAAACACTTCAGGACATTGGTTTGGGCAAAGATTTTTGCATAAGATCTCAAAAAGGCAACAATAGAAAAATGGGTTTATATCAAGCTAAAAAGCTTCTGCACAGGAAGCAAAACAACTAAGTGAAGAGACAACCCAGAGAAAGGGGGAAAATATCTGCAAACTTCCATCTGACAAGGGATTAATAACCAGATTATATAAGGAGCTCAAACAACTCAATAGCAAAAAAACAAATAATCTGATTAGAAAATCAGCAAATGACCTGAATAGATGTTTCTCAAAAGAAGACATACAAACAGAAAACAGGCAAATGAAAAAATGCTCAATATCACTAATCACCAGGGAAATGCAAATTAAAACCACAATGAGATATCATCTCACTCTAGTTAGAATTGGCTTTTATAAAAAAGACAAAAAATAACAGATGCTGGTAAGGATGTGGAGAAAGGGAATGTAAATTAGTACCATCATTATGGAAAACAGTATGGAGGTTCCTCAAGAAACTAAAAATAGAAGGACCACATATCCAGGAATCCCACGGCTGAGTATATATTAAAAGGAAAGGAAATCAGTATATTGAAGAAATATCTGCACTCCCATGTTTATTGTAGCACTGTCTGCAATAGCTGAAACGTGGAATCAACCTAAGTGTCCATCAATGGATGAATGGATAAAGAAAGTGTGGAATATATACAGAACGGAATATTACTCAACCATAAAAATAATGGAATCCCGTCATTTGCAGCATCATGGATGGAACTGGATATCATCATGTTAAGTGAAATAAGCAAGGCACAGAGAGACAAATATCACATGTTCTTACTCAAATGTGGGAGCAAAAAAAAGTGGGTCTCAAAGAGGTAGAGAGTAGAACAGTGTTTACCAGGGGCTGGGAAGGGAAGTGGGGAGGAAGAGAAGTTGACTAATGGGCACCAACATGCAGTTGGATAGAAGAAATTCATTCTTGTATTTGATACCATAGTAGGAAAATGATAGTTAACAATAAACTACTTCCTGGGTCCCTTTCTTTGTTCACATTTTTTCCCTCAGGAATTTTCAAAATTCCTGTTCTCTCCTGGCTCCACTCAAGACCCAGCTCAAATGCCATGTTTGTCACGAAGCTTACCTAAGAACAGCCTTTGACCCAGGGGTCCTGTCTCCCATGCTGGACTTGGTCCCCTGCCCACCTCTGGGGTGTTCACTCCACGGACGTGCAGTCCCCTGGCTGAAAGAATGAAGGATGCCCATCCCCACCACTAACAACCCTCACAGACTTGCACTGGGACAGACACTTTTCCTGGCTTTATCTCTTGGTGGATGGCTTTATCTCTTAGTCTTCCTAAAAGCTTCAAGAGAAGAGTGAGTTTCTAGGAAATGGGCTTTAATTCACACAGTGATCACTCGGTCTGTCTCTCAGGAAGGTGCAGGAGAGATGCTCAGGCCAGGTGTTCATCTCTGCCTCAGGCCTGCTGGTAAGTGGTTTTGTTTATGGTTCCCTAATGGAATAAAAACTTACAGCATGTCCAGGAAAAATTTTCAGGAAATTTAAATTCAGGAGAAGTCTGTAACAACTTCTGGAAATAAAGAGGAGAGTCTCTTTTTTTTGTACTCTAAGATACTGTAAGTCCAAAATATGTCCGTAATGAATTATGTAAAGATCTGGAAGGCTGAAGTGCTTCTCGAAATGCCAATACCTCTAGAGGGAAATGCAAGAAAATAGCCATTGGGTAAAATAAGTTCAGATCCACAACAAAACAAAAGGGAGGGGGGTAAGGCTATCAGCTAAACTAAGGGTGGGATGAATGCTTCCTGCACATTTTAATCCTGGGGAGAACAGTAGTTTCTAAAACAAAACAGGCATTTTAGACCTGTATTCTGGCTCTGAAATGCAGAATGTGGCTGGATTGGATGTGGTGATGCCAGGCAGACACACCCTTCTCAAAGCCCCCAGGGCTGACAGCGGGCCCAGGGAGTGTGCTAACGCTGTGGACACACCGCGTGTCTGGGGCGCTCCAGGTGAGAGCAGAGACCCAGGTCTGTAAGGTGCAAGTGAAAGCCCAAAGAGGCTGTTCTAGCTGAATCCTCCTCTCCATCCAGCCCCTTGGTGTCACTGAAGGCCAGCACACACGGGAAACCCATCAGCCGGGCTTCCCCAGGTCTGGGATCAGTACTAGTCATGTCCCCTACTTGCCTATGGTCTAAAAAGCCACCACAGCTGCTTTGTCCCTGCATCACCACGGGACTTGGGCTGTTCCAAAGGTCCTGGTGAAGATGAAAAGGGACCTCTGAAGATGCTCCAGGGACCCGAAGGATTCACTGCTCTAAGCTGACACTATTGTAAAGTAAAAATACAAGGCACTGAGAAGGGCTCAAGATGAAGGCAGGACTACAGGACCAGAGATGCTTCCAGGACTGACTGCTGGGAAACAGCAGGTACAAAATGAGCAGCAGCTACCCAGCAGGGTGCCATGTGACCTTAGTGACCCCAGAGTGGCGCTCAGAAGCCAGGACACTGCCCTCACAGAGCCAGTGGAGGGGGCCCACGCAGCGCAGGTGTGTGAAGGGTCAATAGGCACTGGCATGCTCTCTGGCATCCCTCGGCTGGGGGCCTCCTCCCTCAGGCTACCTGGATCCTGGGCTCTTACCGCTCTCCTTGTCCCCCACTCCTACCTAGGTTTTGCTGTCTTCTTTCATTCAGTTCTCCCTCTCCCTGTCATAACACCCCTCCACCCTTCACAAGCCCAGATCCCCTCAAGCCCCCTTCCCCCGGGAAACCTTTGCTCATCATTCAACCAAAAAACTTTTTGTAACACCAGTTTACTTTATTATTATCTACTCTCAGCAAGTTTCAAGAATTTTTAAGGATACATCGTTACAATAGTTACCATGTTATAATAGTCCCCATATATCCCTTGAACTTATTTATCCTGCCTAAATGAAATTTGTATCCTTTGACCAACATCTCAACCCACCCCACCTCCCCCAGCACCTGGCCAACACCATTCTGCTCTCTGCTTCCGTGAGTTCACCTTTTTCGGATTCCACACATAAGTGAGATCATGCAGTATTTGTCTTTCTGTGCCTGGCTTATTTCACTTAACATGATGCCCTCCAGGTTCATTCTTGCCGTACGTGACAGGATTTCATTCTTTTTATCACTGAATATTATCCATTGTGTATTTATACCACGTTTTACATTTTCTTTTTTTTTTTTGAGACAGAGTCTTGCTCTGTCGCCCAGGTTGGAGTGCAGTGGCGCGATCTCGGCTCACTGCAAGCTCCGCCTGCTGGGTTCACGTCATTCTCCTGCCTCAGCCTCCTGAGTAGCTGGGACTACAGGCACCCACCACCACGCCTGGCTAATTTTTTGTATTTTTAGTAGAGACGGGGTTTCACCGTGTTAGCCAGGATGGTCTCGATCCCCTGACCTTGCGATCCGCCCACCTCGGCCTCCCAAAGTGCTGGGATTACAGGCGTGAGCCACCGCCCCGGCCATGTTTTACATTTTCTTTATCCATTCATCTTTGGATGAGCACAGGGTGGTTCCATGTCTTGGCTATTGTGGATAGTGCTGCAGTGAACATAGGAGTGCAGGTAACTCTTTGATGTACTGATTTCATTTCCTTTGACTATATACCAGCAGTGGGATGGCTGGATTACATGGTAGTTCTAGTTTTATTTTACTGAGGAACTGCCACACTTTTTCCGTAATGGCTGCACTAATTTACATACCCACCAACACTGTACTAGTGTTCTCTTTTCTCCACACTTTCACCAACACGTATCTCTTCTCTTGTGGGTAACAGTCATCCAAACAGACATGAAGTGATTGATATTTCACTGTAGTCAGCTAGCAAAACTTTAGTTTATTATTCATTTGCATAAAATCCAGATCCTGCACAAACCAGCAACATTTTAATGAGCACTTACTATGCTAGGAGGTGTAGGCCACGAGGCAGAAATAAAGTTGAGTGGTTTTGCCGTCAAGAGCCCTGTAATCTGAAACAGGAGACAGACCTGGAGACCGACACCCGCAGCTCAGCCCGCTCCCTGGTGAACGCCTGAGATGCAGAGCAGCCCCCGTCCAAGGGAAGTCACGGCTTGCCTTGTCATCTGCCTCCGGGGAAAGGGAACTCTTCAGAGAGAAGGAGATACTTGGCTTGGGCCTTAAACTCTAAATAAGAGTTCCCAGAAGGGTAAGGAGGGCAGAGGTCTCTGGTGTTTGCTGAGGGCCTATTCTGTGCCAGGCCTTCACTAGGCAGGCATTGCTAACTTCTCTCAGGTAAATTCTCTCACACACACCTGAGGAAGAGGGGCTCAGGCACACACAGGCCTGTCCTTCTACTGCCCCACGGAGGAGAATTCTCCGCAGAGAACCTCCAGTGCAGACACGGGTTGGGGGTGGGTGGCCTGCACACGAAGGAGTCCCCTGTGCAGGGGGTTGGGGAAGGATTTGGTGTAGCTGCGGGTGTGAGTGACAGGGCACAGGGTTGAGGGGGGCACAAGGGGCTGGGGGTGGACAGGCAGAATGGGCTGTCCCTGCAGCACCATTACAGAGAACTCCTCTCCACAGAGGGGCAGCCGCTGGCGTGTTGAGGCCAGCAAGGGCTCAGGCCAGAAGCGCATTTTGAGCGTGCCTGCTGGCAGCATGCTGGGGACTGCCAGTCTGGCAAGTCACAGGCAGCACCTAAATCTGCTGAAGGGAGAGGGTCTCTGCAGCTCTCCTGCAGTTCCCTCTGATCTGAAATCTTGGTGCCTTCCCTGCACTAGGGCAGAATCTGGGCCCATCGCCTTCTCACCATCTAGATGATGCCTGTGTGCCTCTGCACCCGGGCCCCGTGTCCTCCATGGACTGTGCCTGCTCCACTTCCTCCCACACCTGCCTGCATCCCTCACCAACATATCACACATATTCCACTCCATCCCAGTGTGCGAGCCGGCCCTTCAGCTCCAGAGAGACCTCAAAGGGCCTGTGTCCCAGTGCTCAGAGGCACGCGTCCTGGTGAGAGGTCAGACCCAACGGCTGCTGGTCCACCACCCAGATGACTCAGAGGGACTCAGAGGGAGTTAGGGGAGTTCCCATGAGTAGCAGCCTCTGTCACCCAGATGGGGGTGGGTGCCCACTTGGAGGGCCTGGGGCCAGGTGTCTGCAGCCTTTCAGGGCAAATGCAGCCAGGAGAGGAAAATAGAGGAGGAGTGGGGAGTCCAAGCATCTTGTTGCTCAGCAAAAGCTGCCTTTGTGCCCAGGCATCAAGGTCAGGGAGAGGAGACTGCTGCTCTGTCACCTGTCCTGGGTGTGGGGTGGCCTCTGCTAACTTCTTCCCTGGGGGAACTATAATTCTAAAATGTGTTCAAGTTTCCCAAGAGAAAGAGGGTGCTGGCTGCTCACCTCTGCTTCCTGACCTCACTGTTAACCCAACTTCTCAGAACCAAGATAAATCATCCCTTTTTTAGCTTCTACTTGTTTTCAATTGCCTAAGCACAACCAACATTGCATTTGACCTGCACACCAATCCCAGGGCCCAGTGACATGTCCAGGTGACCTGGGATTTCCCGAGTGGACTCCTCCCCTCTACCTGCCTCCTTCCCCAGGCGGCCCCTCCTCACCCTCAGGTTTAATGCTGCTACCTCCTTAGAAAGGCCCTCCTTGGCTGCCCTTTATGAATGATGTTTCTCAACCTTTGCTTTCACTCACTCACCCACATTACTTTCTGTGGCGTTAGCAATCACCCTGTTAATCTGTTTACTCGCATGCTGTCTGCTGAATCTTGCTAGGCTGCTATCCCATTCGGGTTGTGACCAGGGTCCTCCTGAAGCCTGGCCTCCAGGGGGCCACAAAGACCCAGCGTCTGTGGTTTTAGGCTCAGGGGCCACAGAAGACAAGGGTTTCAGAAGAATGAGACTTAGAGCTACTTGGGGTTCAGGAGGTGAAATTGAAAAGATTCTTCTACCTGACCTTGAAGCAGAAGAGGACATTTCTGAGTGTCTCCTCGTACCAGGCATGCGCCATATTCTCTATCATTACATTTTCACAACAACCCCGCGCTGCAGGGGCTAGCTAGCATGCACACCTGCTTAAAGACCACCTGTCCTGAGCCCAGAGGAGTGAGACAACCTGCCCAGGGTCACACAACCAGTCACCTGCAACCTGAACAGCAAAGCCAATGCTCTGTGTTAGCATTGTGCCACTTCTCGAAATGTGCTGAGATGTGAACAATGCTTTATCCCAGCTTGAAGACACTGGTCACCTTATCTCCACAGCTCCTGAAGCCCCAGAGGCATCTCCGCCATCTAAAAAGTCATTCCCTGATAATCGAGCCCATGGTCCTGCTACTGCTCATCAGGCAGCTTCACTGACTCCCACCAGGACAGCAGCCAAGCATTGTTCCTTCCTCCAACTACACACATTCTTTCCTAACCCTTCCCTCCCCTCCAAGGATATTTTCTATTTCAAAATCGTTAAAATTATGCTAGTGACAATTCCATCTTTTATTAAATATAATTTTTTTCAAACTAGGAATGGAAACAGTCCCTTATTCTCTGGTTATTTGTTCAAATTTTCACATCAAAGCTAAGCAGCTGAAACACATTTTACTCTAATACCCTGGCATTTATCCAACTTGGTCCCTTTTATTTATGTTCCTCCCCTGGTATCATGACCTGTTGATACTTCTGCAAAGAGACCGGCAAGAGGGGTCCCAGAGAGTCATCCCTCCACCCCAGCTCTTCTCCTTCCAGTTGACCCAACCCATGTGGCACTGACAAGCCTGAACAGTGGTTCTCAAAGTGAGGCCCCTGGCCCACAACATCAGCATTGTTGGAGATTTGTTAAAAATGCAAGTTCCCAGGCTCCACCTAGACCTGCTGAGTTGGAAGTGGGGGCACTGCCCAGCAAGCTGTGTTTGCACCAGCCCTCTGGGGTGGAGAACCACTCATCTAAAGGCTACCGAGGCCTGGGCCCCAGCCTCTGCTAATAGCTTCATCTTCTCTCTTTCTTCTTAAGCAGTCTCAGGAGCACATTTGTTCTCATTTCTCAGGAGACCCGCCTTTCACAGTTATCCCTTTGCTGCTCTCATACCTGCAAGCTCCTCCTCTCTAATCCTTTTTACTCCCAACTTGTTTCAAACACACCCGGGGGCCTCTTGTTGTGAAGGCATCTGCCCTCCTGTCCCACAGAATCAGTTCCCGCCTCCCTTCTCCTGGTGTGTTGCTTTGGCAGTGTACTTACTCTTTCTGAGCATCACATTGCCCTTCTTAAAAATAAGAGTAATGGCACCTATTTAACAGGATGGTAATAAGGACTTACTGAGATAACATTCGTAGAGGGATGTGCTAGGAGGGTTAATTCCAGCAGGTCTGAAATTGGCCTGAGCTGCTTTGCTGAAGTACGAGACATTCTGCATCAAACTATGAAAGGCAGTGATTAATACTTTTTTTTTTTTTTTTGAGATGGAGTCTCGCTTTGCCACCCAGGCTGGAGTGCAGTGGTGCGATCTCAGCTCACTGCAAGCTCCACCTCCTGAGTTCATGCCATTCTCCTGCCTCAGCCTCCCGAGTAGCTGGGACTACAGGCGCCCGCCACCACGCCCGGCTAATTTTTTGTAGTTTTAGTAGAGATGGGGTTTCACCGTGTTAGCCAGGATGGTCTCAATCTCCTGACCTCGTGATCCGCCCGCCTCGGCCTCCCAAAGTGCTGGGATTACTGGCGTGAGCCATCACGCTCAGCCAATACTGTTGTTTTTACCCTTGGGTCCGAGGTGAGTTTCAGGGTAGGTTCTGCCTGTTTGTCCTCATTGTTTATGGATGACTGTGAGACTGATGTTTTGCACGTGTTTGGGGAGGGGGCTCTGATGTTAGAGCTGCTCATGTAGCAATAATATGCTTATGTGACCAGAAGGCTGCAAAAAGCCCCACTGTGACTCCACTGGGCTGCTTGGATCTGAGGTGTTCCTTCCTTGCATGGGTATGTGGTTCTGAGAGAGAAAACACATCTGGCTCAGGCCTGCAGAGGGAAGACCATTGGAGGCAGCCCGTATCGGCCTCAGTGTGTCCACACTGCTTGCTGTGAGGCAGCCTTTGGATGCAAGGCAGGTCCTTGCCTTCATGCTTGTTGCTCTATCACATCCCTTCTTGTCAATAAACCACAGACTTGTGAGCACTGTCCTTCTGGGCCCTGTGAGTCTTCTTTAGCAATCGAATCTGTCTGACTGCGCTGTTAGTGGAAGTGACGTTACAGTTATGTTTCCCTCTGCATTGTTAACAAAGAAAATTCCCCGTTGAACCGCTCACAATAATTGCTGTCCACTTCTTTCTTCATCACTTACTGCGTTCTCTGCACTCTCCTATCCCCTGCCTACATCTGGATTCCATCCCTACCACCTGACTGAAACCACAGCCACAGAAGTCACCCCCTGCTAATGACGGAATCACTGACCTTCTAGCTCTTAGTTAACACAGTGGTCATGCTGCCACTGTGAACTCTTCCTTATACATGGCACCATCGTCCTTCATCTCCCCACGACTTCAGTTTGTCTCACTGATTCCTTTTCCAACAAACTATGGGTATTCTCCCAACTTTGTGCTTGGCTTGGCTCTTTCTGTTGGATAACTGATTTATACTCACTAAATATTCATAACACCTGTGTTCGGGTGACTCCCAAGTGGCCCTCTCTAGTCTTGTTCTCTTTTCCACCCTTTGCCCTGCTCTCTGATGGGATGTGCACTTATACGTCTCACAGGTACCTCAGATTTCTTAGAACCAAACCTGCCTTCCTTGCAAAACTTACCTGTTCTTCAAGTCAGTCAAGACTGAAAAATTGAATTCTCCCTTGACTTCGCCCTCTCCATCTCAATGAGTTCTGAACTTCAGATCTCTTTCTCTGTGAATCAGTCTTTCTCTTTTCCTCTATCTCTTTCTCTGTATCTCTCACTCCTCACCTCTTCTCCCCAATTCGGGCAATCATAAAATCATGATATTCATAGAGAATGGCCTTTTTCTGCTTTCCTTGTCCCTTGTATAGATGCCACTATCACAGGCCACCTGATATCATTCAGTGGTGTAAGAATATGTCTTGAGGATTTTCCTCTGAGCCCCCAAACCTTTCTAACTCAAAGGTGTGATGAGAAAAAGATACCTGCATCATAGTCTCAAAGTATCTCCTGCAAGATATTTACTAATGACAAATGGAAAAATGGTAACTTTGCACTAGAGAAACCTGACAGATAGCACCTTAGTCAAGGGACCAAGGTCAACATGCCAGTATAAGACATATCAATAGCATGTGCACCAGCACAGAAACAAGCAGAGCACATCAGCCGTCTCCTTCCCTGTAGTGCACAGCCTCACCTTGATCTAGTTGTGAGAAAATATTAGACAAACCCAAATGGAAGGTCATTCTACCAAATAACTGACCAGTTCTCTTCAAAAGTATAAGGGTAATGACAAGGAAAGACTCAGGAACTGTCGCAGATTAAAAGCGACTAATGAGACATAATAACCAAATGCAGGGTAGGACCTAGATTGGATTCTAGAACAGAAAGAGGACATTAGTGAGAAAAGTAGTGAAATTTTTGTAATGATGTTGGTAGAATAGTTAACACGGTTGTGTCAATGTTAATTCTCTGGTTTTGATAATAGTACTGTGGTTTCGTAAAGTGTTAACATTTGGAAAAACTCGGTGAAAGGTAAATGGGAACTCTAAACTTTTTACAATTTTTTCCTAACTTAAAAAATTATTATTTAAAGTTATTATAATTTAAAAATATATTTAAAATAAAAAGTTTAAAAAGATGACACAAATGATCAATATCTGGAATGAAAAAGGAATATTGGCCCTGGAGGCATCAAAAGGATAATATGGTAATATTATGAACAATTCTACATATATAAATTTAGCAACTTAGATGAAATGGACCAATTCCTTGAGAAGCCCAAACTACCTTAATTAATCTAATATGAAACCGGTCATTTGGATAGTCCTACAACTATGGAAAATTAAATTCAGAATTTAAAAGCCTCCTCCAAAGAAATGTCCAGGCCTAGATGGTTTCACTGGAGAATTCTACCAAACATTTAAATATGAATTAACACCTATTCTACTGTCTCTTCCAGAAAATAGAAGAAATGAAAACACTTTCCGACACTTCTACGAAGCCACAATTACTCTCATACCAAAACCAGACAAACCCAATGTAAACAAATAAAACTATAGACCAATATCCCTCATGAATATAGATGCAAAAATCTTTAACAAAATATTACTGATGGGATTCATCAATATTGAAAAGTAATTATATACCATTATTAAGTGGGGTTCATTTCAGAAATGTAAGTCTGGTTTGATCTTCAAAAATCAGTCAATGTAATCCACCATATTAACAGACTAAAAAGAAAAATCACATGATCACATCAGTTGATGAAGGAAAAAAATTCATAAAATTCAACATCCCCTTCATGAAATAAGAATAGAATACTTTCAACTTAACAAAGAGCATTCACAAAAAACCTACAGCTAACATCATATTTAATGGTGAAAGAATGGTTTTCCCCTAAGATTGGGAACAAGCAAGGATGTCTGCTCTCATCACTCTTATTCAGCATAGTGCTGGATATTCTTGCCAGTGCAATCAGGTAAGAGAAGGAAATGAATGGCATGTATATTAGAAGAAAAGGAGTAAAACTTATTTGCAGATGACAAGATGTCTAATGCAGAAAACCTCAAGGACTCTGAAAACTTTTAGAACTAAGAAGTGACTACGGCAAGGTCACATGACACAAGGTCAACATAAAAATCAGTTGTATCTCTCTGTAATATCAATGAACATGTGGACACTAACATTAAAAATGTAATTCTATTTATAATCATTCAATAAAAATAGTTATAAATCTAACAAAATATGCATAGGACTTGTATGCTGAACACCATAAAACATTAAAGATATAAAAATCTACTAATTAAATAAATGTAGAAACATACTGTGTCCACAGATTGAAAAACTCAATACACTAATGATGCCAATACTCCCCAAATTGATGTATAAATTGACAGACAATTCCTGTCAAAATTCAGCAAGATTTTTAATAGATATGGACAAAGTTATTGTAATATTTATATGGAGAGGTAGAAGAATTAGAATAGTTAAAATAATTTTGAAAAAGAAGGATAAAGTGGGAAGAATCAATCTAGCCAATTTTAAGGTTTACCATATGACTACAGTAATGAAGACTGCAGTACTGGTGAAGGAATAGAAATATAGATTGAAGGAACAGAATAGAGAACCCGGAACTGATTTTTGACAGAGGTGAAAAAGCAACTTGACAGAGGAAAGATGGTCTTGGCAACAAATGGTGCTGGAACAAGGGACAGGCATAGGCACAAAAAACAAGAAAAAAAGAAAGAAAGAAAGAAAGAGACTTGACCTAAGTCTCATACCTTGTATACAGTAAAAATTAACTTAAAATGGATCACAAACTTGAATGTAAAATATAAGACTACAAAACTTTTTGAAAATAAACATACGAGAAAATCTTAGGGATTTAGGGTTAGGAAAGAAGTCGTTACTAGACTTCATACCAAAAGCATGATCCATAAAAGTAAAAATTGATAAACTTGAACTTTTTGTTCTGTGAAAGAGAGTAAAAAGACCAGCTACTGACTGGGAGAAAATATTTGCAAACCATGTATCTGACAAAGGACTACTATCTAGAATATATAAAGAATTCTCAAAACTCAACAGTTAAATCCATTAGAAAATTGGCAAAAAAACCACAAAGAGACATTTCACTGAAGAGAAGGTATATATGACAAATAAGCACATAAAAATGTTCAACAACCTTAGCCATCAAGGAAATGCAAATTAAAACACAATGAGTTATCATTACACATCTATCAGAACAGCAAAAATAAAAAACAGTGACAACACCAATAGTTGACAAGGACGCAGAGAAACAGATCACTCACATGCTGTTTGTGGGAACGAAAATGACACAGCCACTCTGGAAAGCAGTTTCTCCTAAAACTAAACATAAAACTACCATGCAACCCAGCAACTGGATTCCTGAGCACTTATCCTAGAGAAATGGAGTCTTAACATTCACCCAAACACCTTTATAAGGATGTTCATAGCAGCTTTCTTCATAATAGCCTGGAACCAGAAATGATCCAGAACCCTCAAGGAGTGAATGACTAAACAAACTGTGGAATGCCCATACCATGAAATACTACTCAGTAAGGAAAAGGAATGAACTCTTGATAACCACAACAACTTGGATGAATATCCAGGGAATTATTCCAAGTAAAAAAAAATCCCCAAATTACATATTATATGATTCCATTGATATAACATTATTACAATACAAAATTGTAGAAATGGAGACAGATTAACGGTTGCCAGAGGTTAAGAATGAGGTTGGGTAAGTGACTGTGGATATAAAGAGCAGCACTGGGGAACCTTGTGGGATGGAAATGTTCTACATATTGACTACATCAACATTAATGTCCTGGTTGTGATATTGGACCATAGTTTTGCACAATGCTACCATTGGGAGAAAACAGGTAAAGGGGACACTGGAACTCTATTATTTCTTACAACTGCAGATCAATATACAATCATCTCAAAATAAAATGTTTAATTAAAAACATACTTTGCCCACTCCTGGAGACCCTTTACAGCTCTTCCTTAAATACTGATTTTTCCTTAAGTACTGCCTGTATCAGGGCACTACTGTCACTGAACATTTTGAGGCACTTTTTTTTTTTTATCTTACCAAGTCTCTGCCTAGCTTTATTGGGCTTTCACATCTTGACCTGTGCCGACCTATTTCTCAAATATACCTATTTGAGTTACGTAAGTTCTGAATTTTTGTTACAGTCACTCACAGCAGTTTAATCTGGACAAATCATGGACTCTGCCAATTTCTGTTTCCTCATCCACTTCCTTGCTGTTCACAGAGCTACTTTAATTAAAGATATCTCTTTAATTAAAGGTACGGTGAAAATTCAGACATATAATGTCCCCAGTGTTCCCCCTCAAAAACATTATCCAGAAAGAAAATGAAGTCAGACCCTATGCTGACTTCTAGCCAAGGCCATTGCAAGCTGACGGTTCACAAGATGCACTCTTCTGGAGATCTGTCCTGGAATATTCTGTAACATTGACATGACTGCCATAATTTGCAGAAGCAAAGTTCTATTCTTCCTCTTAAAACTCCTAAACAGTGTTTATTTTATGAAAATTCTCAGGGTGTGATCAAAGAAAACCCCCCTGGATACGCCGTGGATTTCATACAGTACTTTTGCCCAGCTGTGTTGGCATCTGCTGGTGCTCATCAGAAATTAACGTTCTCAGGCCCCACTCAGACCTACTGAACCAGAACCCACATTTCAACTGTATCGCCAGAGATGCTTACACACAGCAAAATTTGAGAAGTGCTGCTCTATAATGGATATAATGTAATCCCTGGCTCACAGGGTTGATGTGAGAATTAGCAGAATACCCGGT